>NC_000006.12:42181212-42484242 GCF_000001405.40 Homo sapiens
TCCGCATCTTTGCACATCTCAGCTTTAAGAATACCCAACTCAGGCCGGGCGCGGTGGCTCACGCCTGTAATCCCAGCACTTTGGGAGGCCGAGGTGGGCAGATCACAAGGTCAGGAGTTCAAGACCATCCTGGCAAGCACGGTGAAACCCCGTCTCTACTAAAAATACAAAAAAATTAGCCAGGTGTGGTGGCGAGCACCTGTGGTCCCAGCTGCTCGGGAGGCTGAGGCAGGAGAATGACGTGAACCCAGGAGGTGGAGCTTGCACTGAGCTGAGATCACGCCACTGCACTCCAGCCCAGGCGACAGAGCGACTCTGTCTCAAAAAAAAAAAAAAAAAAAAGGAATACCCAACTCAGAGATCTACCTGTCCAAGGCAGGTTTTCTTGGCTCTGTCCCTGAATTACAGCTACCTGGTTGCTACAGGAACCTGGGGAAACACACAGGCTGGAGCAGTTGTGACCATTTTTTCAAAGATGCTCTTTCTTCTGGGCTTTGAGTCTTCACTTCAGCTGGGTGTGGGGGAGGTGTGGGGAGTAAATGAAAATTCAGGAGTGGAAGCCAGGTGTGGTGGCTTACACCTATAATCCCAGCACTTTGGGATGGGTGCTGAGGTAGGCGGATCACCTGAGTTCAGAAATTCGTGACCAGCCTGCCCAACATGGTGAAACCCTGTCTCTACAAAAAATAGAAAAAGTAGCAGGGCATGGTGGTATGCACCTGTGGTCCCAGCTACTCAGGAGGCTGAGGTGGGAGGATCGCTTGAGCCTGGGAGGCGGAGGTTGCAGTGAGCCGAGATTGCACCACTGCACTCCAGCCTGGGTGACAGAGCCAGATCCTGTCTCCAATAAATAAATAAATACATACATACATTCAGAAGTGGGAGGGAGAAAATGAGGGGAAAAATAAGTAAAATACCAAGTCAGAGAGTGCCCCACTGGGCGGATGAGGGGGTGCATTTTGCTCATGTCCTGTCTATCACTTGGACCTCCCCAGACAAGGAAGTCAGCCAGGGACTGAGTGACAGACATGGAGGGAAGGTAGAGGTTGGTGCCGTGCGCAGCCAGGAAGAAAAAGGGAGTTGACATTTCTGCTCCTTTGGCTGGCTGCCTGTCGGGAAATCCTGAAGGTCAGAGTTGGGAAGGTGTCTGCATGTAATTAGGACATCCCTCGATGTCATTCACATACCTTCTTCATGATTTGGGGCACATCTGTGTCCCACCTGGATGTGTGTGTGTGTGTGTGTGTGTGTGTGTGTGTATATATGTATATATACATACATATGTATGTATGTATATATACGTATATATATGTAGTTTTTTTTTTTTGGAGATGGAGTTTCACTCTTGTTGCCCAAGCTGGAGTGCAATGGCACAATCTTGGCTCACTGCCACCTCTGCCTCCTGGGTTCAAGTGATTCTCCTGCCTCAGCCTCCCGAGTAGCTGGGATTATAGGCGCATGCCACCACACCTGGCTCATTTTGTAGCTTTAGTAGAGACGGGATTTCACCAAGTTGGTCAGGCTGGTCTCAAACTCCCGACCTCAGGTGATCCGCCTGCCTTGTCCTCCCAAAGTGCTGGGATTATAGGCGTGAGCCACCGCACCTGGCCTCCTGGCTTCCTTCCTTCCTTCCTTCCTTCCTTCCTCTCTCTCTTTCTTTCTTCTCTTTCTCTCCTTCTTTCTCTTTTTTTGATGGAATTTCATACTTGTTACCCAGGTTGGAGTGCAATGGCACGATTTCGGCTCACTGCAACCTCCAGCTCCCAGGTTCAAGTGATTTTCCTGCCTCTGCCTCCCAAGGAGCTGGGATTACAGGCGCCTGCCACCGCACCCAGCTAATTTTTTTTTTTTGTATTTTTAGTAGAGATGGGGTTTCACCATGTTGGTCAGGCTGGTCTTGAACCCCTGACCTCAGGTGATCCACCCGCCTCGGCCTCCCAAAGTCCTGGGATTGCAGGTGTGAGCTGCTG
The DNA here is from genome assembly GCF_000001405.40 of Homo sapiens. Taxonomy (NCBI): domain Eukaryota; kingdom Metazoa; phylum Chordata; class Mammalia; order Primates; family Hominidae; genus Homo; species Homo sapiens. The sequence goes on from NC_000006.12 coordinate 42,183,183, forward strand.
CACCTGGCCAATATTTTTCTAATCAATTATTTTTTACCTAAAATTGATGTCTAAAGGAAATTTTATATGACTATCATATGAAATAACACACCTGTAAAGTCTCAGGTTTAATAGGTTAGTTTTATTTCTTATATACCAACATAAAAACCTATCTATTCAAGGTAAAGCAAATGTTTTTCCAGGTCTCACTTTAAACTGTCTTATAGGAGTAACAGTGACCCAGGGCACTGGTTTTCAGTTTGCTTTTTTCAGAGGTGCCTCCAGTTCCAGAGGGTACTCAGCTCCCCTTTCAACCAGAGAGACTCCCTTTTAATCTAGTTTCTATATTGGGGTTACACATAAGAGTTTATATAACAAAAAATAATTCCACATCTAAAAACACAATAATCCAAAACTGTTCGCCTAGTCCGACCTGCTCACTGTGCTGCCAAGACATAACCAAGGTTAGGGAGGAGAAGTGGCTGTCTTGGGTCACACAGCAGTTAGAAGCCAAGCCCAGCCCACAATCCCAGTCAACAGTCCCCCAATTCTTGCCAGAGACAGACAGAAGTTTTCTCCATCCTTTAAAGAGAAACATTCAGCTTATGGCTGGGAGTTGTGGAAGGTCCATACTGGGGGATATGGATGGAAAGAGAGGATTGTTGGGGGAGTGGTGGGTTGGCAGCAGGGGGTCCCAGAGCAGCACCCAGGCAGAGCTGAAACAGTCCCTTTAAGTACAGCTGACCCTTTCAAAGGCAGAAAGACCACAGCCTGCAGCGTATTTGCTGCCATTTTTCCTGTTGACACCACTGGTGAGGATGCCTTGGGGAGGAGGAGGCCAGGGTCCTCCCCATGAACGCCCCTCAGCATCCCGGAAGTTATAGAATTATTGCTGCCCCCTGCCCCCCAAAACTCCTGCCTTTTCTTTTCTTTCTTTTTTTTTTTTTGAGACGGAGTCTCACTGTCGTCCAGGCTGGAGTGCAGTGGCGCAATCTCGGCTCACTGTAGGCTCGGCCCCCTGGGGTTCACGCCATTCTCTTGCCTCAGCCTCCTGAGTAGCTGGGACTACAGGCGCCCGCCACCTCACCCGGCTGATTTTTTGTATTTTTAGTAGAGACGGGGTTTCACCCCGTGTTAGCCAGGATGGTCTCGATCTCCTGACCTCGTGATCTGCCCGCCTCGGCCTCCCAAAGTGCTGGGATTACAGGCGTGAGCCACCGTGCCCGGCAACTCCTGCCTTTTCTTCAGTCTCAACACCCTCCCACCCCTGCCTCCTACCAGTCTTTGTGTTCTCATTTCTGATTTGGTCTGTGGGACCCTCACCCCTCAGTTGGCTCTTGCTTCCAACTGAGAACACCCAGAAACTGTGGGAGCCCCACAACCACCCAGCCAAGGCACAGTCCTCCCAGGAGCGGCTGAACAGGAAAAGTAACTGAATTCCCTTCACCATCCCAGGGACTCCTCCAAAATGGACTATGCCCTGTTGGCCACTTCAAACCCAGCAGCCCTTCCCCATCCCCACTCAGCCCTGCACAGGGGGTGCCAGGAAGTCAACACCAGGGGAAGAGTGGGCATGAGCAGGCTGAGCCAGGGACCCTCCTACTACCCTGGAAACCTGGGTGAGCCTGGAGTCGTGGAGGGGCCCCAGACTCCTCAGAACATGGCACTTTTCCGTCTCTGCTGAGCGAGCCAGCTGCTGGGATTCATGTCCATCTGCAGCATCTTCATCACCCACTTGTCCCGACGGGCACCTTCAACAAACTCGTTCAGAGACAGCTGGCCTGAGCAAGGGGGAGGAGAGGTGGTCATGTAGAAGAAGGGGAGACCTGGGTCTGGGGGCAGGAGGAGAGACCTCGCTCCCAGGATGCGCCTACACGTCTTATGCCAACTATCCTGCAGTCTCAGACCTCAAGCTTGCGGCTTGTCAGGTGTCTGAATCTCCAGGAGTCTCCTGCCACCTTTAAGGGGCTTTCTTTGCTGATGAATTGAAGTTTTACTTTTGCGCATGGTACCACGGAAATGCTGGGTGGAGCTGAGAGAGCTGGAGGGCTCAAGTGTGTATTCCAAGCCAGCTCTCTCCCCACATAGCCCTGAGGCTGGGCTTTGGGCTACAGGGAGGAAAGCCCAAGCAGCCTGAATGGAGGTCTACCCTATGCCTGCTCTTAAACACATTATCCTATTCATTCCTCTCAACCACTATTATTATCCCCATTTTCCAGATGAGGAAATTGAGACTAGGACGAGAAGCTCAATATATCACTCCCTGCCTGACTCCAAAGTTCCTATTCTTTCTATTCTGCGTGCCTGGCCTCCATCAGCAACTCCTGTAGGACTTTTAGTCACTCCTACAAACACGTGCTCATGAGTCCCTTTGTTAGTTCATGACATCTTCTCCACAGCCTTCTCACAGATGAGGACCCCAGGGTTGGAAGGTGGAGGGCCTTGCCCAAGGACGTGCGGCCAGAAAGTGGCGATGATGCAGAGTGGACAGCACTCTCCCCATCTCTGCCCCTCTTACCATCTCCATTCTCATCCACCAGGAGGAAGATCCTGTCCACGACCTCCTCGGGTGTGAGCAGCTGGCCTTGCTCAGTTTGTAGCTCTCGCCGGCAGGCTTTCTTCAGCTGGTAAATTCCCTGCCAAAGAAAACTCAGCTGCATTGACGGGAGACCCTGAAAGCTCCACCTTCACCCCAGTGACCCACATCCCCCAGCACCACTTCCCCAGTGCTGGCTTCCCAGGCTGTGCGTCTTAGGATCACATAATCTGGATCCAGATCAAAACTGACCTGTCCTAAGGCGGTGCTCTCAGAATCCCACTGGCCTAATTCCAGCTGAGTTCCCGGCCTCACACCCCACCTGACCCCAACACCATTTGCATTTCCACTGTGAGCTGCAAAGCCCAAATCCAAAACCTCTAATGAGGGAGGTTTAAGTCACCATGACAGTCTAAATTGCATTCTACACAGGAAGAAATAGAGATGCAGAGAAGAAAATTCAGTGTATCTATATAAGTGTGCCTGTATATGTGTAAAACAGAATGATGGGGATACACATGTTCCCTCCTCATGGACTGGAGGGAAAAACCCAGGTTTCTCCTTTGCCCTGTTTCCTCTCCCAATGAGACTATGTTTGTGAAAGCACCATGTAGTCTGGGCGCTGTGGCTCATGCCTGTAACCCCAGCACTTTGGGAGGCCGAGGCGGGTGGATCATTTGAAGTCAGGAGTTCAAGACCAGCCTGGCCAACATGATGAAATCCTGTCTCTACTAAAAATACAAAAATTAGCTGGGCAAGGTGGTGGGCGCCTGTAATCCCACCTACTCAGGAGGCTGAGGCAGGAGAATCGCTTGAACCTGGGAGATAGAGGTTGCAGTGGGCCGAGATTGCGCCACTGAATTCCAGCCTGGGCAACAAAGCGAGGCTCTGTCTCAGAAAAAAAAAAGAAAGAAAGAAAGCACCATGTAAATGCGGAAGAGATGGACACATATGATGGTTCTCCTTAGCTCCCAGGCTGGCGCTCCCTGAGGACAGAAGCTGCGTCTTATGCACCTCTATGGCCTCACTGCTCAGCCCAGTGCCCAGCATAAAATAGGCCTCATCGACGTGTCTTGGGAGACTGAGGGGTTAAATCCAGCCCCAGCACTTCCTAGGTAGACTAATTTGGGCCGATTACAGAATCTCTATGAAGCAGCTTCTTGCTCTGTGAAACAGGGCTAACGATGCCTGCCTCATAGCGCGGGTCTGGCTAACCCAGGGAACACGCCAGAGTCTGGGATGTACTAGGCACTTCTTTTCTTCCTTAATCATTCTTGCTAATAGAGAATGATTGTTAGTCTTTTAAAAGAAATAACTTCTGATCTTCTTGACTTTTTCTCATGCATTTGTGTTTTCTATTTTATTGATTTCTGCTGTTTATTTTCTTTCTTCTACTATCTTTCGATTTATTTTATTTTATTTTTTTGAGACGGAGTCTTGCTCTGTCACCAGGCTGGAGTGCAGTGGTGCAATCTCGGCTTGCTGCAAGCTCCGCCTCCCAGGTTCAAGCAATTCTCCTGCCTCAGCCTTCCGAGTAGCTGGGACTATAGGTGCCTGCCACCCCACCCGGCTAATTTTTTGTATTTTTAGTAGAGACAGGGTTTCACTGTATTAGCCAGAATGGTCTCGATCTCCTGACCTCGTGATCTTCCTGCCTCGGCCTCCCAAAGTGCTGGGATTACAGGCGTGGGCCACCGTGCCCGGCCAAGGGTTTATTTTACTTTTTTTTTTTTTTTTTTTAAAGACAAGGTTTCACTCTGTTGCTCAGGCTGGAGTGCAGTGGCACAATCACAGCTCATCGCAGCCTCGACCTTCCAGGCTCAGGCAATCCTCCCACCTCAGCCTTTGGAGTAGCTGGGACCACAGGTGCGTACCACCACGCCCAGCTAATTTTTTTGTAATTTTTGTAGAGATGGGGTCTTACTATGTTGCCCAGGCTGGTCTTGAACTCCTGGGCTCAAGTGATCCACTCACCTCAGCCTCCCAAAGTGCTGGGGTTACATGTGTCAGTCCCTGTGCCTGGCCTTAATTTACTCTTCCTTTTTTCTAATTTCCTGAGATGGTTTCTTAGATCATTGATTTTCTAATATATAAAGTCTTATTTTCTAATATAGTATGCAATTTCTAATTATTTCCTAAGATATATTTTCTTTTCTTTCTTTTTTTTGAGACAGGTTCTTACTTTGTTGCCCCAGCTGGAATGCAGTGGCATGATCATAGCTTACTGCAGCCTTCAACTCCTGGCTCAAACAATCCTCCCACCTCAGTCTCCCAAGTAGCTAGGACTACAGGCATGTACCTCCAAGCCTGGCTAATTTTTAATTTTTTTGTAGAGATGGGGTCTCGCTTTGTTTTCCAGGTTGTTCTTGAACACCTGGGCTCAAGCAATCCTCCCACCTCAGCCTCCCAAAGTGCTGGGATTACAGGAATGAGCCACTGCACCCAGCTTCTGTTTCCAAAATATATGCATTTTAAGTCTTATTTTCTAATATGTGTATTTTAAATCTATAAATTTTTCTGCAGGTTCAGCTTTAGCTGCATTCCACAAGTTGTAGTATGTCATGCTTGCATTATTTTTCAATTTAAGATACTTGTCGTGTGTGTGTGTGTGTGTGTGTGTGTGTGTGTGTGTGTGTTCCACAGAGTATGTGGAAGTCTACTGCCTAATTTCCAAACAGATGGGGATTTTCTAATAATCTTTTTTTGATTGATTTCTAGCTTAATTCCACTAGAAATTACACACTCAGAATGAGAACACAGGAAACACACTCAGAATGATTTCAAGGCCTCTTCTTCAGTCCCCGCTGGCCACTTGTGGCCAACCTTCAGAGCTCCAGCAGTGCTCTAGTGCCCAGGCTGCTGGCCCATGGGCAGAGACACTAACCTCCACAATGTTGAGTAGCTCCAGGCGGTCGATGCAGCCATTGCCATCCTTATCATAGATCTTGAATGTCCACTTCAGCTTGTGCTCCAGGGTGCCCCTCAGCACGAGATTCAGAGCTGCCACGTACTCCAGGAAGTCGATGGTGTTGTCCTGCATTAGATGTGGATGCTGCTGAGGGCACAGCCCACCTCCCCAGAGCATAGGCCATTCATCCCTGCAAACACAGGGCTTCTCCTCCTCCTTTTAATCCATGTGGCCTCTGTGTCTTTGCTCAAGTCTTTCTCCACCCTTGGGGTAGAGAACATTCTATCTATCTATCTATATCTATATCATCTCTCTCTCTCTCTCTCTATCTGACTATCTATCATCTGTCTATTTATTTTTAGAAACAGGGTCTCACTAAGTTACCCAGGCTGGTCTCAAATTCTTGGGCTCAAGTGATCCTCCCTTCTTGGCCTCCCAAAGTGTTTGGATTACAGGCATAAGCCACCACACCCAGCCTAGAGAACATTCTCTCTTCTCATTTTCTATGATCACCCAAGCCTACCCATCCTTCAAGGCTGAGCTCAAGGGTCCCCTCCTCCAGGAAGCCTTTATTCTCTGACCTCTTCAGCCATAGTGCTCTCTCCCTCCTCATTCTAACATCCACAGCCTCTACTGTCTATTCTACACAGCTTGGGACTTTCTCTGGCATTGTCACTTAACTGTTTCCTAGATTTGTCTTGTTCTCTAGCCATGTTATATGCTCCTGGGGAAAAGAGGGGTTGACATTGCTTGGGTTTCTCCTCCATGCCTAGCACAGTGCCACTTATGGCCAGAATTGTAAGCCAATAGATATTCATAAATCAATGAGTCAATGATGGACTTGATCTGAATTTGGGACTAAGACAGTTTTGAAGGAATTAGAAAGCAGAGCCCATGTTGAAATTTTCCTCTGCATTCTCATTCACCCCAAGTCAGAGAGAGGCAGACAGGCAGTGGCTCCAGCCCTACCCACTTCTAGGTCCCAGTGGACATTACACCGAACAACAGGCCTGTGCCTCCAGCCCATCCAGGAAGGTTGGGGAGCGCAGAGCTCAGGTGCTAATTGGGCAGAGGAAGGGGGAGAGGCACAGTCTACTTCTAAGGTGACTCTCACCAGGAAGCAACAGAACCTTCTTGTAACAGAAATGCGGCAGCAATAATGATTTCTAAAACAGTAAATAAGAAAGAGGATATATTCTTGCTTTCTTCTCCAGATGTGTTTGGGGTGACAGGCTGCTGTTGCCGCTGCTGTTGGTGGCTGCAGTGGGTTAGCTGTGCTAGTGTCTCACTTACAGGTGCTCACTTATTCCAAGGTTGGGAACTCCATTCTCCAAATCAAAAATCTGAGCTATCAGATCCCCCAGGAGTGCCTGTCATTCACATGACTTTGTTATCAGAAATGACACTGATGGCCCAGAGCACTTCTGTCCCACTGGGTCAGGCCACTCAGGAGCCCCAGCCCCAGATCAAGGGGTGCCTCAGTGAACAAGGTTTGAGCAACAGGAGAAAATGGCAGAAAATGAGGGAAACAGCAAGAAGCCTAAGGAAAAACTAAGAAGAAAACAAAACGAGCTTACCTTAGTACCTGAAGTGTTCTATTCATATCTTTTATATAATTCCTATAAATATATGGTCTCCGTACTCCCCATCATATACTTATCTAATTGAGGTCAGATTATATTTATAATTTTGTTTCCTTCATTCTCATGTAACATTTTCTCATGTCTTTAAAAATTAGTTAAAATGTCAACTTCCATTTTTTTTTTTTTTTTTGGTGGGGAGGGGGTACTGAACATTCCCTTTGTTGAATATATTTCTAATATTTTCCATTAAACAATGAACTTTTTTTTTGCACGTATACCTTTTCTTATATCTCTGGTATTTCTTTTTTTAGGGTAGACACTTAGCAATGGTTGTCAGTTCTTTAAAAGGCTATTTTCTCGAGTAGTTGTTACTTATTAAGCTTACCACAAATCAATCTTGTGTTTCTTATTTAATGAGAATTAGTTATTATCCCCATTTTATGGATGAGGAGCCTGAGACCCAGAGGTTCCCAGGCCACCCAGCCAGCAAGTGGCAGAGCTTTTCCAGGCATGCATCTCCTCCAGTGCATCACGTCGGAAGAACTTGCAGTCTCCACTTAAGATCTATTTCTGTCCAGCAAATAAGCCTAGTGCTTGGGGGTGCCAAGAGAAGAAAAACAAAAACAAAACCTGAAACCACTCACAAATCCCCACTCTCTAGATCTCCAGAGTCTTCCTCATTCTTTGTCCAGAAGCTTCTATTCCTACAACATCCTCTCTCAACATGATTCAGTTTCCATGACTCCTTGCCTTATATGAGACATATTCCAGAGTGATCTCTAGACAAGTGATCTCATCTGAGAGGTTACTGGAAACCCCAGGACCATTTCTGGGAAACGTCCAGCTGGGACTAATCTCATCTGCTATGCATGGGACCTTGTCAGCTCCAATTACCCACAGAGGCCTGAGAGTGATGGAAATGGCTCTGTCTACTCAGGAATAGGATGGGCGTGTCACCGGCTCTGTGGGATTATCTGCCCTGTTTCTCCTTGAATTGGCCATATTTGTGCACCAGCCCTGACTTCAATGCATGTTATATAAGAATCCTAAATGACATCTGATCTTCACCCTCCCCTTTCTTCCATTCCAGGCGGTCATAGGGCAACCACGAGAGTTGCAAGGGAGAGTGGCAGAGACGAGGTGTTCCTACCTTTTTGTCCCCACCAAACCGGTTTCCATCACCTCACATTTTCACGTGTGAACCACATCTATAAACACTTTTGATTGGATTTGCTTTAGAAATCTCAGACCGATTGTTCCGAAATGACACTCCTTGATATAAGGGGGAATGGAGTCAGGTGTAGGTTTGGAGACAAAGACTAAGTGGGAAAGAAGGCTCAGTCCCTGAGAGAGGAACTGAAAAACACTTTCTAGGGAGGCTCTTCCTTACAGTGGAATGCCAACTAATAAATAGAGAAGGGGTGATGGGGTTAGAAAATTATCAACAGATGCCAAAGCCAGTAGAAAATTTGACTGAACAATAGGATATTTACTTAGTCTCAAGATATATCCTTACATGTTGCTTATTAATTACAAAGAAAAAAATAGTAACTTTACAATGTTGAAACATGGCAGATACCACCTTAACCAAGTGATCAAAGTTAACTACGCCAGTGATGGGACAAACTGATGTCTTGTACCGGATGGTATGATGAACCGAGGACACAACATCACATCAGTGGCAATTCTACCAATTTAGACAAACGCCAGTTGTGGGCTGTCCTACAACATAACTCAGCTGCAGTCTTCAAAAATGTCACAGTCAAATAAAAAAGAAAAGCTGAGATTAAAGATTCCAGGTTAAAGAAGACTAAGGAGATACAACAAGTAAATGCAATGTATGATCATACAAAAAAAAAAAAAGAAAAAAAAAAAGAAAAAGGAAGGCCAGGCATGGTGGCTCATGCCTGTAATCCCAACACTTTGGGAGACCGAGGCGGGTGGATCATGAAGTCAAGAGATGGAGACAATCATGGCCAACATGGTGAAACCCCATCTCTACTAAAAATACAAAAATTAGCTGGGCATGGTGGTGCTCGCCTGTAGTCCCAGCTACTGGGGAGGCTGAGGCAGGAGAATCGCTTGAACCTGGGAGGTGGAGGTTGCAGTGAGCCAAGATCATACCACTGCACTACAGCCAGGGTGACAGAGCGAGACTCCAACTCAAAAAAAAAAAAAAAAAAAAAAAAAAAGAGAGAAAAGAAAAGAAAAGAAAAGAAAAAGGAAAAAAGAAAGAAACCTGGCCGGGTGCAGTGGCTCATGCCTGTAATTCCAGCACTCTGGGAGGCCGGGGTGGGCAAATCACTTCAGGTCAGGAGTTCGACACCAGTCTGGTCAACATGGTGAAACCCCGTTTCTACTAAAAATACAAAAATTAGCCAGGCATGGGAGTGTGCACCTGTAATCCTAGCTACTCAGGAGGATGAGTCATGAGAATTGCTTGAACTCAGGAGGTGGAGATTGCAGTGAGCTGAGATTGTGCCACTGCACTCTAGCCTGGGCAACATGGCGAGACCTCATCTCTACCAACATAAATAAATAAATAATACAAAAATTAGCAGGCATGGTGGTGCACACCTGTAATCCCAGCTACTTGAGAGGTTGAGGTGGGAGGATCCCTTGAGCCTGGGAAATCAGAGGCCGCAAAGAGCTGAAATCATGCCACTGGGTGACAGAGCGAGACTCTGTCTCAAAAACAAAAAAGAAAATACACACTGAAATACTTAGGGATAAACGGGCATGATATCTATAGCTTTCTCTTAAAAAAAGTATATGTATAAATTATGTATCATGTATATGTATATATACTTATAGGATACATTATATATATGTATGTATACAGAGAGAGGCAGAATGATAAAGTAAATGATATAAAATGTGAATAACTGGGGAAATTTGGATAAATTGCATATGGGAGTTACTTGTATCATTCTTATAACTCTTCTGTAAATTTAGAATCATAGTAAAATTAAAAAGTTATTCAAAAAGGAAAAAACATTGATGAACATCATATGCCGATTTATAAGAAGAGATGAGGTATAAGGAGTACAACTATATGCCTAGGGGCTTAATCAGCCCTTTGGATCTTGAATCATGATCGTATTGATTTTTAGATGAATCTGGGGAAGATTGATGGACTTAAATGAGTCTTATTATTTATGACCTGATATATTTGTTTACTTTTCTTACATTTTAAAAAAACATCAATTATTTTAAAAAGTCATCTTCTCTCTTTAAAAAACCTGCCTTCTAGGCAGGAGCACTTAAGACCTTGGGCAAATCGATTCATTCCCTTTTGCCCAGCTTTCTCATCATTTAATTTGGAATAACAAAAGTCTGCCCCTCCCACCCAGGGTTGCTGCTGATTCAGAGGAGACCTAAGAGAGGCGGAGCGCTGAGAAGTCCGAAACTGGCTCTGTGCCCTGTGGGGTGGTCGATGGGGTTCATCTCTAAGGAGGTTCTGTTGAATTGAAGGTGCTGACCTCACCCTCCTGTCCCGGGACAGGCACTGTGGGGACGTGCACTGACTGGTACCAGCGACAGGATGAGACCTGAAGTGGCATTCCCAGTGATTCAGCTTAGAAAGCTAAGTTCTCCACGCACTGAGGAATGGAGAACTGACACTTTCTTCAGATTAAATTGGTATTTGAGGCAAATACCAGGGCATTTGAGGTATTTGAGGTATTTGAGGATTGCCAGGGCACTGAACTGGATAACCTTAAATAATCAAGGGGTTTTTAACTGAATTGAAATTTAAAATTCAATCCCCTGGTGCATTTACAAGATGTGTTATCTTCTTAGCTGCTAGTGACATTGTGGGCTTAGAGAAACTCTAGTCTGAATGATTTAATGAAACCTTCCAGGACTTGAAGAGCTGAAAGGGGCTTTTGCAGTCATTCGCCCAGTCTCCCAATACATGCAGGAGCCTCTTCCAGCATTCTTGACAGGGAGGATCTGACCAGTCTCAGAAGAACCCCAACAAGAGGGAGCTCATAGCCCATGCTAAGATACCTTGTCTCATTTAGAACATCTCTTTTGCTCCTAGTGTTTAGAGTGACAGGGGCTCTGGCAGATGCGAAAACCCGGTCATTGGGCTGCAGAGTCTTGGTCAAAAATACACAAAGAGAGGACCTGGACTGTCTGCCAGTCGCCCTTCAGCTCTCAAGAAGAGGACACAGGGAGCATCAGCCGACAGCTAAGAGATGGAGGGAGGGAAGGAGAGACAGAGAAGATGGAAAGGGACAAAAGGAAGAGAAGAGACAGAAGGGTTTGGTGAGTGAGACAGAAAAGGTAAAGAGAGACGGAGTGGAAAGAAGAGCAGAGAAAGAGCCGAGGAGTGGGGAACTGGGAGCTCTCCCTGAGGACACTTGTGGAGGAAGGCGCCAGGTGGACTGGCCACTGGTCCTTCCCTTCAGGGTGCCTTACCCCATTCTTGTCGAAGGCTCGGAACATGCCCTCTACATACTGGGAGGCCTCCTCATCGTCTGTGACCTTGAAGAAGCGCTTAAACTCATGCATAAAGAGTGTGCCGCTGGGGCACTCCATCACAAACTTCTTGTACCACTCCTGGAGCTCCGCCACATCTATCTCGCCAGCTGCCTCCGCCTCCTCCCAGCTAAACTCCTGCCCCATGCTAGCCCTGAGGAGCATCAGGGAGCAAGGGTCTGTATCTCCTCCCTGGCTTCTGCTGATGGATCTCTCCAACTAGGGCCCTCTTCCTCCCTTTCCAGGAGGCCTGATCAGCCTCTCCATCATCTCCTGGGTGACTGAACATGATCAGTCGGTGCAGGGGGCAGGTGGCAAGGGAGGTGGGTCCAGGCCAGCTAAGCTGCCCTAAGACTATTAGAAGATTCCCCAGGTGGCCGGGTGCGGTGGCTCATGCCTGTAATCCCAGCACTTTGGGAGGCCGAGGTGGGTGGATCACAAGGTCAGGAGTTCGAGACCAGCCTGGCCAACATGGTGAAATCCTGTCTCTACTAAAAATACAAAAAATTAGCTGGGCATGGTGGTGGGTACCTGTAATCCCAGCTATTCAGGAGGCTGAGGCAGGAGAATCACTTGAACCTGGGAGATAGAGGTTGCAGTGAGCTGCGATCACACCACTGCACTCCAGCCTGGGGGACAGAGTGAGACTCTGTCTCAAAAAAAAAAAAAAAAAAAAAAAAAGAGATTCCCCAGGAAGTTCTGACCTCCAGCCTAAACTCCTCCAGCCTCACTCCTTCCCTTAGCCTTGTCAACAAAGCAACCAAGCTGGCCCTGGTAGACTCTGAAGAGGTAGAAGGGGAAGAAACTGAGAGGTAAGCAGAGAGATGCAGAGTGAAGAAAGAGTCGGGGTGCTAGGCTGGGATCCTCCCATCTCACTCACTCCCTATCTCTTTAGCTGGGCCTCACATTGCTTCAGGGAGGCCCATCTTGGAGACAGGAGACTCAAATCCAGAGAGGAAGTGAGATCAAGTCCTAGGCCATAAAACAGAATCTGCTGGTGATCTGGGACTCGCCCCTCAGACGGTCTAGTGAAAAGAGGCAGAATCTATGATGGGAAGGGCTCTAGGTGAGCAACTCTCTTCCCAGGCTAACTCGGTCCCTGAAGCTCCTTTCCAGATTACACCTTTCATCTTGGGAGCTTTTCACTTTCTGATTTAAACTACAAATGCCTCCCTCCAACCCTTCACACAAGACCTAGGGGTAGTGCCTTTTTCACATTTCCTCCAAAATACTAACATGTGAGAAGGATCTGGGAGCATGGCCTAAAATATCTTTGAAGGCTCTTACTTTTACATTATAGGTCATGTAAAATTTGCTTTTGAACAATTACATATTCATGCTTATTTTAATGTAACATAAAAATGACACCTCCAAGAAATCAAAAGACCAGGGACACACATTTTTCTTTTTCTTTGCTTTTTTTTTTTAAATTTCTATTTTTTGAGACAGGGTCTCGCTCTGTCGCCCAGGCTGGAGTGCAGTGGTGTGATCTCGGCTCACTGCAACTTCCGCCTCCGGGTTCAAGTGATTCTCATGCCTCAGCCTCCCGAGCAGCTGGGATTACAGGTGCACACCACAACACCCAGCTATTTTTTCTTCTTTTTTTTTTTTTTATTATACTTTAAGTTCTAGGGTACATGTGCACAACATACAGGTTTGTTACATAGGTATACATGTGCCATGTTGGTTTGATGCACCCAGCAGCCAGCTAATTTTTGTATTTTTAGTAGAGATGGGGTTTCATCATGTTGGCCAGGCTGGTTTCAAACTCCTGACCTCAAGTGATCCACCCGCCTTGGTCTCCCAAAGTGCTGGGATTATAGGCATGAGCCACCACGCCCAGTGACACTCATTTTTCTAGAAGACTTCAGAGGCAGCAGTTCCAGTGAATCTATCCTTAACCTACCCATCCCTCACTGGGTGTTCAGCCTGAATTGTTTTGCACATCTCCAGGCCTGACCTCCTCTCTCACTGTTCTCTGCCTCCAGACGTCACTGAGCTCTGAAAGCTCTTTTAACTTTCTTGCTATTCCTGAAGGAGAAATGTGATTTCTTCTGTCATCCTTTCAAGTGGTGGTGGGTTTTTCTCCCCCACACACACCTCAAGGTCTAGATAACAGGGCTAGTGTCCTCCTCGCTTCTAACTCTTGCCTCCAAATGGCCTTTTACTTTTTTCTCCCCAAAAAAGGCCAGTCCCTTTGAAGCCACATCTGACTCCTTGCCACTATTTACTTCTCCTCATTACTGTCATTCACTGGTGACTTCCCTGCTTGTCTCAAAGCATCATGTCAGTCATTTCAGTGACTGTGACCTCCAAGTGGATAAACAGCCCATCCCATACACTGGCCTCAAAGGTACTTGATCTCTCTCTCTTTTTTTTTTTTTTTTTTGAAACAGAGTTTTTGCTCTTTTCACCCAGGCTGGAATGCAGTGGTGCGATCTCGGCTCACTGTGAACTCCGCCACCCGGGTTCAAGCGATTCTCCTGCCTCAGCCTCCCTAGTAACTGGAATTACAGGTGCCTGCCACCATGCCCGGCCAATTTTTCTATTTTTAGTAGAGATGGGGTTTCACCATGTTGACCAGGCTGGTTTCGAACTCCTGACCTCAGATGATCTGCTCGCCTTGGCCTCCCAAAGTGCTGGGATTACAGGCATGAGCCACTGCGCCCGGCCCCAGTGAGATGTGTGGGGGTCACACTGCCCTCTTAGTCTCTAATTGCTGGCAACCTGGCATGGTCCCACATGCGTAAGCCACCGGGCCTGGCCTGGTCCTTGATCTCTTTAGTTCCAAAGAGCTTTTCTTCCACCTTACCTAGTACTTCCATTCACTTGTGGTCCCTGAGCCACAAGTGCAGCATCTGGGAGCTTGCTAGAAATGCAATGTCTCAGGCCCCACCTCAGACCTGCTGAATCAGGAACTGTGGGCTGGGGCCAGGAGTCTGTGTTTTAACAAGCCCTCCAGGTGCTTCCAATGCGTACTGAAGTTTGAGGATCACCACCCTAGGCCTTGCTGTCACCAATCTCTACTACCTCTGAAACATTCAAACGCTGCCGTCTGTTATCAGCACCCCACCCCTTCCATCTGTTACTGTAATACCTTCACTCCAATAATTCACTAATCTCATTGCGACTTCCAACCTGCTGATCTGTTTTTAACATCTGTCATCTTGCTCATCTCCTCACTCTCCTCCTTATCTTCATTCCATGGCCCAGCATTCTCTCCATTTTGACTTTTGTGCCCCTCTCTCCTCCTAACGCCTCACTTGGCCTGGCCCTGGTTAAGGCTGTTCACTAACTATGCAGTAACACTTTGCCTACAGTGGGGAGCCTGGACATCATTGGAGGACATCATAAATCATGCTGGCTGTACGCACTTCAGATCATGCCAGACAATCATACTACATACTCTTCCTGCCGAATTCCCTCTCCCCCTCTCTGAGATGACTATTCCACAGCGCTTCCTGCCCTCAAACCTTCCACTCACTCCCACACTGTTGCACACTTCACAGAGACAGATGAGGCAGTGACTCATCTTCCCACCAGTGTTTACCAACTTCTCTGTATCTGTGCCCATGTCCTCTGCCCCCTTCCGGTCTCAGTGGAAGCAGCGTGCCCTTCCCCTTGTCCCCGTCAACACCGCCACTTGTTTCCTAGATCACATCTCTCTTTACCTACTCGAAAGCTTCCTTCCCGCAGTTACTCCCTTTCTCTTCTGCAGCCTCCACTCATCCCTCTCTAATGGATCATTCCCGTCAGCATTCAGGTGTGCTGTAATATTGCCTTTATTAAAACAAGACAAAAATCCTTCCTTGACCCCACATTCAGGGCTACATTATGACATTCACGGGCCCCACACGTTTTTGCCTTCATGGGTCATAATACAAATACTGAAAAAATATTAAATAAGTAAATATTAATAATTATCACTGGTATAAAAAAGAACATAATCTAGACTCGGTGTTTCTTTTAAATTATGATTTTATTTTATTATTATTATTATTATTATTTTGAGACGAAGTCTCGCTCTGTCACCCAGGCTGGAGTGCAATGGCACGATCTCGGCTCACTGCAACCTCTGCCCCACCGGGTTCAAGTGATTCTCCTGCCTCAGCCTCCCAAGTAGCTGGGATTACAGGCGTACGCCACCATGCCTGGCTTATTTTCTATTTTTAGTAGAGACAGGGTTTCACCATGTTGGTCAGGCTGGTCTTGAACTCCTGACCTCAAGTGATCCACCCACTTTGGCCTCCTAAAGTACTGGGATTACAGGCATGAGCCACCGCTCCCGGCTCCGATTTTATTTTAATTAACTAATTTATTTATCCTGAGACAGGGTCTCTGTTGCCCAGGCTGGAGTGCACTGGTGCTATCAGGGCTCGCTACAGCCTCGACCTCCTGGGCTCAAGCAATCCTCCCGCCTCAGCCTCCTGAGTATCTAGGACTACAGTTGTGCGCCACCATGCTTGGTTAATTTTTTGATATTTAGTAGAGACAAGGTCTCACTATGTTTCCCAGTCTTGAACTCCTGGGTTCAAGTGATCCTCTTGCCTTGGCCTCCCAACTGCTGGGATTATAGGCATGAGCCACCACACTTGGCCTTTATTTTGGTTTTAAAAGAAATTTAAAATATTGGGCCCTAGGCACTGTGCCTACTGGGTAAACTGACCTGCCCACATCCCCTGCCCAGCTATTGTCCTAAATTTTGCTCCCCTTACAACAAAGCCCCTTGTGGCAGATGTATCTTCAGAAAATGGCAGGACGATCATTCTGGCTTCACGCATTCCTCCCATCAAAGGGAGGAGTCTATTATCTTTCTCTTCAACCCGGAGGAAACTTTCTGGCTGCCTTGTTGAAGATAACTGCAGAAATGACACAATGTGACTTCCAGGGCTAGGTCATCAAAAGTGATAGGTTTCCACCAGGCTCTCTTTCTCAGAACTTGCCCTTGGAACCCAGCCACCATGTTGTGAGGAAGCCCAGAGCACATGCAGGGGTTCTGGCTGAAAGCCAGTCTCAACCACCAGACATGGGTGAATGAGCCTTCAGATGACTCCAGCCCCAGCTTCTGAGCTACTCCAGCCCCAGCTTCTGAGCTACCCCAGCTAATACCACATGGAGCAGACACTATCCCTGCAGAGTCACTGTTTTAAGCTACTAAGTGTTAAGTGTTTTTTGAGGTAGCAATAGATAACTGGGAAATTCTCAAACCTATTTTGCATCCTCTTTTTAAATCTCTTATTCTTTCCTCAACTTACTCCAACTGGACGTTCATCCCCATCACTCCACAGAAATGGCTTTTATTGTGGTCACCAATGATCTACTTTTTTTTTTTTTTTTTTTTTTTTTTTTTTAACCTAACCTGCCACAGATTCATCACAGTTCACCAAACTAAGTTCTTTCTCCACTCTACATTTCAAGGACCCACACTCCTCTGATTTCACTCCAGCCTCACTCATTGCTCATTTTCTTTGCTAGCACCTCTTGCTTTTAACCAAATCTCTAAAAGCTGGGAGCTTTCCAGGCTTGTCTTTAGTACTCTTCCTTTGTTTACCCACACTTGCTCCCTAGATGATCTCATTCATTCCCATGCCATTACACACCATTTACAGGCTGGCAGGTTCCAAATTTGTATCTTCAGCCTGGACCTCTCCCAGGAACTCCAGATGCATGTATTCAACTGCCTACTGGACATCTATACTCAGATTGCAAACTTAGCAAGGCCAAAACCAAATTACTGATTTCCTTCCCGAGTCCCACCTTATCTCTTCTCCACCTCAGTAATGGCACTGCTATTTACGCTTAGGTGAAAACCCAGGAATTATCCTTGAATGCTCTTTCCTTTAGATTTCACTTCAATCTACTAGTAGGTCATTTCATCAGCTCTTCCTGCAAACTATACTCTAAATCAAACCACTTCTCCTCACCTCCATTCCTGACATTCTCGCCCAGACCAGCATCATCTCACCTGGTCCACCGCAGCAGATCCCTAACTGGTCTCCCTGCCCTCTCGTCACTCCTCTTTCACCCAGCAGCCACAGTAGCATACAGCAGATCCTGCCACTCTCCTGCTCAAACCCTCCTTTAGCTTTCCATTTGCTGAGAATAAAATCCACACTCCTCCCCATGCCTATGATGCATTACACGATCTAGTCCCTGCCTACTTCTGTCTTCATGGTCTTCTACACTGCAAACACACCAAACTCCTTCTAGAATCAGTGTGTCTTTGCATGTATTGTTCCTCCTACTTGGACTGTTTTTCCTCCAGATTTTTTTTTTTTTTAGATGGGAGTCTCGCTCTTGTTGCCCAGGCTGGAGTGCAATGGCACAACCTCGGCTCACTGCAACCTCCGCCTCCCAGGTTCAAGCGATTCTCCTGCCTCAGCCTCCCGAGTAGCTGGGACTATAGGCACCCGCCAGCAAGCCCGGCTAGGTTTTGTGTTTTTAGTAAAGATGGGGTTTCACCGTGTTGGCCAGGCTGGTCTCGAACTCCCGACATCAGGTGATCCACCCATCTCAGCCTCCCAAAGTGCTGGGATTACAGGCATGAGTGACCACACCCAGCTTCTTCCTCCAGATGTTAACACCACTGCCTCCTCCTCAGAGAGAACTTTCCCAACTCCCCCTCAGGTAGCCACTCAAGTAATTCTGATATTATCCCATTTTATTTTCTTCACAGTACTTAATTGCATCTGAAACTATCTTATTTTTTTCTCTACTTGTCTGTCTCTCTCACTAAAGTCTATGATCTTTGAGGAGAGGGACTTCACTATATACATTCCAGAATTCCCAGCGTTTAGAACAGTACTTGGCATGTACAGGAAACTCAAATACTTGTTGAGTAACTGAGCAAGGTCCTTGGCACATGGTCAATGCTGAATTAACGTCAGCTATCACTCCTTCATTTTACAAGACAATTCCTCTTTGACTCTGTTTAGTGTCTAGATTAGCAGGTATTTGTTGAGATAAAAATGATAATGGGATTTTAGAACTGGAAAAGGCCTTGAAGATTATCTAGCCCATTAATTTCCAATTACCCATCTCAACACACTTTAAGATAACACATGCCCATCAGCAGCCGTGGCTCTGTAACAGCAGCATCTCAACTGGCTTGGTGTGAAGGTAGTATTATTCCCATCCATCTCTCTTTTTTTAGACAGGGAGACAGGGTCTTCCTCTGTCACCCAGGCTGGAGTGCAGTGGAACACTCTCGGTTCACTGCAACCTCCATCTTCCGGGTTCAAGCAATTCTTATGTCTCAGCCTCCTAAGCACCTGGAATGCCCAGCTAATTTTTGTATTTTTAGTGGAGGTGGTGTTTTGCCATGTTGGCCAGGCTCCATCCATCTCTTAACACTTATTATTTAAGCAGCATTGAAGATTGATTAAAGTACAGTATCTCTGCCCAAGTTAAGAAATTTTATGAGTGAAATATAACTTGATTTAACCTCTGGCCGAGGAATTTAAAATTCAATTGGTTTTTCATGTGGGTCAGTTGCCCATGACCTGCCCTATAAATAAATGTCGCTGAGCTACTGAGTTATAAATATATCATTTTAAAGAGGATTAGAAATCCAGCCGGGCATGGTGGCTCAAGCCAGTAATCCCAGCGCTTTGGGAGGCTGAGGTGGGCGGATCACTTGAGGTCAGGAGTTTGAGACCAGCCTGGCCAACACACCGAAACCCCATCTCTACTAAAAATACAAAAGTTAGCTGGGCGTGGTGGCGGGTGCCTGTAATCCCAGCTACTCAGGAAGCTGAGGCACGAGAATCGCCTGAACCTGGGAGGCAGAGGTTGCAGTGAGCCGAGATTGTGCCACTGCACTCCAGCCTGGGCGACAGTCAGACCCTGTCTCAAAAAATAAACAAATAAATAAATAAAAATAAAATAAATAAATAAATAGATAAATAAAATAAAGAGGATTAAGAATCCATAGAGAGAAATGAGAGCTTGAAGTGAGTAACAATAGAAAGGATTTAAGGAGGGCAGGGTTAGGAATTGAGCAGGGGATTTGGAAAGAGAGTCCTGGGGATTGCAGGCAGTCAGCCATAAGCCTGGCTCCAGGGGCAAAGATATGCTTAAAATCGACAAACCCATGTCTTCTGAGCCCTAGTCAGGCTGGACCTGAAGCCCCACTGTGAATCATCTCCATCTGAGTGTTCTTGTGACCGAGTAGGACTCCCCTTGCTGATGCCTAAACTCTTGTGTTGCCCCCTCCCTCAGGACCAGTCTGAGCAGTGGGACCACCTAAATTGTGCCGTGTATCTTGCTTCTTGCTTTAATTCATTAATTTTTCCTCCCAGTCAATCACTTTACTTCTAAGCTTTAGACCAAGCTTATCCAATTGGAGGCCCACGGGCTGCATGCGGCCCAGGACGGCTTTGAATGCAGCCCAACACAAATTGGTAAACTTTCTTAAAACATTGTGAGATTTTCTTTCATGATTTTTTTTTTAATTAGCTATTATTAGCGTTAGTGTATTTTATGTGTGGCCCAAGACAATTCTTTCAATGTGGCCCAGGGAAGCCAAAAGATTAGACACCCCTGCTTTAGAGGAAACGAGTACATTTTGGTAACGTGAGAGGTGAACAAACCTGGAATTTAGCTTTGAATATTCTGCATTTAGTATGTGGATATTTGAGTACCTCATAGCCTGCTTACAAATTAGCTTCTAGGGCTGACCCTGTCACTAACAGCTTCATCTGTAAGCTGAAAGGGTGACTGAGTGGGCAAATAACAACTCTCTAAGCCTTGGTTTTCTGTCCTGTAAAATGGGGACAATGGTAAGTACTTCAGTGTGTTAATAAAAATCAAAGGATTTTTGGTTTGTGGCTGGGCGCTGTGGCTCATGCCTATAATCCCAGCACTTTGGGAGGCTGAGGCTGGCAGATTGCTTGAGCTTACAAGTTTGAGACCAGCCTGGGCAACATGGCAAAACCCTGTTTCTACAGAAAAAAAAAAGAAAGAAAAAAAAAGAAAAATTAGCCGAGTGTGGTGATGTGTGCCTATAGTCCCAGCTACTAAGGGGGCTGAGGTAGGAGGATCATTTAAGCCCAGGAGGCGGAGGTTACAGTGAGCCAAGATTGTCACTGCACTCCAGCCTGGGTGATAGAGCCAGAACTGTCTGAAAAACAACGCTAAGGGCTGGGTGCGGTGGCTTATGCCTGTAATCCCAGCACTTTGGGAGGCCGAGGCGGGCGGATCACGAGGTCAGGAGATCGAGACCATCCTGGCTAACACAATGAAACCCCGTCTCTACTTAAAAATACAAAAAATTAGCTGGGCGTGGTGGCGGGTGCCTGTAGTCCCAGCTACTCGGGAGGCTGAGGCAGGAGAATGGAGTGAACCTGGGAGGCGGACCTTGCAGTGAGATTGTGCCACCACACTCCAGCATGGGTGATAGAGCGAGACTCCATCTCAAAAAAACAAAAACAAAAACTCTAAGGTAAATGTTATCCCTACCCTGGAGGTAACCTGAGGTCTTTTCCAGCTGGTTCTTGAACAGTATAGCACACAAGCATCTAAAGTATCATCGGAATGGTACTGCCATTTACTGAATGTCTGTTACCTGCTCAATACTGTGCAAGGTTTTTTATCAGTTATCGAATACTCCAACCTTATTAAGCTGGAGCATTAAATATATGTCAAATGTAAGTATGTAGGTATTATTTCCTACAGACTTATTATTACCTTTACTAATGAGTACACTGAGGCCCTGACAGGGTTAAATCTCTTGCCCAAGTTTACGGCAGTCAGTGGGTTTGAACTCTTATCTGACTCATGTCTGTCTGACTCCAAAGTCCATGTTTGCTCTATTCTGTCATTCATTAGTCTTGTAATAGAACTAACTTAATAATGTAATGTAAGACAGGGATGGTTGCAGACAACTAGAAATGTTAAGAAACTAGACTAATAATTTAAAATGATTGCTTTATGTATTCACTGTGGCATGTTTAAATGGTCATAGGGCCAGGAACATATGCCATTCTTTCAAAGCACTGAAACTTGGCACTTGAACTAGTTTAGTCTGTCTTACCAGAGATCTGTAGTTATACTAAGACTCTTGGATGAGAACATGATTTTATTTAATATGAAGAAAATATAGGCTGGGCATGATGGCTGATGCCTGTAATCTCAGTATTTTGGGAGGCCAAGGCCGAAGAATCACTTGAGGTCAGGAATTTGAGACCAGCCTTGGCAACAAAGTGAGACCCCCATCTCTACAAAAAGATTAAAAAATTAGCCATGTATCATGGTACATGCCTGTGGTTCCAACTACCTGGGAGGCTGAGGCAGGAGGATCATCTGAGCCCAGGAGGTCAAGGCTGCAGTGAGCTGTGTTCATGCCACTGCACTCCAGCCTGGGCGACAGAGCAGGACCCTGACTCCAAAAAATAAAAAAATGAGCTGAGTGTGGTGGTGCACACATTTAGTCTCAGCTACTTGGGAGGCTGTGGTGGGAAGATCCCTTGAGCCCATAAGTTCGATTGTGTAGTGAGCTTTGATCGTACCACTGCACTCCAGCCTGGGCAACAGAACAAGACTCTGTCTCTACAAAAAAAAAAAAAAAAAAGAAAAAGAAAAAAGATCATCTCACTTCCTACCTGCCTTCTGGTTCATTCTATTTTTTTTCTTTTTTTTGAGATGGAGTTTCACTCTTGTTGCCCATGGCGTGATCTTGGCTCATCGCAACCTCTGAGTTCAAGGGATTCTCCTGCCTCAGCCTCCCAAGTAGCTGGGATTACAGGCATGCGCCACCACACCCTGCTAATTTTGTATTTTTAGAAGAGACAGGGTTTCTCATATTGGCCAGGCTGGTCTCCAACTCCCAACCTCACATGATCCGCCCGCCTCAGCCTCCCAAAGTGCTGGGATTACAGGCGTGAGTCACCACTCCTGGCCGGTTCATTCTATTTTTTTTTTGCCATTACTTTTAATGGCAAAAACTGCAATTACTTTTGCACCAACATATATTATCAAATCCACTCTTCTCTCACCATCTCCCATACCCACCATGGACAGAAAGTGTGACCCAGGCATTAATTCTAATTTTCAGGATATGCATTTTACTCAGAGGCCTAATTTAAAACCAACAAAAGAAAACCAAAAATCTTCTTAGCCTATCAAGATAGCTATATCCTGATAAGCTAAGAAGTTATTTTGTTTATATCATTTTTTCAGTACTGTACTTCATGCCAAACTTGTTTATATCAAGAAGCGGGCTTCAAATATGCCAAATACTTTCGTCGAAGAAATACTGCTAGTTTTGGGCCAGGCGCAGTGGCTCATGCCTGTAATCCCAGCACTTTGGGAGGCCGAGGCAGGTGGATCACGAGGTCAAGAGATCAAGACCATCCTGGCCAACATGGGGAAACCCCATCTCTACTAAAAATACAAAAATCAGCTGGGCGTGGTGGCACATGCCTGTAGTCCCAGCTACTTGGGAGGCTGAGGCAGGATAATCGCTTGAACCTGGGAGGCAGAGGTTGCAATGAGCCGAGATCGCGCCACTGCACTCCAGACCGGGTGACAGTGCAAGATTCCATCTCAAAAAAAAAAAAAAAAAAAGAAAGAAAAAGAAAAAAGAAATACTGCTAGTTTTTCTCACGTGCATGTGTGCACATGTAGTTCATTTGCTTATTTAAGCCGAGGTTTTAACACATAATTGGAAGTCCTAAACTAAGGACTTTGGTTTACATGGAGTGCTATGGTACAATCTCGGCTCACTGCAACATCCACCTCTTGGGTTCAAGCAATCCTCCTGCCTCAGCCTCCCAAGTAGCTGGGATTACAGGCGCCCACCACCATGACCAGCTAATTTTTGTGTTTTTAATAGAGATGGGGTTTTACCATGTTGGCCAGGCTGGTCTCGAACTCCTGACCTCAGGTGATCCACCTGCCTCAGCCTCTCAAAGTGCTGGGATTACAGGCTTGAGCCTCCACAACCGGCCGGGTCTATATTTATTTTTAAAGAATTACTTCAGATGAAAATGTGTCATAAATTGCTGCTTTGCTGCACATAGTTACCATTATGTTGCTCATGTTTTATTGACTAGTTCTTGATCTTCAAGTACTTATACCTGGTGTCAGTATGCTTTAGGCATTCATGAATGACAGTCAACAACTGAGCTGAAGGTCATGGGGCACAAAGCTGCAATTCTTTTAATGGTGATGACAGTAACGTAAGTCTGATACACAAGCAGTATGTATTCAACACACTGATACCTGATAGCATGTCAGGAAAAAAGAATAGGCAATGCAGTTTAAGGGGGGAAAAACTGAGAAGTCATAACTACTCCAAAGATGTGCAGGAAACCACAAAAGACATGGACCTGCTTCTACTATAAAAAGAAAATGAAGCACTTCTCTGGGGTTGCTATACCAACTGTTTCAGCCCATTGTAGTCTTGCCTCTTTCAGGGCTTTAGCCACTATTTCATTTCATGGAAAAGCAGACATCTCCTAACAAACAGAGTGACATTTACCAAAATAAAGAGGGCTTCTCAGTGAGAAGCTTAATAAAGAAAAATATTTACCTATGCTTTGCACAATTTTCTTTTTTTTTTTTTGAGACGGCGTCTCGCTCTGTCGCCAGGCTGGAGTGCAGTGGCGCGATCTCGTCTCACTGCAGCCTCCACCGGGCCCGGGTTCACGCAATTCTCCTGCCTCAGCCTCCTGAGTAGCTGGGATTACAGGCACGTGCCACCATGTCCAGCTAATTTTTGTATTTTTATTAGAGACGGGGTTTCACCGTGTTAGCCAGGATGGTCTGGATCTCTTGACCTCGTGATCCGCCTGCCTCGGCCTCCCAAAATGCTGGGATTACAGGCGTGAGCCACCGTGCCTGGCCTGCTTTGTGCGATTTTCAAAAGCCATTATTTCTATTCAATTTTGGGTACTTAACTACAGTGCTGGATGTAAAGTTTATGCAGTAAAAGCTTATTGAATGAATGAATCATAGGATAAATAATACAACTAGTAATTTCTTAAGATCATAAATTCCATTACAGTAACCCTGGTAGGCAACTCTATAAAGTTCTGGGCTCCAAGAAGAGGTCAGTGCATGCCATAAATGTGTTTGATCTGCTGTGAAGTATATTCAGTCTTCAAAATGTAATGCTTACATGAGATAAAATCGGTTGGTTACCACCCCCAAATTAGCATATGCCAGCCTGCACAAAGGTAAATAGCAAAAACTTTAACTGCTCAATCTGAATTAACCAAAGATTCCTTCTAGGAATCTTAAAAAAAAATAAGGGTACGAACACTCCAAGCACTTATTTTCAGATGCATCAACTGACATAAATTAAAAATGGTACAAACTAATAATTGAACACCAGTAGCGTAACAAAATAGAATTTTCACTCTTTCTGCTTTCAGTCAAAGTGGTTTGCTCATGTTTGCTGAAATCAGAACTGAAACAATGAATAAAAAGAATAGATAAAAGTGGTTCTTCCATTAAAGTTCCATTCCCTGCCCTCAGCTGATGAGGGCACGAGAACTCAATGGAGCAGTTAGGGCAGACTCAAATCATCTCAGCTGGAAGCACTCTCCACTTAAACATACTCATCTGGCCCACCCTCATTTCAAATTTAGGCAAAAATGGCCTCCCTGAGGCTTTATGACTTGCTTTCTTCTTTTTCTTCTGATAGTGTTTCCCAGATTGGCTCCTTGATGTGTTCTGGTAACTGTTCTAATTGTGTCTAAAAAAAGAAAGAAACAAAACTATAATGTGGATTTAACAGAACTCTTTGACTACAAATCGGACTTATTAATTTGGTCAAATCCTCTTTACTTCTTTTTCTTTTATCCCCCTAGTCTTTCTATAGGGTTTTGAAATGGAAAGAAGGAAACTTGATGGTCTATAAAACACTCTCACATACATAATCGATTTGATCCTCAATGATCTTCATGGATTGCCACTTAATGGGATCCCCAGGTCTAGACAACTCATATTGAGGAGGGAGAACTTCATAGGTGGTTCACGGAGGACTTGGGCTGAAATGGCAGGATTCTGTTGCAAGGGGTGGGTAGCCCCCAACCGCTGTGGCAACTGTGTCTCCCAGTTTGCCACAGTTTAGGGCAAACTCTACTCAGTGGGCCAGGACCAGGCTGCAATGTATCAAAACAACAATACAGATACCACTCCCCACCGCCCCACCGAAAGAGGCAGAAATTCAAGCTATACCTTTGTTACTTCCATGGCAACCCCTTCAGGTAAGTTTCGCTGAATATATTCCAAGTAGACATCTGCTGTGCTTCCAGTTAGATGTTCTAACTAAAACATCAAACATGAAAATGTTTCATGTAAGCTGTTTGTTAAAGCACGGTTTTTTGTTTTTTTTTTTGAGATGGAGTCTCACTCTGTTGCCTGGGCTGGAGTGTGTGCAATCTCAGCTCACTGCAACCTCTGCCTCCTGGGTTCAAGCCATCTCCTGCTTCAGTCCCCCGAGTGGCTGGGACTACAGGTGTGTGCCACCATGTCCAGCTAATTTTTTTTGTATTTTTAGTAGAGACGGGGTTTCATCATGTTGGCCAGGCTGGCCTCAAACTCCTGACCTCAAGTGATCCGCCTGCCTTGGCCTCCCAAAGTGCTAGGATTACAGGCATGAGCTACCGCACCTGGCCTCCCCTAAAGAATCTAACATAAAATCCCAGGCTCACAAAACAACTGAAGACAAAAGGACTAAATTATAAGATATAGTTAATATAAGATTTTCTGTGTGTACTATGAGAGACGTTTCCCTCAGACAAAGATGGATAAAATTTGGGTTTTTCTTTTTAAGAGTAGGGACTGCGCAGGCACAGTGGCTCACACCTGTAATCCCAGCACTTTGGGAGGCCGAGGTGGGTGGAGCACCTGAGGTCAGGAGTTCAAGACCAGCCTGACCAATATGGTAAAACCCCATCTCTACTAAAAATACAAAAATTAGCCAGGCGCGGTGGCGTACACCTGTAGTCCCAGCTACTAGCGAGGCTGAGACAGAATTGCTTGAACCCGGAAGGCAGAGGTTACAGTGAGCCTAGATTGTGCCACTGCACTCCAGCCTAGGTGGTGACAGAGTGAGACTCTATCTCAAAAAAAAAAAAAAAAAAAAAAAAAAAAAAGAGTAGGGACCATGACTTTATTATATTTGTGCCCTCAATGACTAGTACAGTACTTCCCATATAAAAGATACATAAGTGCTTGTTTTAATATTTACCAATCACTTACTATGTGATCAAAGTATTCTGAGTGCTTACATAAATTTTCCATTCTAATCCTCACACTAACCTTATGAGATGGGTACCACTATTATTCCCATTTTATAGATGAAGGAATAGAGGTACATGTCACACAGCTGTTAAGAGACAGGACCTGGATTCTGGCATTGGCAGTCTGACTCCAGAACCTATGCTCTCCTTAAGCACACGACTGTGCTGGCACTAATGGAAGCACAAATGAGTAACAGATGAATGAAAAACCTAATGCTGTGCATCACTGACATGGAAAATCCAGCTAGTATGTGAAACAGTTATTAGAACTGTGTAAAAACTTCACTAGAATTTTTGAAATATGAGCAAAATTATTCCAATGCTATCTTTGCATAATCTGCATTCCTGAGTTAAGGTATGCACTACTCTAAAGGATTGCTTTATTTGCATTTACTTTTCCTACCATGACACTTCCATAAACACTAAAAGATATTTACCTTCTGTACAACCAACAGACATGGGCTTGCTGAAAGAAGTCAATCTAGTCAATGTTAAAGTAAAGTTATATGCTAGTGTGAATTTTTGGTATTTCAAAAATGCCAGAATTTCTCAAATACACTCACCTCTAAACATCTGTAAAGTGTTCTCATTTCATACTGAACTCTGTGCTTCTTGTAAATATGCACTGATTGGAGAAGAGTAAATCGCTCTATTTTCCTTGGAGGTTCATGTCTGAAATTAATGGACAAAACAAAACCTGAGTCACTATGATAACAAAGCATAATTCCATAATTTTGTAGGTCAGACTCACACTCAATTATAGGCATTAACTACCATTTACAGACTTCCATTTGCCAAAACTGTCATCTGGAACAACAACTGCTATCATAAAACTCAAGCCAAAATAAACACTGCAGACAGCAATAGAAACTTTTTCCCACAGGCTCAAAAATAAGCCCTGGCATGTCAAGTGTGCAAGCATACACACACACCTGCTGCTTTTACACCCTTTAGTCTTTTATTGACCAAATATATTAATTGTGAAGAGCAGCACCAGTGTGGTAGACATAGTTGTAACACCTGCTGTATGTCTGTTGTTTTAGGAAAATCTACAGATAAATCAAAATAACAAAACTATAGTCTGTTTTGGGAAACCGTGGCCTTCTGTTTTTGTCAGAAGGCCAGACTGCCAAAGCCCCAGATGGGGCCTCGTTCAACAGCAGAAGGAGCAGATGACAAGACAAAGGAGACAGTTATGCTTGACCCTGCAGTGACTCCAAGGCTTACCTTGTTCAAGCAAGAAATTACTGGGTAAGTGGTGTTTCTTAGGGAAGATTTGAAATGATGGATGTATTAGCCAAAAATCATCACATCCAAAGGGTCTAAAACGATTGTTCATTCACCTACTCTACCTCCCTGCTCCATGGAGATCCCAGAAACATGGCAGGAAGGCATGATCCTGATTAGGATAACATATGACAAACTTAAGCTCTACCCACCAAGAGTTTCTATCCCACTTTAAGAGCTCAGACTGGGCCAGGTGCAGTGGCTCACGCCTGTAATCCCAGCACTTTGGGAAGCTGAGGCGGGCAATTTGCCTGAGCTCAGGAGTTCGAGACCAGCCTGGGCAACACAGTGAAACCCCATCTCTACTAAAATACAAAAAATTAGCCAGGCGTGGTGGCATGCGCCTGTAGTCCCAGCTATTCGGGAGGCTGAGAACTGCTTGAACCCAGGAGGCAGAGGTTGCAGTGAGCTGAGGTTGTGCCACTGTACTCCAGCCTGGGCAACAGAGCGAGACTCTGTCTCAAAAAAAAAAAAAAAAAAGAGTTCAGACCTTCCTGGGATGAGCACTATTTTCCTGGTTGATCATATTACAGCAGCGAACAGGTCGGGTCAGGAAAGGCCATACTCACACTTTAATAGAGATACCAAGTTCTTTAGCAGCAAGCACAGCAAAATATTCATAACTGTCCAATACAGCCTTATCGTGACCTTTCACCAAAACCGAGAGGCGCTTATATAATATGTCTGGTTCATCAGAGATTGTTACCTAAAATCCAAAAGAAAAGTTTCAGTTTTAGTTCCTCTTCTATTTCTAACTAGCAAATTTAAAACATTAGCCTCAATTGAACAACTTCAGAGTTTACTAATAAATGAGGAGAAAAACACTGAGTGACGGCAGTGTTAGCTGAAGTGTCTAGATACTTTCATGTTCAGATCTGGACTATGAGCCTCAGAATCTGTTAAAATACAGTGTAAATGAAAAGAATTTTCAAGGCAACCCACAAAATTACTAAAGGAACTTTCCAACTTAAAATAACGATTCAGCTTCAAATTCACAATGAAAAAGGACTCCAGGGTCTGCTAGTAAAGAGCCTGGGCAGAAGACTTGGATTGAGGATTAAGCTCTGCTAATGGTAGCTGAATGACAACGGACAAATCATATCGTCTCACTGCACATTAGTTTCCTCACATATGAAAGAGGGTAAACCTATGCTATTGCTCATAGTATTTCTCTAAGAAAAAAATAAGAAAACACAGATTAAAGTGCTTATTAATTATAAAACATTATTATACAAAGCCAAGTTAGTTCTATTCATATTTTTTATTAGGTTTTATTCGCGTATGTTTTGTCTGCCCTAATAAACAAATTACTCATTTCTAATTTAAATGATATGACACTGACTATACCTATAACTTCAACCTCTTCCACCCTAATACCTAAAGACCTTAGAAATAATGGGTTTGACATTTTTGACTTTCTTCCAAAAGGTGAATTACCTTCATTTCATTCATCCGTTAAACCAGTAAATTATACTACTAATCCAATGATTCAGAGTTAAATCACTTCACTCCTGAAAGATTTACTTACTAGCCAGAAAGCTAGATATCCACTCTCAATTACTCCAAAAAGGGTTGTTGGAAGAACAGAATATACTGATAGCCTGTGTCCTAAGTTGAGGGATGAGAAGGGGGAATATAGCCTCAAGATGTGTTCTGACTGATCCCTACAGGGTGTTAAAAGATACTTTGAATTTGTTAGGAATATTAAAAATCAGAAGATTTCACAAGAAAATCTGGATTTCAGTTTAGCTTGGAAGATTTAGACAGGCTGGCATCACTAGGTCTGATTTCCCACAGGGCAACAAGTGGCTAGAATAAGTAGCTGCTGTCTTGCTTATAAAGACAGTGGCACACCATGCCAATTCTGCCACCTTTTCTTATAGGCCTGGCTCCTGCAGGCATGTGAGTTGCAGACTGGGGCTTAAATGTACTATCATAGAAATACATCCAGTACTGGCCAGGTGTGGTGGCTCATGCCTGTAATCCCAGCACTTTGGGAGGCTGAGGCAGGCAGATCACTTGAGGCCAGGAATTTGAGACCAGCCTGGCCAACATGGGAAAACCCCATTTCTACTAAGAATACAAAAATTAGCCAGGCATGGTGGTGTGTGCCTGTAATCCCAGCTAGTCGGGAGGCTAAGGCATGAGAACTACTTGAACCCAGGAGGCTGAGGTGAGGTGAGCCGAGATCATGCCACTGCACTCCAGCCTGGGTGACAGAGCGAGACTCTGTCTCAAAATAAATAAATAAATAAATATCCAATATCTATTAAGAGAAAAGTTAGAAAAGAGCAGTAAACTAGACATGTGCACAGACAAAGTGAGTACCTACAGACAAATGTCTAGAACTGTAATCCCAAACTGTTAAAGGGGGTTATTTTTGAGGGGTGGAAATGAAAGGATTTTTAAAAATTACAAGTAACACAAAAAACTGGATTGATGAAATCATAGCTTCTACAGGGTTACCAAGTTCCTTCTAGATGTTTATTATTTGTGCTAACGCATTTTCTCACTGTGAACAATAAAGCACTGTCCAGGCCCAGGCTCAATACACAAAATGAAAACAAAGACTTGAAGGCTACAAGAAAAATACTTTTCCATAACATAAATCAAGTATTCTACATCACAAATTCTGACAACTCTTCCATTATGCCAAGCTAAAAGCAAGAGACTACTAATTAACACAGTTATTTGGGGGTAAATAATTTATTCCTTTAGAACTTACTTTGATACCCTGAAGACAATATAATCCAGGGAGTTAAGAGAATATATGCGTTGTGCATTTGCCAGTATTCTAGGACAAAATTTTTTTATTCATAGAGTGTTTGGGGAAAAAAAACCCAATGAAATAATAAGGAAAACCTATTGCCAAGGTAGCTCCTTATACCAAGAAACAGGGAGTACATACCACAGGTTTGGTCAAATCCTTTGGAACATCAACGTGTAGGTTTGAAAACTGTACCCACTTCATATTGGTACTGCTATGTGTGGGGAAAAAAAGAGAAACCTAAGTAAAATAGCACAAGAACCTATTTTGTTCAATTTAGCACATCCAATTGTATACTTACAGAAGCAAGCCACCATTTTTGGCTGTATTGCCCTTAGAAGTGTTTACAGAAAAATTCCCCAATCCCTAAAGAAAAAAAAAGTAGGACATGTGTTAGAATTAAAGTCAACTACCAAACCATTCATAATTTCCACTAAAAACTAAAAGGTTACCTCATTATTTCAGACGAAGATACTGGGGTAACTAAAATGGCCAAATTAGATTGAAAAAAAAAAGAGGACAATGGTAGAGCTGATGATAAAAAAAAAAGCAGTCTCAAAATACTAGAGAATCTCTATTTTAAAGATTAGGAATAAAAACTTTTTCAAAAAAAACAATTCTCACATTTAAAAAAAGCTATGAATTATGTGGACATCAAGAAAAAATGTGACTTCATTTTCCCATTATTTTTTACAAATTAATTGTACTTCAGTATAATACTTATTTTGCCTGAATATCTTTAAGCAATAAAATATATTGTTTTTATAATTTGTTAAGAGTTGGAATAAAAATTCTGAAGTATCCCTCTTTTGATGCTTTCATACATCTTTTAAAGCATACATATTTCTTAGCTTGGCTGGGATAACTAGCTTATAATGAACTGAAATATGTGCTGTGACTTATACCCATCATTAACTACTGTGCCACATGCTACAACGAACCCACATTTCCAAATCCTTTACCATCAGCTCCCCCTGGTGGAACAAGACTTTCCAGTTTTAGGAAACAAACGATACTACTACATATAACAGCTGTTTTTTCCTTTCAACTTTTCTGAGATTTTGAAGTGTAACCTGAGAAAGTGGAAACACAATAGAATCCTTAAAAACACAATGAAGATGAAAATAAGGCCAGGTGCCGTGGCTCACACCTGTAATCCCAGCACTTTGGGAGGCCAAGGTGGGTGGATCACTTGTAGTCAGGAGTTCCAGAGCAGCCTGGCCAACATGGTGAAACCCTGTCTCTACTAAAAATACAAAAATTAGCCAGGCATGGTGGCGGTGCGGTTGTGATCCTAGTTACTTGGGAGGCTGAGGCAGGAGAATCGCTTGAACCCGGGAGGCGGAGGTCCAGGCTGGGTGACAGAGCGAGACTCCCTCTCAAAAAAAAAAAAAGAAGTTTAGCATAAGTGAAGTTTCATTAATACAAATGATTGTCACCTAAGTACGTTTTTGTTTGTTTTTTCAGGGTTTTTTTGAGACAAGGTCTCACTCTGTTATCCAGGCTGGAGTGCAGTTGCATGATCATGGCCTGGACCTCCCAGGTTCAGGTGGTCCTCCCACCCCAGTCTCCCAGATAGCTGGGACTACAGGCACGGGCCACCAGGCCCAGCTAATATTTTGTACTTTTGTAGAGATGGGGTTTCACCATATTTCCCAGGCTGGTCTTGAACTCGTGGGCTCAAGCGATCCTCCAGCCTCAGTGTCCCAAAGTGCTGGGATTTCAGGAGTGAACCACCACCTAGCCACGTTTTAAAAGCCTATTCTTAGCTTATTGTCCTTCCTCTCCTTACCCAAGATAGAGACAAATCATAACTCTATAATCTTCTTTGCACCAAAGGGGAAAAGGAAAAAGGAAATCAGGTACAACACAAAGTGGTAAGAGGTATGTGCCATTCTTCAGACAAAATTGCATAGAAAATTCCCTCCCAACAATTACACCAGTGACCCCACAATCGAGTTGTGCAAGAGGAGCAAGAATATTACACTTCTCAGTCACATTCTCCCACTATAAACCTCTGCTTTTTCTTTTCTTTTTTTTTTCTTTTCTTTTTTTTTTTTTTTTTGAGAGAGTCTTGCTCTGTCGCCCAGGCTGGAGTACAGTGGAGCATTCTCAGCTCACTGAAACCTCCGCCTCCTGGGTTCAAGCAAGTCTCCTGCCTTAGCCTCCTGAGTAGGTGGGATTACAGGGGCCCACCGCCACACTCAGCTAATTTTTGTATTTTTAGTAGAGACGGAGTTTTGCCATGTTAGCCAGGATGGTCTTGATCTCCTGATCTCGTGATCCGCCCACCTCGGCCTCCCAAAGTGTAGGGATTACAGGCGTGAGCCACCGTGCCCGGCCAAGAAGTTTTTAAATTGCATTTTTTCTTTGTATTTCTTGAGAGAGAGAGAGAGAGAGAGAGAGAGTGTGTGTGTGTGTGTGTGTGTGTGTGTTGGGGGAGTGGTGGTTTGGAAGGGAGGGCTGTCTGGGTAAATTTGTCTTAATAAAGCAGTTCAAAAATTTCAATCTCTAATACCATCTGACTTTTCTCAAGAACAGTGGTTTTCAGGCCGGGTGCGGTGGCTCAAGGCTGTAATCCCAGCACTTTGGGAGGCCGAGGCTGCCGGATCACTTGAGGTCAGGAGTTCGAGACCAGCCTGACCGACATGGTGAAACCCCGTCTCTGCTAAACATACAAATACTAGCTGGGCATGGTGACGCATGACTGTAATTCCAGCTGCTCGGGAGGCTGAGGTAGGAGAATCACTTGAACCCGGGAGGTGGAGGCTGTAGTGAGCCGAGATCGTGCCATTGCGCTCCAGCTTGGGCGACAAGAGCGAAACTCCGTCTCCAAACAAAAACAAAAACAAAAACGGTGGTCTCAAAGTGTAGTCTGAGGACGTCTGTGGGGTCTGAGACACTTTCAGGGGATCCGGGAAATCAAAACTATTTTCATAAAACCAAAACGTCATTTACAACTTTTCCACTCATTCTCTTACCAGTGTACAGTGAAGTTTTCCCGTGACAGCCTGAGGTGTGATATAGGAAAAGATTAAATACAGAAGCAGATTTGAATCTAGCTTTTATTAAGCCAGAAATTAAAGAGAGCTGCAAAAATGTAAAACATTGCTGCTCCTTACTCAGTTTGTTCAGAAAATATATTTTTCATAAAGTATTAGTTGTAACATGTAATGAGTTAGTGTTACTTTTAAATCAATATATATTCTTAAGTTTTATTTTCCAAAAAGCTAAATATAGATAGCAAAAACCCACAAAAACAAAAGCTCTCTGGAGTCCTGAACTCCGAAAGTGTAAAGTGGTCCCAAGGCCAAAAAGCAGGAGAACCGCTGCTGAAAAGTTTTTGCTCCTCCTGCAAATAACTGCGCAGAGGATATCTAACCCACTTCTCTGGCTTGAGACCTTCATCTAAATTTGGATGCCAGGAAAGCATCTCAATTTAGTTCCATGGGAAGAGTCTGATATCTTGCACCAGCTCAGCCTCTAATTTTCGCGAGGCAAATTTCCTGTCTTCTCTGAGCCTCAGTTTATTTTGCAAGCGTGAAAGGAGGGGTTTTGGAACATACGAAGTACAAAATCTTTTCCAGCTCTGACATTCTACGATTATTCTTGTTCCTATCTTTGCCTGGACTCACTAACTTATATTTAATTCCATGAGAGAATTCTGATAAAACTAGCCCCTTTCTCGTCACTTTCCTGTAAACGGCGCGAGGTGAGGGATAAATATCAGGAAAAATCCTGATGGGCAGAGCGGCTGGTGGCAGGGAAACTTAAAAGCAACTATCCCGGTCAGCCCTCCTAGTCTCCCTAGCCAATCCAGTACCTGCCAGAGGCGCCGGCACACAGCACCGAACGCTGTCCGCGCCGCCATCTTGCCGGTCCCGACCTCTCAGGATTGCTTCCGGGGTTACAGCGGCGTCCTCAGACCATAGAGTTCCGCAAAAGAAGAGAGTACATCCTCATGTTCCGGCGCTGGAACAACCATAGAGACATGAACCTGTGCTTTTTGGGGGCGGGACAGTTGGCTGGCCAGGCTGGTTTGGCTCCGGCCAGTGTCTGGATAGTTACCAAGCCCTATTAATGTTTTCACCTTTAAATTGTTGTGTGTGTATACACACACACACACACACACATTTATTTATTTACTTATTTTTTCCTTTTAGAGACTGAGTCTCACTCGGCTGCCCAGGCTGGAGTGCAGTGGCACAGTCATAGCTCACTGCAGCCTCAAACTCCTGCCTCAAGTGATCCTCCTGCCTCAGCCTCCCAAGTAGCTGGACTACAAGTGCGTGCCACCACAGCCGACTAATTTTTTGTTTTTTTTTTTAATTTTCTTGTAGAGACAGGGTCTCATTATATTGCTCTCGTTATTTTGTGGGCTGGTCTTGAATTCCTGTCCTCAAGTGATCCTCTGGCCTTGGCCTCCCAAAGGACTGAGATTACAGGCATGAACCACAAAGCCCGGACTGAAACTAGTGTATTGACACCATTTACTTCAGTACTGGAATAATGGGTGATTTATTTTCCTATTTTTGCATTTTTCAATTTTTTTTGCATTTTTCAAAATTTTAACAAAATCTATATTTAACAAGAAAAAGAAAAGTCGGCCACTACCATTGGGTCCAGTTGCCACTCAGTTACCTTATTGCAGCGGCTTTCTAATTATGGTTCTTAATCCTTTCTTCCTTCCCCACACCAATTGGAATTCCTGTGCTCCAACCATTTTGTATACCGCTGTCCTACTGATCTTTCTAAATTATTCATTTCCTTATGTTACTCTAGTATTTAGGAATTTACAATGGCTAGCTTCACTTACAACAAGCCAAAGTGTTTTGTCTAATTATTAATGTCCACCATAATTTTTTCCAAGTAAAAAGATGTATAACTGGGATTTGCTATAATAAAAACTTCTTCAGGCTGGGTGCGGTGGCTCACGCCTGTAATCCCAGCACTTTGGGAGGCTGAGGTGGGCGGATCACCTGAGGTCAGGAGTTCGAGACCAGCCTGGCCAACATGGTGAAACCCCATCTCTACTAAAAATACAAAAAATTAGTGGGGTGTCATCGTTGTGTGCCTGTAGTCCCAGCTACTCAGGAGGCTGAGGCACGAGAATTGCTTGAACCCGGGAAGTGGAGGTTGCAGTGAGGCAAGATCGTGCCACTGCACTCCAGCCTGGGAGACACAATGAGACTCTGTCTAAAAAAAAAAAAAAAAAAAGAAAAGAAAAGAAAAGGCCAGGTGCAGTGGCTCGGCTCACACCTGTAATTCCAGCACTCAGCACTTTGGGAGGCCAAGGCGGGTGGATCACCTGACGTCAGAAGTTCAAGATCAGCCTGGCCAACATGGCAAAACCCTGTCTCTACTAAAAATACAAAGTCAGGCATGGTGGTGTGCACCTGTAATCCCAGCTATTTGGGAGGCTGAGGCAGGAGAATCTCTTGAACCCGGGAGGCAGAGAGTGCAGTGAGCCGAGATTGAGATTGTACCACTGCACTCCAGTCTAGGGAACAGAGCGAGACTCCGTCTCCAAAAAAAAAACTTATTCCATTTGTGCAAATCTTTAAAAATTTATTTTTATTTTTCCTTTTACTTTCTCCTCATCTTAAAGTCTGCTTCTATAATACTATATTGTCTTTTTTGTGTGTGTGTGTGAGACAGTGTCTCGCTCTGTTGCCCAGGCTGGAGAGCACTGGCTTGATCATAGCCCACTGCAGCCTCAAACTCCTGGGGTTAAGTGATCCTCACACCACAGCCTCTGGAGTATCTAAAACTACAGGTGTTTGCGACCATTTTTTATTTTATTTTTATTGTTTTGTAGAGACAGAGACTTGCTATGTTGCCCAGGCTGGTCTCAAACTCCTGGCTTCCAGCAATCCTCTCACCTTGGCCTCCCAAAGTGCTGGTTTTACAGGTATGAGCCACTGCACTTGGCCCATTTGTTCACATTTCTAAGCTTTATTTCCCCAAAGTGCTTTCACATATGCATTTTAGCCTAATGGAAAACTCTAGCCTTATAATCAGATCTGGTTTCTAATCCCAGGCTTACCAGTTAGTTGAGTGACTTTGAGCAAGTTACTTCCTTACCCTCAGCCTCAGTTTGCTCATATGTCAAAAAAAAAAAAAAAAAAAAGATAACAGTAGTTCCTGCTTCCAATAGTTGCTTGGGAATTCAATGCAATACCAATATATGGTGTTTAGTACAATACTGCCATGTAATGATACACTATAGATGTCATCCACTATTTGTGCCATTAAGTTTCTACCTCACCTGCCTCACAAGGTTGTTGAGAAGATTAAAAATAAAAAGATCAAGTTTATGAGAATATTTTATAGCATCCAAATAAAGAACTGTACAAATATAAAGTTGTTTTTTTTTTCTCCCCACAAATAGTTATTACTACCCTATTTTGCAGGCAAGAGAACCAAAGAAGAGGCAGAATGATTTGCCCAACATCACACCTATCTAGGAGATAGAAAAGGTCTAGGAGCAGAAACCAGTTTTCCTGCCCCTCAGGCTGGCCTCTGTTTACTAGAATTCAGTCCGTGTTGAGGTGTGGCAGAGATTCCAGTGTGGCCTTGCAACAGGGTATGGAAACAGCACACTTCACCTGTGTGCACTTCTTATTTATTTATTTTTGAGACGGAGTTTCACTCTTGTTGCCCAGCCTGGAGTGCAATGGCATGACCCTGGCTCACTGCAACCTCCACCTCCTGGGTTCAAGTGATTCTCCTACCTCAGCCTCCTGAGTAGCTGGGATTACAGGCATGCGCCACCACGCCCAGCTAATTTTTGTATTTTTAGTAGAGACGGAGTTTCTCCATGTTGACCAGGCTGGTCTCAATCTCTTGACCTCCTGATCCGCCCACCTTGGCCTCCCAAAGTGCTGGGATTACAGGCTTGAGCCACCACACCCGGCCTCACCTGTGTGCCCTTCTGCTGGACTCGGTGATGCCCCATGTTGGCAGGTTGCCCAGTGCCCTTCTCAGAATCAGTCTCTCTCTCTGAATTGTGACACTTAAGGGGATTTCTCTCAGCCAATGGGGTTTTCCAACAGCCTCCCCACTCCCAACTCTGTTCCTGCTTCCAAAGTTTGCATCGGTTTGTCCAAATGGCACTTCCGTGAGGCCCTTCACCCTGCCTCTGTCCCCTTTGAGTAGCCTCAGCTGGGTGAGTGTTCTGCAACTATAGTGCTTGCAAACGACTTTCACCTAAGTTACCTACTCTGATCCACACCAGAAGACATGGATTTTATCCTCATTTTATAGATGAGGAACCCAAGGTGAAATGACTCACTCAGGGTCATATGGTAAGTTAGTTACAGCTAAACCAATAACCATCTTAAAAGCAGTGCCTTTTCTACCTCTGCAGTGGGCTGGTGCTGATTCTATGATGAGGTTCGGTTCTATTTAAATCTCTTGGATAATAGGACTAGAAATACCCACCACCCTAGCACCACTCCAAAAGAAATAGGGGCTTATTTTTAAAGACCTGTGTGGTCTGGACAGCTCCTGGAACTGGAAAGGTATGCTTTAAACAGTCTTAGGGACTGGATACCCTCTTCACTCCTGAGGCCAAATGTGTTCTTTTTAATGATGGGCTTTCACTGCTTACCAATAGTTTCTGCTCCCTCAGGACTCTGCATGGCCACTGCTCTCTGCTTTTGGCTCATCAAGTTTCTCCATTCATACTCTCAAATGTGGAAATTTGATTTGGTTCTCTCATCTTCCTGGGCTGAGCCAAATGTGTCACCACACGGCCTAGGGGCCTAATGGTTTGGGATCAAGTGCCGACTTGCTAGGGCCTAGGTAGAACTCATTGTAAGGGGCAACATCAGGTTTTGCCCAGAGTAGGGCTGTGAACAGTGCTCTTTGGCATGAGGTGTGGGCAGGGACAGCGTTCTGAAGCTTGGCCTATCCGTTAAGGGTCTCTTTCCTACAGCCTAAACTTCCAGACACCCAACCTCATGTAGAGGAGCAGGAGTCCAATGATTCTAGATAGTTGATGCAAGTAAACCTTGCTTTATGTCCAGAAAAAATAAACATAGATACATCAAATATTTTACAGTTAATCATATTTTGATTGTGCCAGTTGTTCTGTTTTTAAAGACAGTCCTTTCCAAAAGATCCTCTCGTACATAAAGGAAGTAATCAGCTCTTTGGCTCCTTTTTTTATATTTATTTTTATTATTATTGTTTTTTTGAGACACAGTTTCACTCCTGTTGCCCAGGCTGGAGTGCAATGGCTTGATCTCGGTTCACTGCAACCTCTGCCTCTTGGGTCCAAGGGATTCTCCTGCCTCAGCCTCCCGAGTAGCTGGGATTACAGGCATGCGCCATTATGCCTGGCTAATTTTTGTATTTTTAGTAGAGACAGGGTTTCTCCATGTTGGTCAGGCTGGTCTCAAACTCCTGACCTCAGGTGATCTACCCGCCGCGGCCTCCCGAAGTGCTGGGATTACAGGAGTGAGCCATCACGACTGGCCCTTTGGCTCCTTTACACAGGGATATCTACAATTCAAAGATCACTTATGGTTCTCTTAGGAATATATTATTCAATTTCTTAAAATGTCTTCCTAATTATGCTTTGCTGTGTCAACATGAACTCTCATCCACATTCCTAGAGCACATCTCAGCTCGCTGGCGGTGGCTGAGGATGGTAGATAGGGAGTAAATGGAATTCAGGATTTACACACACATTCTCTCTCTGCCAAATGCACACATGGATGAGCGTACCTGGAGGACTGGCGAGTTAACTCATTGAACAAATAGTTGCTGAGCACCCGCTATAAATTGCTGTGTACATGTGGGTGATGGTGAGAGGATTCCGAATATTGATAGGTCTCTTCTCAATCCTGGAATTGAATCTGTTCCAAGGCCCCCATATGTCTTTCTAGGTATTAAATTCCTTGGCAGGAAGGAATCATGTACAGCCATCTTTATACACTCTCCTCCCCCTGTATAATACAGTATGGAATAATGGTGGCTCATGAGGATCGACTGACTGAATAAAAGTAGAAAAAAATCTTCCAATTAGGCCTCCAGAAGTAGACTTTAAATTTACAGCACTGGCTAAGGCACACAGTTTCTAGAGGAATAGCTATTTTATTTGGTATAGGTTGTCTAAAGTAAACAGCTAAAATTAAAGTCAAAAACCAAAAAAGGCCAGGCGCAGTGGCTCACACCTGTAATCTCAGCACTTTGGGAGGCCAAGGTGGGTGGATCATGAGGTCAGGAGATCCAGGCCATCCTGGCTAACACGGTGAAACCCATCTCTACTAAAAAAAAAAAAAAAAAAAAAAAAAAATTAACCAGGCGTGGTGGTCTGTAGTCCCAGCTACTCGGGAGGCTGAGGCAGGAGAATCCCTTGAACTCGGGAGGTGGAGGTTGCAGTGAGCCCAAATCGCGCCACTGCACTCCAGCCTGAGCGACAGTGAGACTCCGTCTCAAAAACAAAAAAAATCCAAAAGAGGCCAGGTGCAGTGGCTCATGTCTATAATCCTAGCACTTCAGGAGGCCAAGGCAGAAGGATTGCTTGAGGCCAGGAGATCAACATCAGCCTGGCCAACATAGTGAGACCCTGTCTCTATTAGTTTAAAAACAACAACAACCCCCCTTCCCCACCCCCCCCACCCTCCAAAAGAATCTAGATCAAGGTCTTGAATAGGCATTCCCCACTTAAAGCAAATTTATTTTTGTAAAATTCTGTAAACTTCTGTATGAAATCCAGAATTTGAAAGTTCTTCTATAGTTTTCTGTTGACCATGAAAAGTAAACATACATCACGCCTGTAATCCCAGCACTTTGGGAGGCCGAGGCGGGTGGATCATGAGGTCAGGAGATCGAGACCATCCTGGCTAACAAGGTGAAATCCCGTCCCTACTAAAAATACAAAAAATTAGCCAGGGTGTGGTGGCGGGCGCCTGTAGTCCCAGCTACTCGGGAGGCTGAGGCAGGAGAATGGCATCAACCCGGGAGGCAGAGCTTGCAGTGAGCTGAGATCACACCACTGCACTCCAGCCTGGGTGACAGAGGGAGACTCTGTCTCAAAAAAAAAAAAAAAAAAAAGTAAACATACAGCCAGGTGCAGTGGCTCACACCTGTAATCCCAGCACTTTGGAAGGCCGAGGCGGGCCTCAGACGGATCTCTTGAGGCCAGGGGTTCGAGACCAGCCTGGCTAACATGGCGAAACCTCGCCTCTAATAAAATACAAAAATTAGCCAGGTGTGGTGGTGCATGACCTGTATAGTCCCAGCTACTTGGGAGGCTGACCCGTGAGAATTGCTTGAACCCAGGAGTGGAGGCTTCAGTGAGCTGAGATCATGCCACTGCACTCCAGGCTGGGGAACAAAGCAAGGCTCTGTCTCAAAAAAAAAAAAGTAAACATACTTACTCAAATTTGAAAATGCAGGTTTAAAATGCAAATAAATCGGGGTGGACTTAGAGGAGCTGACCCGTGAGAATTGCTTGAACCCAGGAGTGGAGGCTTCAGTGAGCCAAGATCGTGCCACTGCACTCCAGGCTGGGGAACAAAGCAAGACTGTCAAAAAAAAAAAAGTAAACTTACTTACTCAAATTTGGAAATTCAGATTTAAAATGCAAATAAATCGGGGTGGACTTAAGACTTTGTGGAGGATTTAGTGTAAGACACCTGTATGTCACAGTGTGCTCCCTTGAATCACAGTTTGAGTCATAAGGTTTATGACTCAGTTTGAGTTTATGACACAGTTTGAGTCATAAGGTTTACGAACCCAAGTGGTTCATCCACTGCTTGAATAGCAGAAATGTATGTCCTGGTCTTCGGAGTCGGGGGACACTTTAATAATGATCATTAAATTTGATCAGCCGACTTAAACTTGTTGTCTACGGAAACCAATTAACAGGTAAACTAGCATTTATCCAGCATTGAGAAGTCATAGCAATGGCTAGAAAGAAGAAATATTTAAGCCAAACGAAACGCAAAAGATTAATATTTTATTTTCAGAGCAGCTGATGCAATATTGAATCAGGTTTTCACAAATAAATATGACAGTGTCTGTTTGGTTACATCTCCATTTGATGAATGCCCATCTATAGGAACTGTAATAACTTTCTGAGAGGCTAATGATTAGAATGTGTTAAATAAAATTTCCCTGGTTCCCTTTTTGAAGAAGCATTGTGATAATTAAGAAAAAAAAAAAGCTTATCACTTGGAGGGGAAACAACCTAGAATGCCCCAGTTTCCTTTTTTTTTCTTTTTTTTTTTTTTAAGGAATGCACCTTTTTAGGACAAGTCTATAAAACATCTTTATTTATTTGTTACATATGATGTTTAAATATAACTTTGCTTTCAAGCTTCAAACTTTTTTTAAACCCCTGGTAAAATAAGACTTTTGGTTCACCTTAACAAAAACTGACCTAGGAAGAAACATTTTTAGCAAAATGTTATTATAAAATTCACTAGAAAATACGGTCCTCTTGTTGCCAAAATGTTACATAAAATCCTTATTAAAAATACACACGTTACAAAAGAAAAATTATGAATATGCTATACATAGTGCTTTAATATGGACCAAGGGACTTGCATTCCGGGAAAATACAGTTAAGCACACTAGATATTATGATGTCAACTTATAATAGTGCAAACCTGAATAAATTACATCCTGATATGGAAGGCATGCAATTCATCTGCTGAGAATAGAACATAACGAAGCCAGAACAGGAAGCAATCACAACCACTATTTAAAAATGTTTTCCTTTTTATTACATTAATTTTTTTCAAAAATACTTTTCTTTACAATAGAACTCCTAGAAAATATTTACAACCTTCCTCTAATAAAATATAACAGCAGTTAAATATATTTGAAAATAAGATGGGTTTTTCCATAAAATATATCTGTTAACTTTTTATATACAAGCTTTCTCAAAGAGGTCTAAATTCACTAATGAAAAACCATCTGATAGTAAACAGTAACCGAGTTGAGACATTAACCATTAGGAAGAAAAGATCTTTGGGGTGGGGTAAGGGGAGAAGCTAAAACACAACACATACATGCAGGCAGAATTATTTCAGAAAAAAAAATAAGTGCAACATTGTACTAGGAAGTCCATTCTTTAAGTTGATAGTCAAGAAATACTAATTCAGGAATTTGAACTGTCTCGTTAAGGAGGAGTTCTTTGGTTGTTTCAAGTCAAAAATCCTTATGCTATACTGCATGGAAAATTATAAGTAAGCTGTGCATTCTATTTTTGCCATGGCAACTGAGTTTATTTTTTAATGTTTAAAACTGGAACAGCTGGGCAAATCTCTAAACAGAGGCAATACATTTGCTTTATAAACACTTTTCTGGATGTTTGCTCCTTTGATAGATAAGCTTCCATAGACCCAATAGCAGCACCCTTCTAGGCTTACCCTCAGACACTAAGTGGAGGGCAGTAGTCCCTGGGAGAGACGATCAGCCAAGGATATGACAGCTGTAATGGTTCGGCCACAAAGTTGATGCACACTGCCCAGGCAGTTCCTGACTCACAACTGCTTGGATAAAACAGGATAGCATAACCTTTCTGAAATGGCAGCAAATGAAACTTTTTTCCCCCTCTAAACAAAAGATGTAGGAAAACGCCAAGACCTCTTTGAAAATAGAATGATGGAAAAGAATTTTATTTTTTTTTCTGTCCATGGCTTTCCTGAAGTTCAGAGACCACTGTCTGTGTGGGGCTGCTGTGGCTCACAGCCAGTTCCCCCCCATGAGTGTGTGCTAAATGCTTTTGCAGAGTCAAAGACGTCAGGTCCTACTCTCATGCTTCTGCTGATATTCTCTCTCATGTCAAGCTATGAATGTTGTCAGCAAAGTGGCCCAGCGTGATAGGCACACCTACGTGGAGCTGGGAACCAGCATACCTGGGGTGGGCGATGCCTGAAAACACCGGCCCAGGAAATCACGCTGCATTAACTCCAAAAGGGGAGTTGCATGAAGCAGGATCCTCTCTGTACTGGCGCTGTGTCCCAGCCTGACTTTTGCCCTAACGGTGGGATGGGTCAGTCTGACTCAGCTCAGAAGCCTGGGGCTAAATGGCATTTTTGAAGGATTACAGGTTTATTACCTTCAAGTACAAACAGCAACCCTGCTGACAGGGACAGGAGGAAGCAGAGCAAAGTCATGGAGGTTGGAGAAGTCTAGAAGTGCTTTGGTAAGTGACTTGTGATGAATACATTCATTGTTTGAATGCAAACATTATAGCTAAGGTGTATCTGAAGCCATTTTTGTTGGCCTTCAATGCTATTTGTCTTGTATTTGCTATCGTATGTGTTAGAAAACTATTTCTTATAGCTAACATCAAGGTAAACTTCAGTCCAGCGGATGTGAATTACAGCAAAATCCCAGTGAATGCGGTTTCACAGTACTTCCAAGTGGCACAAAGTAATTTCAGAACTCCACTAATCATTAACAGCGTTGCAAAAAAGAATAGGCTTTTCTGATTTGTTTTTTGGGCAATAGAACACTTTCTGGCATTCTAGGTACTTCAATATGTGTCCTTCAATCACCCTGAAGTGAAAGCAGTCCTGGCAACTTAATATTTGCCTCCAGATGGGTCTCTAGTCAGTTCATGCTGAAACACAGCTCTGCCACCCACAACTTGGAGCTGACCAGCCCCCAGGGAACATGGAAGAGGACAGGACACACCTGTTCTAGAAAACCAGGTCCTCAGTAAACACTGCTGGGAATGAAAGCCTAAAATTATACAGT
This sequence comes from Homo sapiens, assembly GCF_000001405.40. Lineage (NCBI taxonomy): Eukaryota > Metazoa > Chordata > Mammalia > Primates > Hominidae > Homo > Homo sapiens. The sequence continues at coordinate 42,227,704 of NC_000006.12, forward strand.
ACTCCATTCCTGTGAACGGGCCAAAGGATGACGGGCAACACAGGGGAAACCTGTTTTCACATTTGGTCATCTCCTCACATGTCGTGTGAGCTGGAGGAGAGCCGTGTAACACGAGGGCTTGCTTTGCCCCTGGAAAGCTGCCCCTAGCATAGTATCTCCAGGCAAAGATGCCATGCTCACTGCAAACTATGGAATGAGGTCAGAACAGAATCAAAGTAACGCTTGATGGGAAAAGTTGGCCCCAAGACCCCAGTACTAAGAGGGTCGCCTGCGTCTCACACACACACACTCACAGCAAGCTTTGGGATAAAAGGCAACCGGGATGGTTGACATCTGAATGCAATGGAACATGAAGGTCAGCTTCAGTCCCTACTGGGAATGATTTCATGAGAAGGTAGCCCAGATGAAACACCTCTTAAAGATAGTTGTGCCAATTATTTATTCCCCCAACCCCCCACAAAAACAAATTTTTTTAAATAAAAGGAAAAGAAATAGGATTTTTTTTTCTAAACCTGAATAAAATGACCACTTTTAAAACAGGTAGTTTAAAAGGGTTACAAAACAAGCAGGCAGTCCAGGTTTCCTGATTAATGAAGATGGAGGCCGTGGGTTTTCACTGTCTCTAAGTGACACACAGGGCTTTATAGTTCTGCGTCACCCTGAAGCAAGACTGAATCTTGATCATCCAAGAGAAGATCGGTGTCCACAACTTCAGCCTCTTCCATGACACCTCCCAACTGCTGGACGACGTCGTCGTCGAGGATGTCCACATCCTTGATGGGTTTGATCAGACTCAGCTGGTCCAGGGGCAGCAGCCCCGGCGCCCCCACGGGCCCCGTAGTCCTCTCAATCGTGGCTGCCATCTCAGCTGCAAAAGCCGCCTTCTGAGCCTTTTGCCTCTGTTGTTCCTCCTGCTGCCTGTGAGTTTTCATGTGTGCATTTCGGCTTTTGATCTTGAAGAAGACTCTAAAAATAAAGAAAGAGAGGTGTGTAGAATTTAGAAGGAGATCTGAGTTCTTGGAAATCCAGGTGTCCTACGGGGAATGGGGGTGTGTGGTCTGACAAAGTCCCTGGCTGCTCGGCTTCTAGGACCTCCTTCCCCTGTGACCTGTCACCTCTCTTCCTTCCTCTCCAAGCATTACAAGGAAAGGGATGGGGACAGAACACACCTACTGTGCCTCAGGCTTCCTTCCTGTGACAATGGAGGAGGAATTCTCAAAGGCCTCCTGTCCACCTGGAGTCTGGAGCACAGGCTCTTTCTCCTCTTTCAGCCTCCCCCTTCTCCTCATCACTGACCATGCCCTCTCCACTGGAGAATCTTCTAAATCATGCTAACAAGCCCTGATGGTCCCCATCATGAAACAACCCACCATCTGCCTCTGGCCTCTGTCCCTGTTCCTCCACAGTTGAAAGTTGTTGGTTTTGTTGTTGTTGTTGTTGTTGTTTTAAATAGAGACAGGGTGTCTCTCTATTGCCCAGGCTGGAGTGCACTGGTGTGATCACAGCTCACCATAACCTTGAACTCCTGGGCTCAAGTGATCCTCCCACCTGAGCCTCTCGATTAGCTAGGACTACAGGTACATACCACCATGCCTGGCTAATTTTTAAATATTTTGTAGAGATGGAGTCTTGCTATGTTGCCCATGCTGGCCTCGAACTCCTGGCCTCAAGTGATCCTCCCACCTTGGCCTCCCAAAGTGTTGTGATTACACGTGTGAACCACTGCGCCCAACCCACGGTCAAAATTCTTGAAGGATCTGCCCACACGCACTTGGTGGATCTCTTTTTTCTCTGCTTCTTCCTCTCCAAGTGGACTGTTGTCCTCTCCCTGTCAACCCAATTGCTCTTCTCGAGGTCACTGGTAACTCTGTGTGGCCAAATTCAGTGGCCCCTGTCTTTATTGTACTTGACTTCTGAGCTACATCTACTACTCCCTTTCACTTAAGGCCCCTGCTTTGTGGCCATGATATTATCATAATGGCTACACATCCTCCAACACAGAGGACACTCCCTCTTCGCCAAGCAAGGAATTGGCAGACTTGAAATGCCAACAGTGCTGAGGTTGAGAAACCCGGGGATAAAATGATATATTGCTGGGGTTAATTCTTTAGATGAGAGGTCTGCAAACTATGGTCAGTGGGCCAAATCCTGACTGTTTTTGGGAATAAAGTTTTATTGGCACATAGCCATGTCTGTTTATGCAATGTTGATGGCCGTTTCTGTGCTGCAATGGCACAGCTGAGCAGTTATGATAAAGACAGTAAACGGCCCACAAAACCTCAAATATTAACTATCTGGACCTTTTTCAGAAGAAGCGTGCCCAGGTGTGAGACTGTTTATGGAGAGGGGGTGGCATAATACTCTTTAGTCACTTCTGAGCTCATGAAGGAAAAAACAAAACAAAACAAAAACACACACACAAAACACCTGGTTTCTAAGGCCTGAGTCCAACGGGGCTGATAAATCACAATTCTGCTTGGACACACTGAAAATGGTTAAATGTAACAAACATAATTTCAGCACCTCTAAGAGGTATTTTGTGAACATTTGCCTAATGTTATTTTGAGTTAGGAAAAGCCACAGAAACCATTTGTATTTTCCATGAAATCATAACTGGATTTCTGGTAGAAAAAGTTTCCAAGCAACGTAAGACTCCAAAAAAAAAAACATTTAATAGATGCTACTGAGACATGGCTGGGAAACATGAAATACTGATTTTTTTTAAGTTAAATCATCCTCTGTCTCCACCTGGTGGAATGTAGCGTTGTAGCCTGTTTGAGCCTAATGAGTGGGTGGTGCTAGCTCCTCTGGGGGAAAACTGGCAAGACCCTGATACCCTGATGCTGCCACTCCAGGACAAATAAGCGGGAGATCACTGAGAGTCAGCTGAGGGTGGTTCCATCATTATTTCAATTAAAAAAGCCTTAAGATCAATCCAGGGGCCCATTTCTTCCATGGTGCACCAGTGTGTGGTGGGTGGTGATGTTAAAATGACATCATGGCCAGCTTGGAAGGACAGCAGGGTGTGGAGGAGACCCACACCGAATCCCATCTCTCCCATCCCTGTGCTTCATGGGGGGAAGTGATCTGCTAGTTCCAGTTCACTTTGGTGGGTGCCATCAAGCTGGGCTTAATCAGACGCAGCATGGCATAGAGCCAGGAGCACAAGGCCAGGCCAGCCTGCATGGTGTGAATCCCCACTAGGCTGCTCGCTGTGAACTGCAACAGGGGCTTCACTTTTCTGTGCCTCAGTTTCTGCCTGTAAAAAAGAAGCTCCTAAAAGTACCTGCCTCATAGGGCTATTTTAAAGATTAATCAGTACATGTGCTATGGGTTGAATGTGTCCCCCAAACAGCACATGTTGAAAACTGAATCCCTAATGCAGCTATGTTGGAAGGTGTGGCCTAATGGGAGGTGTTTCAGTGACGAGGGCCTCACCCTCATGAATGGATTCATGCCGATTATAATAGGGTATGAGGCTGCAAGTTCAACCTCTTGCTCTCTCTCCCCTCTCTTTGCCCTTCCACAATGGGATGACTTAGCAAGAAGGCCCTTGCCAGATGCAGGCCCCTTGACCTTGAACTTCCCAGCCTCCAGAACTATAAGAAATAAATTTATTTTCTTTATAAATTATCCAGTCAGTGATATTCTGTTGTAGCAACACAAAACAGACTAAAACATGTAAAGAATCCTTTAAAACAGTGCCAGGCACATAGTTAGTACCTGATAAACAGCAGTTACTATTAAGTTGCCTGCTCTACTCTATGAGGATGTATAAGTAGAGGTCCCACCTAGCCTTGCTGATGTAACTAGGGATGTTTTCGTGGTAGAGTTTCAGAAACCACTTGGGCAGCATCTCTCCCAGGTAATACTCCTTTTCATGCTCGAGGCACTAGGAATTATGGGAAGAGGAACTCAGCAAGGCTCCTAAAGGATGTAATTCATAACAATGTAGTACCCTTCCAGTCAGGTGGACTCATTGAGAAGTACACTGGAATTCTCTACTGGAGGCTGTGGGAGGGAATCACCCATCTTACCATCAATGGCATTTTCTACCTAAAGCAAAAAACAAAGTAAACCAAAAGGAAAGAGCAGTGGTCAGAAGCCCAGGTCTGCATTCGGACAAAACTGGGTTCAAATCTCAGTTCTGCTCTTTACTGGCACTGTGATTTAGGTCAAGTCATTTTACCTAATTTTTAAACCCTTATTTGTAAAACAAAGATAAAAAAACAGTATCTGTATCACATGGAGTTTCTATGTAAGGATTAAGTGAGCTCACACACATAAAGCATGTAACAAAGTAAATGCTCAGTAAATGTTAGCTATTATAATTACTATCTCGTTACTTTTTTTCTTTAGCTGTTGTTGTTTTTTAAATTATACCTAAAAGGGGAGGATAACAAATAGGTTTTATTTCATGTGTCAACTCTGATTAATTGGTTGTGCAGCTTGAAGCATGACAACAAAAAGTAATTGAGGCTTTGTCTTAAAGTGATAGCAAAGTGTGGTGATTGATTAGTGATGTCTGCCTTAGTCACAGAAGTAAGCGAAGGTGGTAGGATTACCCTGTATGAGCCATCTGTGTTACAGAGAGTTCCTGATTAGATGTTGTAGAGCCATTCTCAAATCATTCAGCGGGGATCCAAACAGAGTAATGCTAGTGAACATAGCTTGGGTGTGAAGGGAAGGAGTGGGAACCAGAGTCCCACCTGCCATTCCTGGGAAAGAGTGAAGTTTTGTAACTTACAGGTTCACTCTCTGAAGATATCCATCCTTACAAGGCTCTAAGATAACAGAATGGCCATATTCTGAGTCTGCAACAGGACTACATACCCATCCCAAAGATGACACGAAGAAGAGTTTTGAGGTCTAAGTTCTTTTTTCTGATTGAAGAAACCTCAGGCCATCCTGGCCCAGCTCCCATAGAGCGACTACCCATCATGAACTCAGATTCAGTCCCCGGTCCCCTGCACCTACTTGCCACACTCCTTGCAGGGGAAGATGGTGGTGGGGTCTGTCTCGCCGCTGGTGGTGCTGTGAGAGGGTGAGCTCTTTACCGAACAGTACCCACTCTGGGTGCCACCAGGCTTCTGCTTCCCAGAGGGGATGGCACCTCGGGCCTTGGTCACCTGGTTGGTGCCCCCGTGGATGCGGGCATGGCCATTCAGTGCCTGTCGGGAGCTGAACACCTGGGGAAGAAAGGGAGTGACATGACATCTACAGTCCTGAAAAGGAAATTAGGGTTATTAGTTACTCAGTGGTAAACATGGAATACTTGAAACTGTCTAATGACAGGGCACAAGGGTTTTATATAAGCAAACTTTGGGCATATGCTACAAAAGGTAAAGATCAAATACCACAACCACAGATCCTGTGCCAATCAAAACCTCATCACTGCTACAATCAGAAGAGAAGAAGCGACGTGGCACAGGATAAAGAATAAAGCTACTGTCTAGAAGTCAAGACGTCAGGGGTTTGGACCCAGCTCTACTATAACTAAAGCTGTTGGGCCATTTCCCTTCTGTATACTTTATTTTTTTCCATCTGAGGAATGAGAGGGCTGGACCAGCTTTCAAACTTTTTTTTTTTTTTTTTTTTTTGAGACAGAGTCTCGCTCTGTCACCCAGGCTGGAGTGTGGTGGTGCGGTCTCAGCTCACTGCAAGCTCCGCCTCCCAGGTTCACACCATTCTCCTGCCTCAGCCTCCCGAGTAGCTGGGACTACAGGCGCCCGCCACCACGCCTGGCTAATTTTTTGTAGTTTTAGTAGAGACAGGGTTTCACCGTGTTAGCCAGGATGGTCTCGATCTCCTGACCTTGTGATCTGCCCGCCTTGGCCTCCCAAAGTGCTGGGATTACAGGCGTGAGCCACCACGCCTGGCCTCAAACTTTTTTAAAGATGATAACTACCTCCTTCTTTTCCTCCCATTTTTCTTCCTTCCTTCCTCTTTCCCTCCCTCCTTCCTTTTTAGGAAATCAGGTCTTACTAAAAAAACTCAGGCTCAAGTTAAAAGCAGAGGTGCTCTGGCTAGAATGGAGACAGTGCCCCAGAATTGCGCCTGTTTGCTCAGCTCTATCTACCCCGAGGAAGCCCTAGCACCCTAAGGAATCCAGTTTGAAAGACAGTGATTAGGTTTTCTGACGTATTCTACGTTGTAGATAGCCTTAATCAGTAGCCCATTGTTGAAGCAATGTTTAAGACCCCCAAATTTTAATACAGATGATAAAAAGAAGAAGGATCTTGGCAGAATTTTAAAATCCTGCCATAAAGCTGGGTTTTCTTAACATCAGCACTACTATCATTTTGGGCTGGATAATTCTTTGTTGTGATGGGTGGGGGGCTCTGTTGTATAGGATGTTTAGCAGCATCTCTGGCCCTACCAGATGCTAGCAGCACCTCCGCATTTATGATAAAAGTTATGATAAATTCCAGACACTGCCAAATGTTCTTGGGGAATAAATCATCCCCAGTTCAGAACCACCGCTATAAAGGGGTGTAAATCCATATCCCTGAATCCAATGAGTCCTGGCTTCCAGCTTGTTAAACTCATCAGCTAAGGGGAGTACCTACTGGGCTGTCTAGCTGTAGTAGTTGCTGTATTAAGTTTATGATCTCTGTTTTTTTTGTTTGTTTGTTTGCTTGTTTTTTTTTTTTCAGATGGAGTCTCACTCTGTCACCAGGCTGGAGTGCAGTGGCATGATCTCAGTTTACCGCAACCTCTGCCTCCTGGGTTTAAGCGATTCTCCTGCCTTAGCCTCCCAAGTAGCTGGGACTACAGGCGCGCACCACCACGCCCAGGTAAGTTTTGTATTTTTAGTATAGTAGAGACGGGGTTTCACCATGTTGGCCAGGATGGTCTTGATCTCTTGACCTTGTGATCCACCTGCCTCAGCCTCCCAAAGTGCTGGGATTACAGGCGTGAGCCACCGCGCCTGGCCAAGCTCTGGTTATTTTCTTACATAGGAAAAAACCTATCGCTGACTTAGCAACCAAAGCCTCCATCGTTAGGCAAGGAATAAAATAAAACCAGCACGCTTTTTCCACTGTGATTTTTAAAAGTCATTAAAAAATATCTTTTCCCTTATGTACAGAAAAATTGGAACAGAAAAATATCTAACTTGCTGAGCATTTGATGGGAAAAAGTAAAAGATAACTTCCATTTGGTACACAACTTATTGTACATAGAGCTATGATTTGAGGAGGCATCTAATTTCTGAACAAATTCACCAAGAAATACCATCACTTAAAGTCATTATCGCAATCATGCTGCAGTGAACACTCTATACAAAATGGCCAGGTCATTAAACATCAAAGATGGAAAACAAGCCAGCAATCTCTTCTGTTCTCTTCAAAGTGAATGCAAAATGTATGTATCTTTTTTGTTTTTTTTTTAATTTTCATTTTTTCTTAAATGCAAATCAAATGAATTTCTGCTTTAGGATCTAAATATTTTAAAGACTGTTGCTTTCTCCATCTAAGTGACAGGTAAGCAGCATTCAGTACACTCTGGAGAACAGCACTGTCCTATATCATGTATGAGCAAAGACAAGCACACTGACTTAAGGAAAATGGGCTTCCTCTGCAAGGGGCAACATTATTTTGAGGGGTAATCCCTCTAGAACTTGCCTATACAGGTGTGCCTGGCCTTAAGAAACCTGATTTGGGAAAAGCTCACCAATTCAGACTAGTGGCAGACCAGCGGGAGATTGAGAAATAACCTTTAAAAATATCCTTTAAAATACATATGGAGCCTTAGACAAGGCCAGCACAGATACCGTAAGGTCTTTCTTTAGTGCTAAGAATGACCACATGGTGAACTTGTTTTATTTTAGCTAAATTATGCTTCTAATATTCTTGAAAAGTAGTAGCCTCTGTATTTACACACACTCCCTTTCAGCCTGTTTATATGATTAATTTACTTTTAGTAAATCTTTTTTTTCTCCACCATAGAGTACAAAGATAAACTTTAGTTAAATCTTTGTAACAGTGTTCTCAATTTTAAATTAGTGACATTTCGATTAGTAACACTTTATGAAATGTGAAATGCAAAACCTTCTAAATAGGTAAAATTGCAGGAGGTAGGGCAAGTAATTATGTCATAAAAGGATGATCTTTGTCAGCAGGCTCTCCTAGTACATTTAAATGCATGTTGACAGGGCACAAGCTTGTGTGACACACAGCCCAGGGGAATGCAGAGGCTCCAGGAAATGTGGAATGTATGTTTTGGAGGCCACGCTCACTGCAGAGCTTGGAATCACACACTCCTGGGCATGGGGGCCTTCTCTGTGTTCTCCAACACGCAGCATCATGCTTGACACAGAACACACACTCTGTAAATACCTGTTGGCCAAATGAAGCAGAAAACAATGGCAACATGGAGCACCCTCTGCCAAACTGTGACTGTTGGAAGAGCACTCTCGAAAATACATCATCTCTTAAAGCCAGGCACAGCTATATGGCTCTCACTTGTCCCAGATCCCCAGACGACACAGACACACTTACAGCCCCACAGTTGGGCATTTCACAGATGAAGGAGCCTGAGGGCTGGCCCAGGGCCTGCAGGGGCGGCCCCTCCGTGGGAGCCAGGACGGGGACGGGTGGTGGCTCCGGGGACTTCGGCACCTCACTCTCTTCTTCTTTTGTGGATTTCCTATCTTCTTCCGGGTCCTCCTCCTCCTCCTCCTCTAACTCTTCTTCTTCTTCACTTGTCTAGTGTTAAGGTAATAAAAGCAAGAGGGGAAAATCCCCAAATGGCATTCTTAGTGATGAACAGAACTCACAGATCAACAGAGGAGAGAGGGGCAGGATGCTGGCGCTGTGTTCCTTTCTTTCTGCATAAGGAATGGTGGACAGAGCCTGTTAGGCGTGATCCTCAAAAGGTTGGTCTCCGGATGCTTAGGACTTCGAGGTCAAGGAAGTAAGTCCCCTGCCCCACTTCGGGACCCCTCATCACTTATATAAAGATATGGTGAGGCAGAGAGGAGCAATTTCTACATGCAAGGATTCCCCACCTTGTTCGAGACTATCAGATCTTAAAATGACTAAAACTCAGGCTGCGTCCTGCCTGTAAGTAGCTCTGTCTCCTCACAGAGGTGAAGAGGGGTTTCCAGCAATAACAATACCATGGAATCCCCCTTGGAGAGAGACTAAAGAAGGACCTGTGCTGATTTGTTTTAGAGGCTTTATAACACACCATGCAAGATACTGGATTTGACCTGCGGTGTGCAGAAAGCACGTGACTCAAGGGGAGCTCCACTCTGGTCTTGTCAGAAAATAGAGTGAAAGGAGAGAAAATGGAAGGGGAGATTCCCTTTTATTTGTCATGTGCTTTTCCTTTTGTCTCTGACCATGGGCTTAGAAAAAGCAGTGTATTCAATGTTTCTATTTATTCATTTTCTCCTACCAGAGGCATTTAATGAAAAAGAACAAGAAAAACTTTTCCTATGAATAATGATCTCCTCTGCTTCTATGGCCACTCTCCCCACTTCAGAACAGCAGCCATGTGGAGAATTAAGCAGAAGGTCCCTGCCCTCCTCAAGGTTAACAGAATAGTAAGTTACTGGAATAGCTTGGAGTGGGTGCCCTGGGTGTGCTGGGATGGAAGGGCAACGATCCAGGAGGCTCTCATTCTCCCCTTGCTTAACTACTTTATTCTGCTCTCTCCAACCTTCCCAGGGTAGGGGTGAGGGCTGCTGGCTCCTGCAGGCCCCAAAAGGGCTGAGGACCAATCAGCCTCATTTCAGCTTTTATTTTACAGTTTACAAAGTGCTTTCACATTTACTATGCCACCGAATAGGCTGTAAACAGACCTGTCGTTTTATAAACGAGGAAGGAAAAGGCATGTCCAGCTGCCCCTGACCTGGCAGGTCATTTGTCTCTGCTAGGCTCTCTGCATAACTCATCACTTAATGCACGTGGGTTCCAGTCTACTCTACCCCTGACAGTGATATAAGTCTGGGGAGCCTATGATTCTTAAAGCCCAGAAGCAAGACTTTCCAAGAAGGATAAAGATTTCTGAAAGTAGTGATACCCTAGGACCCAGAAAACATAAGCTTCCTCTCTACAGTTTGGATTTGGGGTGTGTGTGTGAGAGAGGGAGACAATGCCAGTATGTATGTGGCATTTAGTAGCCCCTCACTGTTTCAGTATTGTCCTTATTTAATATCACATACATGTATACTTGCGATGCAGTATGAACAGGGTGTATTTAAGAAATGGCTTCAGTTTCCATTGGTAAACAGGATTAATTAGTAATGATCACATTTGTTAGAAGACCTCAGTGAACACTGATGTAGGCCTAGTACATTTGACAAAGTGGTTTATGATCTAAGCAGCCAGCCTCTTACTAGTATAGAACATACAGGTTGATTTCACTTAGGTGGTCTTATTTCTGTAAGACTCCACCATCTTTCCACCCCAAAGAGTTTCAGGTAAAACCATGTTATGTCAAACTGGGACTTTGTGGTCTCAAACATTAAGTAGCCCATGGCCTACAGTTTGGCATTTAAAAATAATTACACACAACAGATGACAATGCCATTTGTTTCATGGTATTTGTTATAATGACAATTTTCTCACAATGCCATTGTTTGGCTTAAACATTCTTAGAAGAAATGTTCCATATAGCCACAAAATTATAAGTCACACTGTACCATGATTATGTATGTCTCAGGAATTTAGATAGGTGTTATTTCAACTGGCAATCTATAAATCACAAAATGATTTACCATCAAACCACATGGCTCACCAAAGTGACTAAGAGATACAAAAATACAAGAACAAAAATCTTAACATGTAGAACTTCGTAACAACAAGTTGGTCATTTTATGATATATTGTGAAACAAAACACTTACTATATTCCAAAATTAGAAGGTGGGCAAATATGGGGGTGGGGAGGAGGCCATACATTTAACATGGTGCTCAGACCCTCGAGTGTCCACAATAAGAGTTTCTTGAGGAGGATATTTTTATTTCCCAAGCATGCAAATGGAATTCATATTATGAGAAATTGGTAAGTCAGAATACAAATGCTCAACAACCCAAATCTGCTCAAAGACACAAATTTGTGTGTTAGTCACTAATAATAATGATGACGATGACAACATTGAATGCCTGCTGAGAATCATGCATTTCACACACACACACACACACACACACACACACACACAATTTCTAGTTCTCATAACACTGTAAAATTTTTTCATTTTTAAACAAATGAGGAAATTGACCCAATAAATAAGTTTCTCAAGGTCACACAGCTGGTAAAAAAGTTGAACTGAGATTCAAAACCTGGCCTATCTTATTCCAAAACCTCAACCTTCTTCACTCTTTGGTCTGGCTGCACATGTCCACAGGTGCATGTTTATCCATCTGTAAATGGCTTAGAGATCCTAAATCTCTCAATATTACTGGAACCAGCTGCTTTGAAATGCCAAAGGGAAGGAGGATGTTTCCCAAGGCCCCCATCAATGGACTGTGCTGTAGGTAACTGTGCTGACATCATGGTGAGTTCTACCTTTGCCCTTGGAGCCCTGATTGCTGTTTTCCACAGTCAGTTAACTGCCTCAGTTGGTTTCTTGAATTGTGCTAAATTTTGATCACAGCCAGCCCCATATATTTGTCCTGAGTCGGGGAGCATGAGCACAGGCAGGGGACAGGAAGGTGTGGCCAGCACCTTCTCCTCTCACCTCATTAACAGAACCCATCTTGGCTCCCTGCCTCTGCTTCCAGTCACACTGCCCCTGCTGAGTGAGCAGCTGTGCTCTGTTGACCTCCCGGCTACTTAGCTAAAGGGCAATCATTCCTTTCAAACCTCCTTCTTTTCCCCTCTCAAGTCCTCAATAATCCCTGAACCACCTGAGCATGTTCCTTCATGTTCCATCTGGAGGGAAATGGTCACCCGCCCTTACGTAAAACATTGAAGATACATGATCAGGAGAGCTATCCCAGGTGTCCCAGGCAGGCCCCGAGGACAAAGAGTAGGACCACATCTTAGGACTGTGCCTTGCACACCCTCCCCAGGCGCACCCTCCCCAGGATCCCCATGATCCCAATTTTTCATCTCCACTCGGCAAACTATGCTTAGAAGGCTGACTGTGCACACAGTGCCCACAAAGGAGCTGTGAGCTGCCATATTGGCCTTTAATCAAGATTTTCTTGTTTTTTTTTTGTGGGCCTGAGTCATCTCTGCACATAAGCCTTTTGCTCTCCCTAAGCTCACAAGTAATGAGGGTGTGGACACTCCTGGCCCAGCCTAACACTGGCTCCTGGTGAATAAACCCAAGAGGGTGTGGCCCCTTGGGCACCCTCTTACCCTCTCCTCCTTAATCTGAAGCTTCACGCCGGCCTGGGTCTCCCTACCCATCTTCGAAGCCCAGGCAGTCCGAGACGGTGCCTCTGCCTTGTGTGGAAACATCTTTGTTAGTGTCACTCCTCTGCTCAGCATCCCCTTGTTCATTCCATCTCCCTCCAGTGAATTCACAGAAGGAATGTTTATGAATCAGAGCAACTCCTATCTTCGAAAAATATTCACTCATTCATTTAACAAACATTTATTGAGTGACTGTATTATGCCAGGCACTGTGCACTGTCCTAGGCACTTGATAACACCCAAGCCTAAGATACACCAATTTACCTTAGAAGACCATATTCTCTGATTTTGCCCCTCTTCCAAAACACGGCACTGACAGAGCCCAGAACATTCCAGAATTGGAAGGGACTTTCTAAATCATTTAAATCATCTGGCCATTTTACAGACCAGCAAGCCTAGGAGCAAAGCCTAGGTCTTCAAGGCTAGGAATCTTTGTGCTTCCTTGTTTACTGTCTCTTCTACTCATTTGGAAAGCAATGCTCTGTGTGACCTGGGGCAAGCCCCTTCCTCTCTCTGGGTCTCAACTTTCTTCCTGTAAAATGGTGAAATTGGGTGAAAGAGTCCTTAACGCTGCATCTAAGACTTTCTGGATCTCATTGCATACTGCTTTTAAACACTCTTGGGGTTCATGGTGTATTTCCACTTACATGTGTTATATCTTCCCAACAAGGACATATGTTCTGTGTGGTCGGGGGAGAGGAGGGAAGGGCCATTTAACATCCCGGGTTACCCACAGCACTACATACACATTGCTGTTTACATTGTGGGAGTTCAACTGCTTTTAGTTGACTGAACTGGAGGAGAGCATACTGTTTTTTGTTTTTTGTTTTTTTTTCTGAGATGTAGTCTCACTCTGTTGCCCAGGCTGGAGTACGGTGGCGCAATCTCTGCTCACTGCAACCTCCACCTCCCGGGTTCAGGCAATTCTCCTGCCTCAGCCTCCTGAATAGTGGGGACTACAGGCGTGCACTACCACGTCCAGTTAATTTTTTAGTAGAGATGGGGTTTCACCATGTTGGCCAGGGTGGTCTCGATCTCCTGACCTCGTGATCCACCTACCTTGGCCTCCCAAAGTGCTGGGATTACAGGTGTGAGCCACAGTGCCTGGGTGATCACATGTTTTTTAAAACATTAGGCCACAAACGAGCAAAAGACTATTCTGATATCATACATCACTACTTAAATGAGTCAAACAAAAGCCCTGGTCACAAGAAATCCTGAATGTAGAATACTGCCATCTCTGATTGAAAAAAATAGCAATACCATTCTATTCTACAGATTTCTACTTTCTCTGTTATTTGGGCTCAAATATAAATGTATTTATGTATGTATATTTCATAGCTAGGATCAATTATTAGTTAGAAGCATAGGCTTTGAAGCATTAATGAGTCCAATTTTTTTTTTTCAGATGGAGTTTTGCTCTCGTTGCCCAAGCTGGAGTGCAATGGTGCAATCTCGGCTCACCGCAACTTCTGCCTCCTGGGTTCAAGCGATCCTCCTGCCTCAGCCTCCCGAGTAGCTGGGATTACAGGTGTGTGCTACCACGCCTGGCTAATTTTTTGTATTTTTATTAGAAATGGGTTTCACCATGTTAGCCAGGCTGGTCTCGAACTCCTGACCTTAGATGATCTGCCCACCTTGGCCTCCCAAACTGCTGGGATTACAGGTTTGAGCCACCGTGCCTGGCCAAGTCCAAATTTTTTATACTTCTTTAAGAAAATGTGTGGCCAGGTGCAGTGGCCTGAGATTACAGGGGTGAGCCTGTAATCCCAGCACTTTGGGAAGCCAAGGCAGGAGGACTGCTTAAGCTCAGGAGTCTGAGAACAGCCTGGGCAACAAAGTGAGACGTTGTCTCTACAAAAAATTAAAATATGAGTGGGGCGTTGTGGTGTGTGCCTGTAGTCCCAGCTACTCAGGTGGCTGAGGTGGGAGGATTGCTTGAGCCCAAGAAGTTGAGGCTGTAGTGAGCTATGATCATGCCGCTGCATTCTAGCCTGAGCGACAAAGTGAGACCCTGTCTCAAACAAACAAAAGAAAATTTGCATCTGACTGCTCTTAACTACACAAGGGAATCAGGCTTAACAACACGCTCAGCAGCTGTGTGACTATGGCCAATTTGCTTAAGCTCTGTGCTTCAGTTTCCTACTGCATAGAATTGGTATTAAATGAATTACATTGGATTAAATGAGTCAATATTTATAAAGTCCCTAACACAATGCCTGGCACATGAAAACTGCTGTTTCACTGTCTGTTAAAGAAAATAACACACATACATGTGCTAACCCTTACAACTGGGGCACAATTGGGAATGAAAATATAATTTCAAATATTTACATAATTCATGAATTCCCAATACTTTCACTGATGGTGACAAAAGCTAGAGTTTAGTAATGTCAGACATAATTTTTATATACACATATATGGTAGGTAATGTTTTCCACAGAGTGTGAAAAGGAGATTTCCCATGGCTATGGATGCAGGGTGGAGAGTTAATTGCAAGGATCACAAGTGATAGTAATCATCAAAGCCACACATACAGGGTTCAGAGACTAGTTAGGTCTTCTTGTGTCTTTGGTACGTACTTAATGTGCAGTTGACTGTGGACTGTCTGCTAATGAAGGAAATCAATACCAGGGATAATGGTGATGTAAGGATTAGAATCATCTACATGCAGCGAATTAGTTCCTTAATGATGGAGGGTTCCTGGCACTACCTAGAGGTCAAAGCTCCTCTTGCTCATGCTTTACAGACTGTGGCAAAATCCCAGGGACCCTTTCTGAGGCACATTATGGGCTCAGGTCAGTAGCATCTATGACATGGAAAGATCAAAAAAGAATATTCCAGGGGGTCAGGACACCACCCAATCATAAACCAACAAACCCAAGGCTGGGACCATCCTTGGTTTAATTCTTCTGGCTCCTAGCTGCCTTGAAGCGGGCACCAGCCCTCACCTCTGTTTCTGAACACTGAGCTACAGGCCAAACCTATGGACTTCTTTCCTTTAAACCTACTCAGGAGGGTAGGTCCTGAATCCTGCAGGAGAGCTGGGCTGTTGTCACCTCCTTCCTCTGGCTATCTTGGCAGCAAAGCCAAACCAAACACCAGCTACTTACTAACCTGGGCCTGGGGTGGGAGCTGTCCCAGCACAAGCAACAACTTAGCAGCTTCACTCACCACACAATCGTCGATGATTTCTGCCAGGCGTGTCCGGTGTTTCCGCCCCAGCCGCATGATCTTTTTCCACGTGTAGTAGTACTCCACGCACTGAGCCACCGTCTTGGACTTCACCTGCCGGGAAAGCGAACTCAAGGTTAGCTCCAGCAATGGGCAGAGAGCAAAGGTAGCAAGCATTTTTGAATATTTAATTTTGTAATAGGGTAATAAACAAGTTTGTACAGTTCAAGAAAAAAATGTACCTGGTGAAAGGCCTCCTTCACACGCCTGTCCTTACCCCTCACCCTGCAACACAGGTAGCCCCTTGCATTAATTTCTTTGGCTACCATTCCAGATTTTTTTTTTTTTTTTGAGACGGAGTCTTGCTCTGTCGCCCAGGCTGGAGTGCAGTGGCGCAATCTCGGATCACTGCAACCTCTGCCTCCCAGGTTCACACCATTCTCCTGCCTCAGCCTCCCGAGTAGCTGGGACTACAGGCATCCGCCACCATGCCCGGCTAATTTTTTGTATTTTTAGTAGAGACGGGGTTTCATTGTGTTAGCCAGGATGGTCTTGATCTCCTGACCTCGTGATCCGCCCACCTCGGCCTCCCAAAGCACTGGGATTACGGGCGTGAGTCACTGCGCCCAGCCTTTTTTTTTTTTTTTTTGAGATGGAGTCTTGCTCTGTTGCCGAGGCTGGAGTGCAGTGGCACCATCTTGGCTCACTGCAACCTCCACCTCCGAGATTCAAGCAATTCTCCTGCCTTAGCCTCCCAAGTAGCTGGGATTACAGGCACCCGCCACCGCACCTGGCTCATTTTTTTCTATTTTTAGTAGAGATGGGGTTTCACCATGTTGGCCAGGCTAGTCTCGAACTCCTGACCTCAAGTGATCCTCCTGCCTGGGCCTCCCAAATTGCTGGCATTACAGGCATTGAGTCACAACACCCATTCCAGAATTTTTTTCTTTTTTTGAGATGGAGTTTCACTCTCGTTGCCCAGGCTGGAGTGCAATGGCACGATCTCGGCTCACCACAACCTCCACCTCCTGGGTTCAAGCGATTCTCCTGCCTCAGCCTCCTGAGTAGCTGGGATTACAGGCATGCACCACCACGCCCAGTTAATTTTGTATTTTTAGTAGAGACGTGGTTTCTACATGTTGGTCAGGCTGGTCTCGAACTCCCGACCTCAGGTGATCCGCCTGCCTTGGCCTCCCAAAGTGCTGGGATTACAGGTGTGAGCCACTGTGCCTGGCCTCCAGAATTTTCTAATGCATGTACCAGCACACACAAAAATATATTCCCTCCCCCACCATCTTTCCTCACAAAAGGGAGCACACTATAAATACTGCTTTGCAACTTGATTTTTTTCTCAATATAGCTTGGAAATTTTTTCAGATCAGTCCTTACAGACTTACTCATTTTTTTAACCCATAAAGCAGCTGCTTTTTCATTTAATATGCTTGAATGTCTCTAACTTGACCTTCAAAATATGCTTATGAGAAATGTTCCTTAGTAATGGAATAGGAATATAAGGCAAAAGTTATGATGACAGAGCTTAGGTTTTGCAGGAAATGGGCCTTGCCCTATTCAACCCCAAACAGGCAAAGGTCTATGCATCTTAAGACAGAAACATTCCTTTGTTTAGTTCATATGCTGTATGATCAGGTGAGGTGTAATAACGTGGGTTTGCTGGAGGCAGATTAAAGGCTGGCCTTACCCTTGAGGGTGGGAACAAGGCCACCTACATGGTGAGATGAGAGGGGCACCCAGTCCTGTCTCCTCAAAGTTGCCCCCTTCTCATCCCCCTGACACCTGGAATTTCCACACTAGAATCACCTGAGGGAGTGAGGACAGTGCCCGTCCCAGAGAGCCCTGGGTTAAAACCCAGGTTGCCTGGTAAGCTCAATACACGAATCCATCATCAGTCGCAAGTGTGGGGCCTAAAGGATTGAGGTCTATGCCAGGCCAGTCCTGGAGGGGAGGGTGACTCTAGAAAGATGAAGCATGAGAGCTGCTGGGCACACAGGGCAGCAAAGGCATGGCAGCCGCCAAGGGCAAGGCAGGAGCAAATGCAGAGATGGAGGCGGAGGCGAGGCGGAGGCAAGTCAGAGACAAAGTCCTCCTGCTTTTCACACTTGCCCAGGCAAGGCCCTAGACTGACAACAGGAGACATGCCACCCTAGGACACCTCCGAGGACCATCTGTCTCAGCCAGGGGCCAGTGGGTGCTATCAACTGCGCCCTGTTCTTTGTGTACCTGAACAGCCTTAAATGGCTTTAACACAATATGGCTCCATCATTCATCAGTTTGTTGAAACACTCTTTGAATGATTTTAATTTTTTACACTAAACCATCTCTCAGCCAATAAAGTCAATAAGTTTATCTGTTGTATAAAGTGCTATTTCATCTATGTGAAAGTTTTATTTTGCTTTCGAATGCTGTATACGCAAGGTATTTTTATTATTACTGTCATTAAAAATAGGAGTTCAACACCAGAAACTGTGCTACTGGGTAGAGGGAGGCCACATATTCTCCTCTCCCCAGAAAGTTCTGTCAGAAATGTGGTAGATCTGTTAAATATACGTAAATTATGTACGGCCAGGCATGCCGGCTCACGCCGGTAATCCCAGTGCTTTGGGAGGCTGAGGGAGGTGGATCACTTGAGGTTACGAGTTCAAGACCAGCCTGGCCAACATGGTAAAGCCCCGCCTCTACTAAAAATACAAAAATTAGCCGGGCGTGGTGGTGCATGCCTGTAATCCCAGTTACTCTAGAGACTGAGGCAAGAGAATCGCTTGAACCCGGGAGGTGGAGGCTGCAGTGAGTCAAGATCACACCACTGCACTCCAGCCTGGGTGAGAGAGTGAAACTGTCTTGGAAAAAATAAAAAATAAAAATAAAATAAATTATGTAAATTGTGGACCAGGAACCCGAGTTCTAGTTATTCTGACAGAATTATGAATTACACATTTTTATTAAGATAGAAAATAACCCCGTGCCACTGCAGTGTCCAGATAATCTACGCCTTCTTTCCCCTGTCCTCTCCCTGCCACAGTCCTAACACTGGGGCCATACCACCCCTATCTCCACTACCATCCTCACCAGCGAGTGTGGAAGACATCCTTTTTGTAAGTATCTTAAACCAGTATCCAAATATTTCTAAATATTTTTGTGTACAATTTCCCAAATTTAATTTCAAGGGGGCAATGGGAAAAATCATGCTTACCATCTTCTGTACAAAAATAAAGTCTTTGCTGTAAGTGGCTAGTGCTTTGTTAAACAGTTTTCTTTCTAGGGAGGTCCACTTGTCCGAACCTACAACAAAACACAAACATCATAAGAACAGCTCACAGTTCCCCCTGCTTTTAGTTGCTGGTTCATTTAGTTAAGTTACAAAATACAACTACAGAGCAAGTGATATAATACATATCAAACTCCCATTTGAACAAAAAGATAGTGTGATATAATGGTTAGGAGCTCTGACACCTGGGTTCAAGTCCCAGCTATGGCCTTGACCTTGGCAAGTTACTTATCCTAAGCCTGTTTTGTTACCTACAAATGGGAATAACTATAATTGCCTCCACTGATTAGGATTTTTGTGAAGGTTAAAGAAGATAATGCACAAAAAGTGTCCAGCATCATCGCTGGGAAACAGTGAGCATTCAACAAATTTTAGGTACAGTTTTAACGTAATTATCATATTCACAAGTGCAAGCATTCATGTAGCAAGTACCCTTCAGGGTGTGGCTGGATTCACCCTCCACCCTCAAGATGCTCACAGTCTACTGGGGAGACAAACAAGTAGGCCATGACGTTCAAGGTGGTAATTGTAATTATTCAGGTAGAGGCGAGGTGCCAATGGGGCACAAAGGAGAAACACCACACTCAGGTTAGGGCCAGGGCAGCCAGGAGGGCTTCCAGCTAGAGAAAACATGAGTTGAGTTTTAAAGGTCACATAGAAGCAAGTCAGATCATAAGGAGATGGAAGAGTATTCTGGTGAGAGGAAGCAGGATGTGCAAAGTCAGAGGCAAGAGTGAAGTCATGCACTTCAGTTGTTCATTCAACAGATATTTATTAGGTGTATATTACAAGCAAGATGCTGTACTAGGAAAAATAGCTTAACATTTCTAAGTGCTTACTAAGTGGCAGGTTCTAAGTACTTCAGTTATTCATCATTAGGTTCTACTAACAATCCTGTAAGATTGTTAGGATGATGAGCCCATTTGACAAATGAGGAAATGGAGGTTTTCAAAGAACGACTAGTAATCTAATCTGGTTCAAGTATAAGGTTCCAGCAGAAGCAGATGAGGCTGGAGAGGTGAGTGGAGCCAGTTCTTGACAGATTTGCCGACCGAAGAGGGAGAGGCTTCACTGCTGGGCTGGTGCATCTTCCTTACTGGCTAAACCTGATATTTATGTCTTTTTCCTCCATGAAAGAAAGCACGATATGCAGATAATAATATAAAGTTATACTGGCTTGTTTGGGGCAAGAAATAAGGCCTACTTCTAAGGGGACTCCTATTTCTGGAGGCTCTAGGGAAGCTTCCACCACTGTGGCTGGTTCAGAGAAAACTCAGTCTTATTCTTCTGGCCTGCTGAATTCTCCACATCTCTGATTCTTTGGATGGTATTTGGCCAAGGCTTTGACCTCACTACACTTCTCTAGACTTCATTAGTGGGGTACACTAGTACCCTACCTCACTATACTTCATTAGTGGGGTACACTAGTACCCCAAATCATAATATCTTTCCTCCCATTCCGGGCGAGTCCAAGGTTTCCATTTTGCTATGGTCAACTGATGGGACTGCAGTACAGGAAACCCTAATCGCCTCTTTCTTTGTAGGGTTTGGCCAAAATAAGTGAATCAGGCAAAAATGCTCTGGGCAGGCAGGGGCCTCCTTAGACCACAGGTGGGGAGCCTAGGGTCCTTAGAAGAATATATGGCTCAGTGACATAAACTCACATTTCTGAAATAAACAACTTCCTTGTGCAGCTCTTTGATGGGTCCTCAAGCCAGGAGCTTTGGCTCCAGACTCAGAATATGCTCTCCACAGCTGGGCGGGGTCAGACATCTACAAAAGCAGGGCCACCACCCAATTTATTTGGTTTGCAAACTTATCTTTTTCTTTTTTTTTTTTGGAGATGGAGTCTTGCTCTGTCACCCAGGCTGGAGTGCAGTGGCGAGATCTCGGCTCACTGCAACCTCTGCCTCTTGGGTTCAAGTGATTGTCTTGCCTCAGCCTCCTGAGTAGATGAGATTACAGGTGCGTGCCACCACACCTGGCTAATTTTTGTATTTTTAGCAGAGATGGGGATTCACCAAGTTGGCCAGGCTGGCCTTAGCTCCTGACCTGAAGTGATCCGCTTGCCTCAGCTTCCCAAAGTGCTGGGATTACAGACGTGTGCCACTGTGCCCAGCTGCAAACTTATCTCTTTACTTCTAGAAGGAAAGCAGCTTTCCCATGAATACTCAGCAGAAGGGAGTCATCTTCCATGGGTTCCAGAGGGCTGGACAGCTCTGACCGTGCAGACCACAGTAACACGGAGCCTCAGGGGGGCTGGGGGTTTGGAGAATACTTGCCGGAGTGCATGTGAGCACAGGGGGTTGGTGGGATTTGAGGCTCTATATCACTTCCATCACCATTCTTCAAATTCTGTCCAACATTCAAAGCCTTGGGGTCCCCTTACCCAGGAACAGAGGTAGAAAGAAGGACACAGAAAGGAATCACCAACAATTCAGTTCAACAACCAAACAACCGTCATGGTTCCTTTTAGGTATCCACCAAAACAGCAAACGGGTAAGAGGAGTCAGAAAGATAATGATGGAAGGAAGACCACAATGGCGGTCTGTCATACCAGCTGACTCACACAAGCTTACACAGAGGTTGCTCTGCTGCCCTGCTGCAGGTCCAGAATCCGTGTGGCCCTCAGCTGCATCTCCGATGGGGAATCAGGGGACATTTTGCTGATGAAACCCTCAACTAGATCAATGATAATTCTTTCCAACCTCAACCAGACCATCAGTTTCCTAAGTTAGAGTGCAGCTCTGAGACATGACAAGACACTAACAGGGCCATCCAGCCTTCTCAGCCAGTCTCTGCAGTGGATATACTTTTTTCTACCCACCAGGCTCATTACCTGATTTCTGGCCCCAAAAGCAGTGTTCAGTTCCCAGGCCTGTCGATTTCTGAGAAGCATGTCCCTTCATGTTTCCAAATTGCTTGCCAGATGCAACTCCACTGGTGATGTAACTTCCTGGCCCATCTGTTAGGAGAGATCCCCAAACCTCGTGGGGGAAGGAGACCTTCTCCCTGCTGATTCCTGGTGGTTTTTAAGACTGCTGCTCTGTCATAGGATTTGGTGGCTTCCTGATTCCGGAGTGTGCATTCTGTACAACTCATCCTGAGATGGAGTGGGCTGCATGTTCTCCCTGCCCCTCTATGTCACTCTCCCATTCCAAGGGATACAGGGCTGGGTCAGGGAGCACAGTCTTAAGACAGTAAGAGGTGGCTCTTCTGCACAGTCCTAGGCTTTGTGCTTTGGTGCAAATGATAGTGCTCTGTGTGTGCATGTGTTAGTGTCTGCTCAACAGGGTGTCCACAAATTGAGGGACAGAGCCTTGGCCGGGCAACAAATCCATTCTCACACTAGAGGTGGCTTCCTGATCACAAGATTACCCACCGAGGCTGAGAGTCCATCCCTGGGCTCTTGGATTGAATTCCCAGGCTAAAGCCTTGGACAGATAAATAACATATGAATGTGTTTTCTCCAAATAATATCACTGAACTGTGATAAAAAGGGTGATTTTAGTCACCTTAGGTTGTAAACCTGGTTCTGCCACTTACTCCTTCTGTGAACCCCGGGCAAGCCTACTTAACTTCTCTGAGTCTCAGTTTCCCCACATGACATGGGGATGGTGGCAGTTACCCTGTGACTGACAGGTTTGGTCCTAAGTGTTCGATACATGTTTTGAACCTTCACTGGCCACTTGGAGAGCAGATTCCAAATCAGCCCAGGGCTATGAGACGTATGCCACCCCTGCTGATATGTGGACAGTGGCATCCAAGACCACCTGTTTCTTGTTCTGTGTATTTCTTATCCACAGTCTCACTGCTGGCTGCTTATTATATCCATAGTCTTCTCCTTCCTGCCTCCAAAATCCCTCTGTAATCCGAAGTTAACGAAAGGCTCAGATGTCTCTCTTTCCTGGAGTCTGATAGGGACACGTTCCTCGTTCTTAGACAAGGTTCTCTAAGCCGGCCCTTCTTGGATCCTGCATCTTGGACAAAGTCCAGGATAAAATACAAAACCGAGGCAGGGTGTTGCCTCAAATCCTCCCCTATCCTTCAACTACCCCCCACACCCTCCCTTCTCTCTAGGATCCCTGCTGCCCACTCAGCATGCACACAGGGTTCGTGGGTTGAGAGTCCCCCCACACTCATTTGTTCTACCTGGGAATTCCTGGCTATTGGGCTATTACCAGCAGGGGCCCCTAACAAGATGATTAAGGCTAATTACAAAGAACCTAATTAACTGGATGAAACCGGTGCTGGAACAGTATCCAGAGGAAAACTGTTTTGACCTTCGGTTGCTGGGAAACAGGCTCTGGACTGTGGCTAATTTGGGGGCAATCGACAGTGAACACAGGCAATTAAAAAGAGACATGGAGGGTTGAGAGAAAGTTTGGACACAGTATCTTTTAGAGGGCCTTTCTGTCTTTCTTAAAACTTCTATTATAATTTTTTTCTTTTCTTTTGCTTCTTTTTTTTTTTTTTTTTTTTTTGAGACAGGGTCTCACTCTGTCGCCCAGGTTGGAGTGCAGTGGCGTGATCTCAGCTCACTATAGCCTACGCCTCTTGGGTTCAGGCAACTCTCTTGCTCATCCACCCAAGTAGCTGGGATTACAGGCATGCACCACTATGCCTGGCTAATTTTTGTATTTTTAGTACAGATGGGGTTTCACCATGTTTTCCAGGCTGGTGTCGAACTCCTGAGCTTAAGCGATCTGCCCGCCTTGGCCTCCCAAAGTGCTGGGATTACAGGCATGAGCCACCGTTCCTGGACCCATTGATGATGTTTTGAAGTTACACAAGACAGACATGTTCATTGCAGAAAAAGGAGGACTGTTTTATACCAAATTTTCATTTCCACACAGGGTTTTCAATAGTGGGTGAAGGTTGAGTAATTTTTTGGGGGGTGCAAGTTGAAGCAGGCTATTACACCAGAGTTTTCTCTGTGGATAAAAGGGGGGAAGCCTCAATCTGAATCCAGAATTTGAGCTTGTCCACTAGGCAATTTTTTTTTTTTTAATTTAAACCAGTGCCATGTTAGGCAAGGTAAAAGAGTATTAACTCAGTACTGCCCTTGAGGGGACCACTGTCTAGAGACATAGGCTAAGGATGCCTGGAAAATGAAATCACAGCTGTGCTTCTTGCAAATTACTCTCTTGAGTACGTAATTCTGTCTCCTCATCTAACTGGGGCAGCTTCCAAGGCAGAAGAGACAAGGCCTCTCCAATGGAATGAGTATTTCCTCCAGGTCTCCTCCATCTCCACAACTCAGGTCAGGGTTTCAGGACTAAGCAGGTGTTTGGGCTGTGCTCAGGGCCAATAAGTAGTCTCAGCTGAACACTTGCCAAGAAGCCAGGTCAGTTCTAACACCCCTCTGCAGGAATGACCAGTTCAATGAAAAAAATCAAGCATGCTGCAATCCATCTAATCACAACCAGGCTTCGTCTCCACCCTGACTCCCCCATGCTTGGCCCTTCCCAACCCAAGTGCTAATTGGGAACCACTGCACACAACTGCTAACCACACATGGGTGGGAAGGTGCTGAGAGCAACAGAGGGCTGGACTGTGCATCGTGGTGGGGGTTGAGCGCCAGAAGCCACTGCAACAGCACTTTCCTCTGTGGATCCTGTACAGGGTTCATGTGGCCTTGGCAAGCAGCCATTAGATCTGGGCAAGTTGCCCACCACGTCGGCCCTTCCCCCATAGCACATCTCTCCTGGGTCCCAGCACTGGTCACTTTTTCCTTTTCTTAATGAACGGCTTGGAGTGGGTGGGAAAGGGAAGATAATGAGTAAAGTAAGGAAGTGATTTTCGTAGGCCTGTGTCTTTGTCTTTCTCCCCAAACTTACAGCCTCCCGCCCTGACATGGACAGGCTCAGGCAGGCCTGGGAGACCTGAACTCCCTCTCCAGATAACTGGGAGCCTGGAGAGCAAATTCGGGGCTGGGACTCAGGATGGTGACACTGGCCACAGCCACAGAGTCAGGAGCCAAAGGAGATCCAGAAGATAGGGTCCCAGCAAGGTGGCAATTAAGCCAACAGGCAGTCACTACTGGGGAGCAACCCAACAGGGCTCAGCACAAAGGCCAAAGCAGAATGGGGCCATGGAGATGGGATTCACTGACACCTGGGAAGCAAATGAGGGGGTTCAGCAGTGGGAGAAGGAGGTGGTGGCTGGGACATGTGATGGGGAAGATTCTGCTGCCTCCCCTGCGGCTTAGAAGGAAACTGTTAAGGAGATGGTTTTGGGTCAGACTTCAGAGACCAGTGACCTCTGCCCTTTTTGCTCAAACTTCTAGAAGATTCTCTGAGTCCCAGTCTATCATCACTTCCTGGAGAAGGCAAGTGACTGGCAAACATAGGTGAGTATGTTTCTCTTGGAGATATCAACCCTTCACAGCTTAGCTCTATCTCTTTTGCCTCCAAGGATTGAAATGATTCCAGAAAACAGCAGAGTCCTTCCTGGTCTGCCTGCTGGGGAAGGGGACAGGGGACAGGCAAGGGATTAGCTAGAAACCCCTAACCTCAAGAGATCAATTAATTGTTGCAGAGTTTAGGGCCCTCTTGTTTCAAAGTTTTTGGTAATATTTTAGTGTTTTTATTTTGTTTTGACTGGGGTGTGTGGCGCTCCTAGTACATAGCTTTCTGACCTTTTTAATGTCATGATACACATAAAATGATACTTGTTTGGTACACTTGGAAGAACCAGAGGAGAGCTGTATCCCAGATGACGCTGCTCACAGCTAGAGCTAACCAGCCCAGAGGCTCTGGCGACCCTAGCCACTCTGAGGGCTGAGGGCAGCAGTTTCTCACAGCACATGGTTAGGAACCTCCTTTTAGCCAACCCACTGTCCCACCATCATGCAAAGAAGCTTGAGACAGCCTCCAGGAGGCTGGACAGCCTCTCAGGGTTCAATGAGCAGCAGATGATGCTGGAAATTAAGAGAGAGGACTGAGCTGTTTCCATGGCAGATTAG
Source organism: Homo sapiens (assembly GCF_000001405.40). Taxonomy (NCBI): domain Eukaryota; kingdom Metazoa; phylum Chordata; class Mammalia; order Primates; family Hominidae; genus Homo; species Homo sapiens. Next base: position 42,253,498 of record NC_000006.12, read on the forward strand.
GGAGAACTCCTACATCTTTTTACCCACACTTGGGACAGACACCAAGCAGGAAATGATGGAGAAAATATTAAGAAGCTGGCTCCTTTAGGCCACCGGAGAAGTGATGAATTTCTTATTCCATGTGTCCACTCTGTATTGGCCTAGTTCCAGGAGTGACCTACAGGCAGACATCTTGGGCTTACTGTGCTTGGAAGAGGGGCTTTGAGGTCTGCCTTGTGATGACAGGCAGGAAGGCTCGTTCATGAAAGAGGAGGAGCACAGTAGGTGAGGCAAATGTTGGTGGAGAAAGCAAGCCAATATTTGTAAAGAAGCCCTCACTGGGCTGCCCGGACTAAAGATTGGAAAACGTATAGCTAGGTCCCCAAGCCCACATATTTGGCACCTGCCTAGGCAGGGTCTGCCCAGAGCACCAAAGAAACCCTCAAGTGATTAAAAATCAAGAGGCACTGAAAATTCAGCCCCCTCCAAAATAAAGAACCAACTTAGGTTTGTGGAGACCCTCAGAAGGAACAGTTAGTGCATGGAAATGAAAATGTTGACCTCAGTGTCACTGGTCACTTCTTAGGCTCTCCGACCTATTTCCTTCACTTTTCACAATTCTCAGTCCATTTAAATCTCATAGGTGTCTTCTACTTCCCTCTTATTGTGGTATTGTCATTAATTCACATACAAAACCCTGCGTGTATGAAGACTTTCCTGTCAGTGTGATCCATTATTTAATAACTGCCTCCTCCTCAGAGCCTCTGAGCTGCACGACGTAGGACTCTGCCCATGTCTGTCATAGTCACTGATGCATCTCAGTGTTTAGCAAGTCCCTAATACACAGTAAGTGTTCAAAAAATAATTGTTGGATACATGAGTAATAAATGCTACTAGGATGTGCCAGGCATTGGGCTACATATACCATCTCTAATCTCACAAAAACACTACGAGGGATGGAATACAAGTCTCATTTTACAGGTGAGAAAACCCAGGCTGCAGAAGACCATGGGACTTGGCCAAGGGGTGCGGTAGAATCTAAACCCATGGCTACTGATTCCAAAAGCAGGGGGCTGCTGATTGTACCTTCTGTGGCTCTCTCTGGTCTCATGCACTCGTCTCCTTGCCACACGTGCAGGCACTGTCCACTGTCACCCAGGTCTTGGCACACCCACAAGGGGCAGGAGCTTATGCCAACAGACAAATGCCAACAGAGCCAAAGCAACAGACATAGCTCTGCCCTAGGAGGCCTTGAGATCACAAGTGGTGATTAGGACAGAACCGGTGTTATCCATTGCTAGAAAGTGACACAACCGAACATGCAAGCAGCCCGTCGTCAGGAGGCAACAGGACACAGGGCTCCTGGCAACCTACCGGCATAGTGGTAATTTGCTAAAGGATGACATTTTAACCTGACAGGCTTCCGCAGTAGCAGCATTTCCAGAGCAACCTGCAGACCCAAAGGAGAGAAAAGGCAAGAGTCAGCAACTGGTCTGTGTGTCCTATGGAGATCATCTACCCAAAGGGGAAAAGCGGTTAGCACTGTGGAGGTCAGGGGCGGGGGCACTGGAAGGAAACCCAGAGGGAGACTCCCCTAACTAGGGTTTCATGTCTGTTCAGCAAATAAGACTCTCCTTCTAACACCCTCTCCATCCATGCCTGAAGCCAGTTGTTCATGTCACAGGAAAACAGAACGACCTGACTCTTCCTTGGTAAAATCCCACCCGCCCCAGAGATGAGTGGTGCCTCCTCTGACTGGAGGCTGAGTCTCTGGGCAAAGATTCCTAGGAAATGAGTGGGTGATCTGTAACTGTTTTATAGAAAAATCGTGTTTCATTACAGCTGAATAGAAACAGCTGCATCAGTAATAACTGTACTACACACACCATCCTTCCAGAGAGCCTAGCTAAATAAACTGTTTCAAATCAGCCTCGGTAGCTTTTTAAAAGATGCCGCAGGCAGAGTTGAACAGAAGATAGTTTCAGGGCAGAGCAGGGCCTAGAATCTTGCTACTCTAAGTGTGGTCCATAGAACAGGAGTACGTCCCTCACCTGGGAGCCGGTCAAAAAGGCAGAACCTGGGCCCTACTCCCAAGCCTCTGAATCAGAATCTGCATTTTTAACAAGATTTCCCAGGTGATGTGCACGCACATTGAAAGTCTGAGAAGTGCTACACTGCCACACTGATCTCAAAGGGTTAAGGACAGTTCTCCAGCATTCTAGGAAATACTTGAAGGGTATCATAGTATTGGGACATTTATTTTCACATTTTCATAAAATCAAAATGCAGGAAGCTAGATATACTACCATGTATTTATATAAAGGGGAAACAGAGGTTAGTGATTGAGTGATCTGGTCAGAAGTCCAGGATGAGGCTGGGTGCGGTGGTCCATGCCTGTAATCCCAGCACTTTGGGAGGCCGAGGTGGGAGGATCACCTGAGGTCAGGAGTTCGAGACCAGCCTGGCCAACATGATGAAACCCCATCTCTACTGAAAATACAAAAACTAGCCAGGCATGGTGGCATGCACCAGTAATTCCAGCTACTAGGAAGGCTGAGGAGGGAGAATCGCTTGAACCCAGGAGGCAGAGGTTGCGGTGAGCCGAGATCATGCCATTGCACTCCAGCCTGGGCGATAGAGTGAGACTCCATCTTAAAAAAAAAAAAAAAAAAAAAGGAAGTCCAGGTTGAGCAGGTCAACTGTTAGCTCTGATTTTGGGAAGACAGCACCAAGGCATGGGTTTGGGAACATCTGCAGAACTGTGTTAAAAGTGGAAGAATGGAACCAGTTGGTGAACAGTAAACACTTTATTTTGGTTAGAGGAGAAAAGAGTTCTATAAACATCAAACTTTGGCTGATTTCCATAGTAGGGAAGAAGAATCAGCAGAGTATGATAGGCTATTTTAGACCAACTTCTGCTTCAGTAAAGCCTTCTACCTCCATCACTGGAGACTCAGTTTTCTGATGTGAAGTGCAAGATGTGGAAAAGAAATTCTAATGTCCTAGGACAGATGTACCCACAGTTCTAACTTTAGGAACAGATGTGGAAACAGAAATCCAATTGGAGATTTTTTTCTACAGACTTTAACATCCTGACCTACCCACCGAGAGAAGGAATAGGGAGGCGTGCTGATTGGTCATCATGCGCCGATTGGTCATTACAAATTGGTTGTATGGTACATGAGACAATATTGAAACTTGGGAAAATACTCTTCAGGAATTTGTAAAGCCTCTTTTTCATGGTTCCTTACCATCACATCACCTTTGGCCTCAAACAGAGAGTGCAAAGCAAATTCAGAATTGGTCCCTCCACCTGGCAATGCACTGGAACAGCACAAATTCAGAAGATTCTCCACTGTTGGGAATAAGGAGAAGCCAATGCATCAGAGAGAGCTGAGTGTAATGGAAAACACACCAATCCCAGAGCCAGTGATCTCAGTGAGAGAATCAAACCTCTCCCACCCAGCTCTTCCCATATGCCAATACCTCTTTGCTGGAGGTCATGGTTTTCTAGTTCTGGCCAGGGCTTCCATACCAGTGTGGCCTTGTGTGTGTCCTGGGCCAGGGCAGAGATATCTTGGAGTTCAGGGATTTCTGCTTGGAATCTCAAGCCAATGTTGATGCGTCTTTAAATGACAAGAAGAAAAACAACAATGTGGTCTTCAATTTGATGGCTCAGGCCAAGGGCAACTGTCAGGAACTTGAAAAAGAAGGAAACTAGTTCTTTCTGCAAGAATGCAGGGGCATTTCCTCACAGTGTGACCCTAAGATTCCACACGTGGCCTTTTCACTGGGATAAGGAACAGCTTTAAGATTAGGGAGAAATATTTTAGGAGCAAGGGGGCAGTCGGCCTGGGGCTTTTACAGCTCCCTGTAACTGGGAGAGGGAGGGTGATTATTTCCAACATAACAGTTTCCCAGAGCATGGCCAATGGTGCCATTTAACAACACAAAAAAGGGGACAAATACAAAGCATTCATTTTTTTATCTCTTTCAGATCACTTTCACAGATATTATCCCATCCGAACCTCACAGAGATCTGTGATGTAAGCAAGGCTGGAATAATTACTCCCATTTGACGAGTCAACTAAACCCTACAAAGGTTAACTGGATCAAGATCAAATTACAAAATGGTGTTGGAACTTAGGTTTTTTGATTCCTGACTCAATCTACTCACCACTCTACCACCTGGCCTCTTTTCTGTGCCTATCCATGAAAATAACCACCTTTGCCTCTCCTAATACCACCCACTGCCTATGCAAAATTAAAGTACTTAACAAGCCCATTTGGAGGACTGGCCAAGAATTGGGGAGGAGGGAAGTGAAGACATTCAGAAGGAGCCTCTTAAAGAATGAGCCACCCGGAGGGAGATGCCTGTGTCACTGGGGATGAGAAAGCACTGCCTGTGGAGCCAGACGCAGGGACGCTAGGCTCTCTGAATACAGGGCTTCATGCTTTGACCATGTATTTAGTCTTTGGCAAAGGCCTTGAAATACTGGCAACCATTGTGCAGGGAAACAACAGTACTCAAGAAATAACCACGATCCTACAATTTCTACAACTGCTCTCTCAGTGTAATCCTCTGACTACAAAAGTATTAACTATACTTCTCAAGAAGCTGAGGCTTCTGTTCTAAAGAGTAATTGACTTTTCCTTACGGTTCAACATCTACAGTCTGCTCTCCAGGCCCTGGGGTGACCGTCACGTTGCTGCCATCGATGCTGTCTAAAACACAAAAATCAGAGGTCACTAGTCAACAGGGAAGGAATGTTGAAAAAGACTAAAGCAAATGAGCAGTTACCTAACCAGCCATAATAGAGCTTCTCTCCTACCCAGCTCCTGCCAGAGTTATCCTTGACAGTTTCCAGGGAGCTGGGTGGAGTATGGTGCAAAATAACTTAGGGTTACCCATTTCTCACACAGGGTGAGGAGAAGCCAGCTGTCCCACAATGGTCTGCTAAGCGGTATGATTTCTATGCAATTATTCTTGCTCCAGAAAGAGATCCTAGCCTCTCTATGCTTGATTTTTATAAAGCATGCTAAAATGTCAAGGCTTGATCTTGCATGTAATACCTAATCTTATTTGTACATCTACTGAGTACATTTTCTTTTTTTTGAGACGGAGTCTCGCTCCTTCGCCCAGGCGGGAGTGCTGTGGCGCGATGTCGGCTCACTGCAGCCTCCGCTTCCCGGGTTCAAGAGATTCTCCTGCCTCAGTCTCCTGAGTAGCTGGAACTACAGGTGCCTGCTACCACATCCCGTTATTTTTTTTTTTGAGACGGAGTTTCACTCTCATCCCCCAGGCTAGAGTGCAGTGGCATGATCTTGGCTCACTGCAACCTCTGCCTCCCAGGTTTAAGCGATTCTCCTGCCTCAGCTTCCCAAGTAGCTGGGATTACAGGTGCGTGCCACCATGCCCGGCTAATTTTTGTATTTTTAGTAGAGACGGGGTTTCACCATGTTGGCCAGGCTGGTGTCCAACTCCCGGCCTCAAGTGATCCACCCGCCTCGACCTCCGAAAACGCTGGGATTACAGGTGTGAGCCACCGCGCCCGGTCTCATTTTTTCTCTCTTGCACGATCATTGCTGGCAGCCTTAAAAAGTGGGTGAACATTTCAACTGTTTCCTTATCCCAGAGACTGTAGTGATCACTTTATGCATCTGTCTCCCAATTAGACTGCGATTCCCTTGAGGATAAGGGCTATGTATTCCAAGTCTTTCTTAACACCCAGCAGCGCGTGCTACATACAGCCAATACTCCGCAAAAGTCTGTGGGATAAATGAGAAAGCTAAAGAAAACGAGATGTCCCAGGACTTTACCCAGCACCCAGAGCCCAGGAGGACGCTAAAGGGGTGACTCACTGGAGCGACACAGCAGCACCCGTGGTGTGGGCGTCAGGGGCGTCAGGGGCAGCTGCGGGTGGGCGCCAGGGCCGTGGCCGGAGATGAGGACATTGCTGAAGAGCCCCGAGCCCTGGCGCACCGGGCTCAGCATGGGTGGGGGCGTGTAAGGGGGCAGCTCGTGGGTGGGGTCCAGGAGCAGGTGGTCCCCGAGGACGCGCGGGGAGCGCAGCTGGCTCTGGTACAGGGTGGCGCCCGAGTAGGAGGCAGCGGGGTTCGGGTTGTAGGAGGGCGGCGGCGGGATGAAGAGAGGTTCCGGCCGGTGCCGGAACTTTTTCTTCTCCTGCACGGTCTTGAGGGGCTCCTCGGCTTTGGGCACACTCGGCTGATGCTTCCTGGGGATTTCCTAAAACCGGAACAACGATCTGATTCGAATACTTCAGCTTCCCCCGCAGGCCATTTCCACAGGTTCAGGGAAGGGGGCCTTCTACTGTCTAAGCAGAGAGCCCTTCTGCTTGACCCCCCCACCCCCAACGCCCCCACATTCTGACCACATCCATTTTAGGCAAAGCGAGTTCTGGTTGCTAGACTAGGGAGAAAACTAAGGTTTTGGAAGAAATCCCTAATTTCTGAAAGAGCTGGGGGTGGTAGGAATAGTGGGTGGGCAAGAAGTAATAAATTCAAATTCTTTATTGCTTATCACTACATTCCCATCTGTTTGAGTGGAATCCAGCTGAGTGGGCTCTTTAATTCCCCCATTGCTCCCCAGGGACGGACATCAGGAACAGATACCACATGTTCTGAGAAGGGGACAGAATAATCTCTTCAGGGAAGCTGGGACCGAGACCTGTGAGGCAGGAAGTGGGGGTTCAAGCCTAGCCAAGGTTCCTAAGGCCAGCGACCCACACCGGGCTCTCCTGGGTCACTTTCAGCAGGGGGGGAGAGCCTTCGATGACCTCTAAGGGCCCTTCCATGTGCTCACCTAAAAACGGATCTGGTTAACCTCCCCCGTCACCACCCCTCACTATTGCTCCCAGAACTCGTAGCTTATTTGTAGCAAACTCTTCTCTGAGGTTGGCTTCCTGTCAGGAGAGTTAGTTTATTTTAATGGCAGCGGAACCAAGCATAGTCTGGAAGGAGGATCTGCCACATGGATACATATATACTAATAAGTAAACATAGGCACGTAAACAGATGAGCAGGGCATGCCAAAGCCAAACAGAAACAGACTCGGGTTGTGTGGTAGCATCAGCCCAGAAAAGTCGAGAGCTGGGTGTGGCTGCAGAGGCAGTGTGGTTGGGAGGGGCCACGGGGATACCTGAGGGAAGGTTCTGGGCAGTCTGGGGTGCCCTCTCAGGCCCTGCAGGCCAGGGGCCAGTCACAGCTGCAGGTCCTGGAGACTCCTGAGCCCAGGGTGGCGCCTGGGTAGGAAGCAGCAGGGGGTGATGGGAAGGGCTGGCTACGGTCATGTGACCATCTGCCTCCAGGCCATGTGACCTGCCCCATGGGCTCCTCTGCTCTGGGCTCCTCTCCCTCCAGAGCTTCAGGCTCTGCCCCCTTCTGTTTCTCCCTCAGCTTCTCTGCCTTCCATGGTGCCATCCTGGCCTCTAGGAGAGGAGTCTAGGGAGGCAGAGAGTGGGGAAAGGAGGAGGGGGCAGAGGGTCCCAGGCTCCCGGCTCCAGAGTGAGGTTCCTAACTACCCCCGCCCCCACCCCTCCCCTATCCCCGCGCCTCACCCCCAGGGGACCCTCCTTAGGCCAGCGCGCTCAACCGCCTCTTTTCTCCACCAGAGGGCTCCTCAGCGCCTGAGGCTGAGGCGAGAGAGGGGCTGAGGAGAATGGGGGAAGGAGGCCTGTGCCCCCCCCAAGGGGAGCAGCCCTGAAGATACACTCTGTTCCCGGGTAACAGATAAGATCATCCAAGAACATGCAGACCTTATATGATCTCAACGCAGCACTGCAATCCAGACCTCTGATCACAGGGCCAGAGGTCCCTTTTGGGCTCCCTCTCCTCCAGCTTCTTGTCCTGTTACTCCAGCTCTAAACCTGGATTTTCCGATCCTCCAGGCAAGGCTCTGAGCCACTGGGCAAGAGAAGCCACCCAGGATGTCATATATGGTTGTCACTTGAGAGGAAACACTTACAGTGTTCCACCCCACCAAGCTATTTGGACACTTTGGGGGTGAGGCCAAGCACTGAAAACTTTAAAAAGCTGCCCACAGAGAAGGATGAGAACCACTGATGAGTCCAACCCTATCAAGGTCAGGGGAGGAAACTGAGGCTGTGAGTGGGGGGCAGGTCTCAGCTGTCTTCATCCCAGCTGGCTAGGAGCCAAACTGAGATGGGCACTCGGGGCTCCTTCCTGGATGTTTTAATTTCTTTACATTAAGTGCCAGGGCCTTGTTCCCATGTATTCAGTCCCACCTACATGCTTCCACTTCAGCCTACCGCCCCCACCAACGAGGTCTCTCTCACCCTTCCATTAAGCCAAGTTCATCCCTTCCTTCAAAATCCTGCTCAGAACTCTAATGGTGATCTCCTGAGCAAACTCCCTTGCCCCTCCCCAGTCCATAATGACTTTGGCTACCCAGGTGTATTCTCATCCAGTCACACTTAAAGCATCAATTTCTTGTCTGCCCCTGTCTTTCTCTTACCATCTTGAAGGGGTGGGGGGGGTGTGCCTGGGACTCTGACCCCCATGTGACTATGAACTCTTAATTGAGAGTTCCCCAAGGGAACTATTTCCCCAAGGAAACACTGTTTCTCCTGCCAAAGCACGAACTTCCCTGGGCAAAGAGGGAGCTTGGATGTGTCATTTCATCTCTCTGCCTGTTGCTGACCCCCAAGTCCTGACGGCTTATGAGAATCTTCCCCCCAGTTCTCCATCAGTTTCTCTTCTTTTGAGGACTTGATATTACACCATAAAGGTTTTTTTCTGTACTTTTCTAGTTGTATTCATTATCTTCTCTCCCTCTACCCTGGCCCAGCCTACCCTTATGCCTCCTGGATTCCCAGCAGCTACCTATTCCTAAGGACAAATATGACCCAACATGCCACTTTGTGGGGAGGGGGTAGGTTTGATATTGCCAACCACACAGGTCACAAATTCCCTAGGGGCAGAGAGAGAGAGAGAGAGAGAGAGAGAGAGAGGAGAGAGAGAGAGAGAGAGAGAGAGAGAGAGAGAGAGAGAGAGAGAGAGAGAGAGAGAGAGAGAGAGAGAGAGAGAGAGAGAGAGAGAGAGAGAGAGAGAGAGAGAGAGAGAGAGAGAGAGAGAGAGAGAGAGACAGACAGACGGAAACCCTTCCCAGAGGCAAATTAAGCTGTTTGAGTGAAGCACTTAAAATTGGAGAAAGGAGAACAGTGAGTGAGAAAAACAAATCTCTTTGCTTTCCTGAGATTAGGGGTGGGTGGCTCTCAGTGGAACTACTTTGGGAACTTTAACGAATTAGGTTCTCCAGGGTATTTAAGCAGACAAAAATATTAAGCAACTGGTAAGGCTGCTTGTCAGAATGGATGCCAGGGCTATTGCCTGGAAGCCTGCTGCGCCAGTGGTTACCTCTTTGGTTGTGGATTTGGGAGGTCTGGAGATCCTGGGGAAGGGGCCAGGGCCTGGGGCAACAGCTGCTTACTTTCTGGGATACAGGACTTCCATATTTCAATAATGGCTATGATTGTCTCAGTGACTCCCAGCTGAATGATCGTCTCTGTTTAAACCTGGGAACACTTTCGGGTCTCTCAGAATCTAACCTAGGCCATTAGTTTGGCATTTAATGGGGAGCAGGCAGTGTGAACAAGGGTAGGGTTCCCAATGTGGCCACGGGTTCAGCCCTGAGAGACCAAGCCGTATCCAAGCTCAGGTCAGTGACTCTGGAAGGGCCGCCCCATCTCCAAGAAAGCAAAGGGATGTCCCCACCCAGGCAGGTGGGGCAGAGCAGCAACTCACAGCAGGCGTGCGGGGGGCAGCCCCTTGGGGTGAGTGTGGGGGAGAGAGGGTCATCCTCACGAGCACAGGCATCTCGTCGTCCGACATCGAGCTGGCTGGCTTGTCTCTGGCGGAGGGGGCGGCAACGGTGCTGTTGGTGAACCCCTGAGAGCTGGGCTTGGGCGGGAGAAGCTTGACAGGGACAGACACGGGCATGACCATAGGCGTGAGGCTTTCTGCCTCGGGAGGGAGCTGTGGTGGCGGCGGAGGCGGAGGCGGAGGCGGCAGTGGTGGCTGGGGCTGAGGCGGCAGGACCTTCTCTCCTTCCTCCTACACAGACAATAAAGGCTTTGATCCTGGGCTGAGAGCAGCTCTCACAAGGGGGATGCACTTTGCTTTTCCCGAAAGGTTCCAGGACATCAGGTATGGGTGATAGAGAACCGCTGCAGGGCGATTTCCTTCCTGCAATCCTGAGTCCCTTGGCTGGAGTGATGCCAGCTGATGGTGGAAGAGGCTGGACTCCATTTTTTACAGTTAAAAATTCTTGACCATGCATTACTTGTGTATTAAACTATTTTAAAAAAATTGTGTGGTTGTCATGCTTTTAAAGAAAGGGACACGGACTTGTAATCAGTCCAAAAGAAGGTACGATCTTGTGTAGGAGTTTTTAATTCTATGGGCCTTAGTTCACTCATTTGTCAAATGGAAATAGGCATTCCATCCTAAATTTTATTCAGGTCAGGAAACCACACTGGAGATACAAAACATGTACTTTTAACAAGTAAAGACAAAAGCTTTTTTAAAAAACATAATCTGGCATGGCCAGGAGATGGAGTGATCTGGGTAATCAAAAATTCTGTTCAACAGAGATTTAATCCCATAGATTTAAATTAAGAGTAACAATATTAAAATAATTCTGAGAAAATTTTTTGATTTTAATCTAACTCTAAAATTTGTGGATAGTTTACTATCTGGATATCCTACCTGGATAATCCAGAGGGTATTTAAGGATCTTTGGATGTTGAGCTGAACACCACTGCATCAGTAAATAGAAAATTCTGGCTGAGAGCCTGATGATTATATTAGCTTTCTCTGGCAATTGACCACTAATCTGGAAGGCCCCAGTGGGCCTGGTCTTGGGTGTGTCAAGCAGCAGAAGTTTAAAAATAATATTGCATTTACATGTTTTCCTTTGCTGTCTTCTCCAGGAGGCAGAGAGAGAAGCTGGGATGCCCTAAAAGGCTTTCTAGCGCCTCTGATTTTGACCCTTGCTCATCATAAAGCTGGGGAAGTGGGGCTGCTTGACCTGGCTGGCTCCCAGCGCCAAAGCCTAAGCATTCCTGTCAAGGGAGGACTGTGCCTCGCCAGGTCCCGCATGGGGCTCACATCACTCTCTGTCTGACGGCAGCAAAGCAAAGCAAGCAGCACACGACCTAGAAAGGACCGGGAACTGGCTCCTGCTAACCTGTTTGAGGTTGGGGGAGGCCCTCATTCCCCCGTGGGACCGCATGTGGCCATTCAGGGCAGGCAGGTTCTTGAACTCCTTCAGGCAGATGGAGCATGTCAGCTTGTTCTTGGCATCAAACTGCTCCCCAAACGCTCCTTTGGGTTGGCCACTGCTCAAGGGAAGAGTCAAATGGAGAGGACACATACGTTGAGGAAGGGGAAACAGTGACTTGCCACAAGACCTCATACCCACCACAAACCCATTTCATTCATCCAATGATCCCATTGTCCATGGCACCACTTGTATCACCCCAGTGCCCTTTAGAGAACAAAGTTCAATTTATAGATGAAAAACTGAGGCTCCAGAGTGGGAAAAGGCCTTCTCAAAGTCATGCAAGAATTGAACAAAATGTCCTTCTTCATACCAAGGCTTCAGGCAATGGATTTTGACTTGGGAACGATAGCTTATTACCCTTCCAGGGTCAGCCTGAGCCCAGCTCCTCCAAAAGCCTCCCCACTTAGAGACATTTGTGCAAGTTCCTGGGGCAGCCGCCGTACTGCACGCTTCAGCAGTTTATCAGGTTTGGCTAAATCTTTATTGACCATGCCCATGGGATGAGGAAGCAAGTCTGTACTGTTCACTGCTGCATTCTCAAAACCTAGCTCTATGCTTGGCACACAGTAGGCACTCAATAAATACTGAATGAATGCACAGTGGACAGAACATGGGCTTTGCAGTCAATCCCAGCATTGTTACTTGATATGTAACCTTAAGCTCTTTGAGCCTCAGTTTTCTCATCTGTAAAGTAACAATCATAATAGCTAACAATTATTGAGTGCTTACTGAGTATAGGCACATCGTAATCACACCCACCCTCATAGGTTACTTTACTATACATAATGCCTAGTGCTTAGCCCATAGTATGCACTCAAACACAACAGCTGCTATTATTATTTCTACACACTTCTTTGAGGAATGACTTGGAATTTAAAAATGAATCATGAGAGACACCCCAGAAAATCCTCCCCGTCTCCCAAAATACCAACAAGGTTCCACTCATCCTACCTTGACTCAGGGGACCCTGGCTGGGCTCTCCCATCAGGTAGGTGCATCTAATTTTGAGCCAAACAGGACACCGAAAAAAAGAAGAGAAAAAAACGTGTTCTGAAGGGAGAAGTCCTCGAGCAGTGGGAACACCAGGTACTCTTCCAGGACTCTTTCTGCTGTCTGCTTCGTGCTGACCCCATTCATGTCCACTCACTCCCTCACTCTTCTGCAATTGACTTCTGTCCCTGAATTGCTCCTTGACTTGGGACCACCGCCCCACTCCTGGAGCTGCTGCCAGCCACAACAAGCCCACCAGGATGCAACTCCCCCACCGTGTTTTTTCCTGTTCTCCCAGGGCACCCACTCTGTGCACAGACAGACTCCATTCCCATAAGGGACACAGAAGAAAGAGGTGGGAGACGCAGCATTATGCCAGGAGACCCCCTGATGGAATTCTTTTTTTTTTTTTTTTTTGAGACAGGGTCTTGCTCTGTCACCCAGGCTGTAGTGCAGTAGCATGATCATGGCTCACTGCAGCCTCCACCACCTGGACTTAAGCAATCCTCCTGCCTCAGCCTCCCAAGTAGCTGGGACTACAGGTGTGCGCCACAACACCCAGCTAAATTTTTGATTTTTTGTAGAGGCAAGGTCTCGCTATGTTGCTTAGGCTGGTCTCGAACTCCTGGGCTCAAGTGATCCTCCTGTCTTGGCCTTCCAAAGTGCTTGGATTATAGGTGTGAACCACCATATCTGGCCCTGGAATTCTTCTTAAAAAGCCTTAGCCAAATCATCTCATTCTTATATTTACAAAGGCTCTCAGTTACCACTGGTTCTGAACCCCAGACAAAACAAACTCAAGGGGAAGTTCATCTCTGGCCTTCAACCTCCATCAGAACTTTCTTTCTATCCAACCAGTTCCCATTTGGGGTCACCTCCTCCTCAGACACTGCTGTCATGTGACTGTATGCCTTGGAATAAGCCAAGGCATGAAAAGTGCCCAGCACATAGTAGGCTGTTTTCTGGTCAAATATTTTTGGGAACAAATCAAGGGTTAATCATGGTGCACAAGATGAACCGGCCTGCAGACATGTTTGTTTGGCTAGACTGTTTTTTAAAAACCCTTAATGAGAATGCTATGGGATGGGGCATCTGCTCTCTAGTTCACAGTCACCACCACTGCCTAATGTCTCATACCAGACAGTTTTGCTTATTTACTTTCCCAGCCTGGATCATGTGGGCAGCTAAGGTTTTCATCTCCACAATCACACATGGTATCTGCGAGACTCACAATGCATACTACCATATTAAAGGTCACAAAAAGTCCTGCAGTACAGCACCCTGTTTCACTTTGGGAGGCTAAAGCAGGAGGATCGCCTGAGGCCAGGAGTTCAAGAGCAGCCTGGGCAACATAGGGAGACCTGTCTCTACAAAACAAAACCAAACCAAAGAAAGTGCTCAGGCCCAGGTGGCATGCACCTGTAGTTCTAGCTATGTGGGAGGGTGAAGTGGGAGGATCGTTTGAGCCCAGGAGTTCAAGGATGCAGTGAGCTATGACTGCATCACTGCATTCCAGCCTGGGTGACAGAGCAAGACCCTGTCTAAAAAAAGAAAAAAGGGGCCAGGCACAGTGGCTCACACCTGTAATCCCAGCACTTTGGGAAGGTAAGGCAGGCGCATCATGAGGTCGGAGTTTGAGACCAGCCTGACCAACATGGTGAAACCTTGTCTCTACTAAAAATACAAAAACTTAGCTGGGTGTGGTGGTGTGTGCCTGTAATTCCAGCTACTTAGGAGGCTGAGGCAGGAGAATCACTTGAACCCAGGAGGTGGGGGAGGTTGCAGTGAGCCGAGATGGCGCCATTGCACTCCAGCCTGGGCTACAGGGTGAGACTCCATCTCAAAAAAAACAAAAACAAAAATAAAAACAAAAACCCTGGTGTATTTATCCTGAGAACCCACTGTTTCCCCAGCAATATCCATTAAACACTGTGGAATGGCTGTTCTGAGCAATATACTTTGAGAAATGCTGTCATAACGTGGTCTCCCTCCCAAAGGGGGACCAATGTCACAGAGCATATCCAGAGCACACAGATCCAAGGGAACTGAGACACCAACACTGTGTGGTCCCCTGGCATGTGACTCAAGGTCTTGACCATTACGTGAATCATTTAGGGCATGATGTGGTACTCTGGCCATCTCCTTAGTAGATTATAAGCTCCATGGCCAAAGGACTTAATAGAGATTGATTTTGTATTCCAAGTGCTTGGCACAGACAGTGCGTGACACATGTAGGTTAATGTTTGTGGAATTAGTAAAGAACAAAAGGGTTGAGGGGGCTTGGAGAGAGGATTGAGCACTGCAGACTCAGCCCTGACCCTGTAGCACACTGGGTATTGAGAGAAACTTCCAATGGGAGAATACCTGGGGCCACATGGCACTGGGAGACAGCTGCTGATGCTGAGGCCCCATGTTGTTGAGGTGGATCCCACTGGGGGATAGGAGGGGGCGATGGGGGAGGGTGCTGCTGACCCGGGTCAGATCTGAGCTCGCTGGGTCTCCCATTCCTGTGTCAGGAGGCCCCAGGTCCCCATGGGAGCTCAGCATGGCCTGGGCCTGTCTGTCACTAGAGTAGGTCTTCAGCTGACTGTCCTCACGCTGCTGGTGCTGGGACAGGTGGCTCTGCTGGTAGAGGGGGTGGCTGTAGGGCTGCTGGGGCTCCTGGTAGTAGTACTGGGACATGGAGCCCAGGGGAATCAGCTGGACAGTGTGTGCCTGCTCTGGGGTATACTGGTGAGGGTCCCTGTGATAAGAAGGAGGCTGCAGGTGCATCTGTTGCTGCTGCTGCTCTTGCAAGTGCTGCATCATGGGTTGGGGCTGATAATACTGAGGTATCTGCATTGAACCCTGCCGCTGCTGCAGCTGTAGCTGCTGCGGCTGCTGCTGCTGTGGCGGCGGCTGTGGCTGTGATGGGCGAATTTGTTGCGGCTGCGTCTGTATTTCTTGCATGGAGATACGCTGTTGCCCGGCTTGCTGCTGTTGCTGCGGTGGGTAATACTGGTGCTGCTGCATCTGTTGCATGTGCTGTGACAGCATCTGTGGGGCCTGCAGTGGCTGTCCTCCCTGCACTGGCACCTGAGCCAGAGGCTGCTGGTAGTCATAATACAGGTGCCCTTGGGTAGGGTGCTGCCCGACCTGAAGAGCTGGTTTGGACAGCCCACCAGTGAAACCAGGGTGAGGCTGCTGGGGCACCTGCTGGTAGCGGGAAGGGATAGCCGGTGCTGGGGGCTCCATGGGCTTCTGAGACAGCAGCTGGCGGAGAGCACTGTCAGGGGCTCCATCCATCACTGCTGACTGAGTGTGCAGCACCTGGGCCATATTGTTGACCTGAATTCGCAGGTTTTGGTTGGCAAACACCTGGGTGAAAGAGTCCAGCTTGTGTAAGACACCGCTGGTAAGCTTCTGGGTCCGGATCTCGCTGGCCTGGGAGTAGGTGTATTGGTAGCCATCAGTGGGCTCAGCCTGGGCTGGTGCCCCCCACATCATGTTTGAGTTGGCCAGGTTTCCACGTAGCTGGACATGGTTTCCAGGCCCTGCATGACTTCCCCACCCTCCCTGCCTCGAGGTATCCATTTGGCCAAGGTTTTTGGAGCCAACAGGCAAGCCCAGACCATCCCGTGTATCTTGAGGGAAGTGGGGGGAGATTGGCGAGGCCTGAGGGGCATCCATTCCGCCCCCTGTAACTGCATTCCCATAGTTGTGGTTCAGCCCGCTGTGGACGCCAAGTGGTGGCTGTTGGTAGAAAAGGTTCTCACTACCATGGGCCACATGGTTGGTCTTGTACAGTTGCTGGTCACCCATGCTGTCTGCCTTGGTTGTGAACGTCCAGCCACAAAACCATAAAAAAGGTAAATAAAACAAACCCAAAAGGACTGAAACCCTGAGAAGCTGAGAGAAAAGTGTCAGCACTACTCCACGGCTGACATGTCTGTGAACGTGGCTGGAGCCAGGTGTTCCTGTTGGCCTGTACCACTCATGTGCAGGGCGGGGGGTTTCACATCCTCTCCCTGGCTGAGGTATAGACCACACAGCACTGTGGTGAGGAGACGTCGCTCACACCTGCAAGGCAAGATGCAAAAGACAGGAAAGGATTTATTTGGATGTTTTGTGATGAGCAATTGATATCCACCATGACCAGTGATAAAAATAAACATATAATCCCAGCTACCTGGGAGGCTGAGACATGAAGTTCATTTGAGACCAGCCTGGGCAACATAGGGAGATCCCGTCTCAAAAATGTTTTTAAATTAGCTGGGTGTGGTGGCATGCGCCTGTAGTCCCAGCTGCTCAGGAGGCTGAGGAAGGAGGATCACTTGGGACCAGAAGTTTAAGGCTGCACTGAGTTATGACTGCACCACTGCACTGCAGCCTAGGTGACAGCATAAAACCGCACCTCTCTCTCTCTCTGTGTGTGTGTATATATATATATGAAACAGGAGACTCGATTAGAAATAGCCAGTGTCATGCACTCCACACCCTTTTCACTGAGTCTGCAGATCTTAACTCTCACATGAGATGCAAACTCTCTTACTTTCAAGCCATTGTTCAATGGCTCAGTAGTTCATTGATTTGTTAATTCATTGTTTTGTTCATTGATTAATTCATCCATTCTTCTGAGACCCTGCTATTGAAAGCCCAACACTATTCTAGGACCTGTGGGAAATATAAAGAAGTTTAAGATATGCATTAATCAATTTATCTGTTCAACACATATTTATTAGACACCTATTAACTGTAAGGCACAATGCGGAGAAATGACTAAGACATAGGCCTGCTCTCAAGCATGTAGTTAGAAAAGGTGATGAGTCGCATAAATAATTACAAAGGGGAAAACGATGCATGTAATCAAAAGGTAAAAATAAGAGAAGCAGGGTGTGATGGCACGCACCTGTACCCCCACCTATCAGGAGACTGAGGCGAGGATTACTTGAGCTAAGGAGTTCAAGACTAGCCTGGGCAACACAGCAAGACCTCATCTCTTTTTTTTTTTTTTTTTTTTTTGAGATGGAGTCTCGCTCTGTTGCCCAGGCTGGAGAGCAATGATGCGATCTTGGCTCACTGCAACCTCCACCTCCTAGGTTCAAGCGATTCTCCTACCTCAGCCTCCTGAGTAGCTGGGACTACAGGTGCCCGCCGCCAAGCCCAAATTTTGTATTTTTAGTAGAGACAGGGTTTCACCGTGTTAGCCAGGATGGTCTCGATCTCCTGACCTCATGATCCGCCTGTCTCTATCAAAAATACAAAAATTAGCTGGGCGTGGTGGCAGGCGCTTGTAATCCCAGCTACTTGGGAGGCTGAGGCAGGAGATTCACTTGAACCCGGGAGGCAGAGGTTGCAGTGAGCCGAGATTGTGCCACTGCACTCCAGGCTCTGTGACAAGAGCAAAACTCCATCTAAAAAAAAAAAAAAAAAAAGAGGTTCAATTTCTACATCCTCAACTTGAAATTCTTTCTAGAACTCATGGATGGCAGAGGTGCAAGCTGTCCTTTTAGGACTTCTCTTTCCTAATCACCCTCCTTTACGAAAAGAAGGGCAAACTTCTCATGTACTACACCAGGGAGAACGAAAAATGGAAACACAATAAATGCTGATCCTTGTCTCATGCTAGTAATAAATAATATTCTTCCATGGATAATGAAATTGAAAATATAGCTCAGCACCAACAATATTTTATTTCTAGACCTGGATGGTAACTGCATGGTCATTCTCACTCTGCTGTAATTCAAGCTATGCACTATGACCTGGTCATATACATAAAGGTGTATATGTCGTATGTCAATTAAAAAAAGTTTATTTTAAAAAGTCACCCCCCCCAAAAAAAGTTACCCAGTACCACCATTTCATTTAGAGATGCATTTTCAATATAATTTAACTATTTATGTTTATAATTTATCCAAATTAGTAATACATTAAATGTTTTGATCAACTGTGTACTATTAATAATTGTGATAACTCAAACCAGAAGAACATTTTAATACTTAGATCTTTTGATTTTAGGAAATTAAAAAAGTTTCAACTTTATATAAAATTGTTACAGAAAAATATGGTAGGGAAACAAGTGAAAAAGTTCCAAGCATAAAAATATATTACACATATCACATTAGGATAAAATTCCATAGGGCAAGTGAAATGAAAATACAATTTCCAGAAGAAAAAGGAACACTGACTATTAAAGAGGGTGTTCATGCGTTTTTAAAATGGATGACGGGAGGTATTAAATTGCTATGGTGTTTAGATTCCACTGGATAAATTTAAAACAGTGATGTAATAGTTTTGCTTAAAAATATCAATGTTTACAACCTACTGGAAATGGTATCTTCAGCAAATGTATCATAAAAAAATGTGTGTGTAAACTTAAAACTGTATGAAGGGGCAAAGAGTTTTAAAAGATTCTTTTAGGGAGGATTTTAAACAGAAAAGTTTGAAGACCACTGCAGTCGTACCCTTCTACCTGGGAGTGAGCTGAGTTGGTCTGTCCCTTTCTGAACTATGAGAGAAAGAGATGGAAAACTTCAGATGAGGGGTTGCATTTGGTGGAGTGAAGGGTGGAGGAAGGCGAGCCGTGGGTGGAAGGGGAGGGTGGCCAAGGATGGCTGCAGCAGTGAAAGGATGCTGGGCGTGAGAGTGCTGAGCTTCAGAAGCAAGGAGACTAATGAACCTCGCTGCTCAAAGGGTGGTCCAGGTCCCCTGGGAGCTGGTTAGAAATGCAGAATCTCAGGCTCCAGTTGAGATCTATTGAATCAGAATCTGTATTTTATTGAGATGATGCCCACCCCCAAGTGAGTCATGTCCAGATGAAAATTTGAGAAGCACTGAATTAGCAGACTCTTGCTGCATCCAGGTGAGGCATAATTAAGACCAGAACTCAGAAGACAGTGAGCAGGGAGAGAGGGAGAAATAAGAGAAACATTCCCTGTCTTGCCAGTGGGAAGCAACTCTCCTTCCTTGAAATGCTCTGGCCCACTGGGGCTTATGACCCAGTCTCAGACACCCACTCCTTTCCTCACACATATTCTCTCCTTTGATAGCCTCATCCACCACCCATCCTTTCTGACCCCCAAAGATTGCCCCCAGCTCAGATGGTCTGAGATCCTGATCAGCTGCCTACTCTACGTCACCACGTCCATATTCAAAGGCAATTCAACATCATCTCTCCCAAACTGGATGCTGTTTTCAGAGAGCTCTTTCCTTGAACCTGCCATGCTCCCTTCCACTGCAGGGCCTTTGTACATGATGCCCCCTCACCATTTGGAGAGCTCTTCCCCTCCTCCCCGCCACTGGGTATCCTTCAGATCTCAGCTCAAACTACACATTCTCAGAAAGTTCACTCTGACCCCAATCCCCAAGTCTACATCAGATTCCTTTCTTATATGTTCTCATAAAACCATATTCCTTTCCTTTAGACTACTCTCTTCCGCTTGTAATTGCACTTCCACCAGTGCAATTATTTGATTAATGGATCTTTCTCTATTAGAGCAGGAATCAGGTCTATTTTTACCTAGGAGTCTCTTCCTCAAACCAACCATAATGCCCAGCACACTGTAGGACTCCAATAAGGATTTGTTGAAGGAAGGGCAGTATTTATTGAATGAATAAATCAACAAATGAGAAAAAATTAGAAAACAATGATCAAATATCCCAGTGAGTTTAGACAGGCAGAAAAAGACACTCAGTATAGATCAAGAAGTTCTTACGTTCTCATGAAGCATAGTCAGATTGCACCTCGGTCCTGATAGACAAATAGGGCTTACAGAGGTGGAGAGGACCAGGAAGGGTATTCCAGACAGGGAACAGCATAAACAAAGGCATAAAGTCAGGTGCAGGAGTTCATGCTGGGACATCATGTCCTTGTCCAGAACTCACCAATGATCAGGCTACATTTGTAAGAAAAGGATAAGTTGTAGTGGGCCTTAAAGTGACATCCAACAGTATTATCCTTTGGGCATTAGGCCTGGCTATTTCAGAATGCTCTACCAGGCTTAAACCTCTTCACTTAGCCTTCCTTAAAAGGCTTATACAAAGTCACCACACTCAGGAAGAATTACTTGTTGAAACTCACCCGACTTTGAGCACTATTGATTTCATGTCTCTCTCCTATGGCCCTGTGGGTAGAATGGAAGCTAGATAATTGAACTTCTGTTGACATGTTTGCTTTGTTAAGTCTTCCCAAACTGCTAGGGAAAGGGATTACTTTGCATTCTGAGTTGCAGGAGGCTATTCTTTATTTGTTGACATTTCCAGAACTGGAATATAGTTTATTTACAAGCACAGAACCCTAGATGGAACCCTAGGTGGGTTCCCAAAGTGTGGTTCTTGGGCTAGCAGCCCCAGGATCACCTGGGAAATAACAAATACTAATTCTTAGGCCCCATCCAGACCCACTAAATCAGAAACTCAGGCTGTGGCTCAGCAGTCTGTGTTTTAATGAGCCCTCTTGGTGAGTCCGATGCACGCTTAAGTTGAAGATCTCTGCCCCAGAGATGATCCAGTCTCTCCACATTACAGATGAGGAAACAGAGAAACAGAGGCCCAGAGAGGTAATTTCTGGGCCTAGAACAGTGCCTCGCTAATGGTAGAAAATCAAGCCTCATTTGTTCAATGAAAGAAGAGGAAAATGGCTCAAGCCTGTAATCCTAGCACTTTGGGAGGCCAAGGCAGGGGGATTACTTGAGGCCAGGAGTTCAAGACCAGTCTGGCCAACATGGCAAAACCCTGTCTCTACTAAAAAAAAATACAAAAATTAGCCAGGCGTGGTGGTGCACCCCTGTAGTCCCAGCTACTTGGGAGGCTAAGGCACAAGAATCCCTTGAACTTGGGAGGTCAAGGTTGCAGTGAGCCGAGATCAAGCCATTTCACTCCAGCCTGGGCAAGAGAGTGAGACCCTGTCTCAAAAAATAAAAATAAAAATAAATTTTAAAAAAAGAGAGAGAGAAAGAGAAAATGATTTTTCCTAAAACACCATAGGGAGATAATGGCAAAACATGTGCTATTTATTTTACATTAAATGTAATATTTTTTGAATAGGTACTATATTCACATGGTTCAAAATTCAAAAGGTTAAAATGGACATGCAAAACAGCAAAAATTATCCTAAATAAATGCCTGTAAATAAAGTGAAAAGCATGCAAATTGTAAAAATACGGGCGTGAAAAGTCTCCCTCCACCTTCCACCCCCATCCCCAGCCACCCAGTACCCCTTCTGGGACAGTCAATCAGGTTCTTATATATCCTCCTAGAGACACTTTATGCTCATACAAGAACACTAATGCACAGCCCGTCTTATACAGATGGTAGCGTGCTACGCCGTGGTTTAGCATCTTGCCAAAAGGCTATTTTAAACATATCATTTAAAACCTGAAAACTGTTCTTCTTAGTGGATTAGTCAATCTCACAGAATTCTTATAATACCAACTCAGGATTCAAGTCTTTATTATTTTTCTAACAAGGTAACTGTTTTGCTCATTATGTGTAACAATTTCTACTGGGTAATTTGTACCAGGAGCTTTTTCATTCATGAACTAATTAACAGAACTGCTACCTTCCCATTTCTTCGGTCAATTTCTTCCTTAGAGCAGGACTCCAGGATTCCAGGGTGGGCTCAACAAATAAATGCCCACTCAGAACCTAAGGTGCCACTCCACGCTCCCACAGAGCCTGTGACCGCTTTTCCTCTGCACTGACCATGTCACAGTCAGGCGACCCACTTCCGTGCCTGTCTGCACACTGGCTGCCCAGTCACTGTGATGTAGGGACAGCAGCCTGCCCATGTGGTGTCCTCAGGGACTGGGACATAGCAGATGCTCAACAAACGCTCACTGAACTGCAACACTGCGCTAGGCAAAGGAGACCTAGAGTGGCTTGTTCCCCTCTGCAGGTCCCATGCCTCTGACATGGACTAAGGGACAGAATTTACTAGTTTCTGTTGAGGGCATAGTGCCCTAAAGCACCAAATTTATGGAGTGCTGTAGATAATAACAAGGCTCTACAGAGACCTCCCAGCACACTTTTTCTATACAGGGCCAGCTAGTAAATATTTTCAGCTTTGGGGCCCATACATATGGTTTCTGTCACAACGCTGCCACGGTAGCGTGAAAGCGGCCACAGACCATATATAAATGAATGGGCGTGGCTGTGTTCCAATACAACTTTATTTATGGACGCTGAAACTTGAATTTTACATAATTTTCACATGCCAAATTCTGTTCTTCTTTTGATTTTTCTTCAACCAATTAAAAATGTAAAAATCCTTCTTCACTCACAGGCAGTACAAGAATAGGTGTGGGCTGGATCTGGCCTGACCCATGGTTTGCTTGACCCCTGTTCTAGAGCATCAAAGTCTCTCCACACCCCACCCCCTGGCCTGGGGCACCAGGAGACAAGGCCGCAGTCTGCAAGAAGGATATCTGTCCTAAGGGCCACCCTTTGAACCAGAGACACAGACAGAGAGATACACCAGGAGAGGAAGTTGACTTTGGCGGAGGTCTCCGCAGGACTTGTTTGCTTACAATTCAGAAGGGGTAACACCCTGCTCCGGCCAGACCACCATTGCTTGTTTGAGGAAGAAAAACCAAAAAGATTTTCCTTTTTCTGACCCCGGGCAGTCAGTTAGAGACTGTATACACAATTCTCCAAATGCCTTGGCTTGTGTTTTAGTCCAGCCTTCCTCTCGGCTCTGTCAAGGAAGCTTCACTCGACTCCCCTGGGGCTCCTCTTAGTCCAGCTCACTCCCAGCTCCCCTAAGCAGGCAGGAGCCAAGGGCGGCTCTCCAGGATGTGGGCCGCAGTTCGCCGTCTTCTTTTTAGCACCGTTGTTGTTCTAAATGCTTTCTGATTAGTCTTCTAAATAATTCCAGTGGGTATTTTATAATCCAGTAACCCGATTATTGTGGACATGTGCTGCCAATGACAGTGGTTAGCATCTAAATCTTCCTCCCTGCAGTGAGTGGTTTGCTCTTACTCCTTCACAGCCCTGGCTTTCCTGCTGACTCTGGGCTGTGGGAGGATTTTCAAGGCTCCCTTTGGGCAGCAAGAAACATTCATTTCTCTACCCTCAGGTCTCACCCTGTAGCATCAGTTGCTCCCTCCAAGCCCTGGGGATCAGTAGGAAGCCCGACGCATAGCTCAGGAACCTGCAAAATGGAGGGTTTGGATTTTGCTTCCTGCAGGTGGCTCCTCATTAGGAAATAGAGATTGGACCGATTTCACTTTTTGGTTGTCACTGTCACTGCCATCTTTCCTCTGGGCTGGCTGTAGTTCTTTACCAGGGACTTTAACATCGTCTCCCCCCTGTGACTACCATATGCCACTTCTCTCTCTTCCTAGCTGTCATGGAGCAGTATGGAAACTAAGGACATGGGGAGAGAAGTGGGAGCTGCAGGAGTCTAGGGTAAATTCCTGGAGGAGGCAGCCATGGTCTGAGTGGGCCTTGCTGATATATTCCTGGACACATTTGTTTCATACTACCTTCCCTAAGTATCCAACAGCAGGGTTCTGCCTGCTCCACCTCCAGGGCCCTGGCTGGGATGACCTCTCCTTCCTGTGTGGCTTGAGTCTCATATTGTGGCTCCCACCCTGTGAGGCCTGGGGTTGCCAGTTGCCCTTTTCTGCTTCTCCTTGTGACATTCTTTGGGGTCTTTTTGAAGCCTCATCCTCCCTCAGATTGTGAGCTTAAAGATACAGGTTTGTCCCGCAGCAGTCCTGACATGGCTAGGATTGTAGGGAGATTAGGAACATGGGCTTTGGCTCTGTGAATATGGGGTAGTTAGAAGAGCATTGGAAAAAGCTGAGAGTGGTGGCTCATGCCTCTAATCCCAGCACTTTGGGAGGCCAAGGCCCACAGATCACTTGAACCCAAGAATTTAAGATAACTCTAGGCAACATAGTGAGACCCCATTTCTACAAACAATTAGCTGGGTGTAGTGGCGTGCGCCTGTAGTCCCAGCTACTTGGGAGGCTGAGATGGGAGAATCACCTGAGCCTAGGAAGTTGAGGCTGCAGTGAGTGGTGATTATACCACTGCATGCTAGCCCTATCTCAAAATAAATAAATAAATAAATAAGAAGAAGAAAGAAGGAAGAAGGAAGAAGAAGGAAGAAGGAAGAAGGAAGAAGGAAGAAGGAAGAAGAAGAAGAAGAAGAAGAAGAAGAAGAAGAAGAAGAAGAAGAAGAAGAAGAAGAAGAAGAAGAAGACTGCAATAGAAGACAGGAGCCCTGGGCTTTGGTTCTACTGACTCCATGTGACCCTGGGCAAGTCATTTGCCCTCTCTGGACTTCAGTCATGGCTTTCTCTACATCCAGATAATTGAAGCGAAGTTTTTCTAGAGAGAGAGGCTGAATAAAATCCATACAATCTCTGCCTCATCTTAACCTGACTTGTAGAGACAAAATTCAGGGTTCTGGATCCAGTTGGTATTGACTGCATAGATCTGACGACTGTTTAGGGGGCAAATGCACGCAGTGTAGAGACCAATGTGGTCTCCACCTCTCCTTTTATGACACACAGAAGCTAGGGAGGGGAGGCGATGTTAAATTGATGTAACTGATGTGGCTGAGCACTTCCTGTATGACAAACTGCTCTGGGAGACTAGAATGGAACAAACTCCAACATAGTTACCTGGGATTAACAAACTTCACATCGGTACTGATAAAGTCAGCTACAGCCTATGGTTCCAAGGAGAAAGTAGCAGATGCAAATACAGAGATCCTGTGGGAAACTTACAACCACACTTACCGCACCTTTCAGCCTAAAGGGAAAGGTGCAACAGGCTCTGAGTGGGGCATGCCAGGGATGAGGACCACTCCAGCTTGCCTGGCTCCCCAGGAAGCTTCCTCCCAACCCACAGTTGATACCATCCCCCATCACCTGGTGGCGGTGAGGTTGACAGATGATCCAGCTGAAAGGTCTGCAGAAAGAAGATGGGACACAGGAGCATCAAAACAATCCACACGTGATTCCCTGAGTGACCCAAATGCTTTCATGATCACATGTGTCCCCTAAGGAGGAGCTGCTAAGAGAATTTCAGAATCAATCATCAATCAGATTGAAGACCTGCTTTGTGCCAGGAGAGATGAGAGGTCATGAGGGCCCCTGGCCTCATGAGGTTTACAGTCACATTAACTGAGGCCTCATAGCTCAGACCAGCATCTGTGTCCTGTCATCCTTTACAGTCTTTTATACCAACTCGCACTGAGGACCTTCTATGCCAGGGCTGCTAGGGGACAAAACTGTGTCTTTAAGATTGCAATCTGGGGAGGAGGAGGCTTCCAAAGGACCCCAAGGAATGTCACAAGGGGAAGGCAGAGAAGAACAACTGGTGACCCCAGGCCTCACAGGGTGGGAGCCACAATATAGGGCTTGGGCCTCACAGAAGGATGAGGTCACTCCAGCCAGGGCCCAGGAGGTGCAGTAGGCAGACCCTTGCTGTGGGGGACTCCGGGAAGGTCTCTGCAGGGCACCTGGCTGGAGGGGGTCTGGGCCCAGGGCCCACAGGAAGGATCCTCCACTCCTGCCCCCAAGAACTTGGGGCGTGGGGCCTTCTGAATCAGCACCTGGGACTTCAGCCAAACAAAGGATCCCTGGCCCTGCAGCTGTCCTGGGCAGGGCAGGGCAGGGCTGGGAGAATGGGAGGAGATTTCCCTCCGGCTGCTCTGATGAGGCCCCAGCGAAAGTGGGAATAAAGATAGAGGGGAAGTGGGCTGGCAGGGAGATCTGACCCCCTTGGCCCCACCTACAGCCTCAGAGTGAATTATTAATAGAAGAAAGCACAAGTCAAGCACCTGCAGGCTCTGTTGCTATCACTCAAGCTCCACACCTAGCGTCATGGGGCCAAGCGGCCAGAACAGCCTCCGGCAGGTGGGCAGCACAGACCAACTTCCTCTGCAAGGGACGACAGGGAGGGTGGTGGCTGGCGCTGTCACCACATCCTGGCCATGCACATTGAGATGGCACCAGACCCACAGACTCTCCAGGCCTGTGTGTGTGTGAGCTATACTCCCGAGCAGATCAGCTGTGTGACTTTGGTGTGTGGCCTTCCAAGACATCAAGCTGTATAAAAAACCAAAGGGTCACCCAGGGCCCCAGAGAAGAAGCGATCATCTTAAGGGACAACCACTCCCCTTTTTTTCTGGAAAACAGCTCACACAGTAACAAAGTCAGTGATGTACAAAGTCAGTATGTAAAATAACCGTGCAATAGTGTTCTTGTGTTTGGGTTGTCGTGGGTCCCCTCTGGGTCTCCTGCCTGCGTTTCAGACAAAAAGCCTGTGTAGAAGCCCAGGGTATCCCAGGTTATGACGTCGGTGCCACGGGGAGCATTCTGTAAATACCGGCGGCGACACCGAGCTACATACTGGGCAATGCCACGGTCCCAAGCTTTTCGCTTTTAAGATAAGGGGGCTCGGACAAGCCACAGTCCCTTTTGCTCAGACTTCTAAGGTCTTTTGGGGAATTCTGGGAGTCAACAAACAAACCCGAGGGGACCTCTGGCAACTAGGGCTGGAGGCCTTCCAGCAGGACTTCCTGAGTCGCTCCCTCCTCCAGGCCTCCGAGGATCCGGTTCTGGCCTCCTTCTAGAAGCCCTGGGGGATGGTGAGCCTCACTCAGGTACCCATCTCCCAGCAAGTTCGTGCTCTGAGGGAGGGCAGGGGGAGCCCTGGCTCGCTTGCTCACTTGCTCGTCTCCGGGACTCAGCTCATGCCTCCCCTGACAGTGTGAGTGAGTGCTCAGGAGGCACTGACCCAGGGCAGCCAGGAAGAAGCCTCTATGCCCTGCAGCCCTCGGGGTTCAGCCCAGCCACTTGGCCGTGCCTGACGACATCTCCCCTGTTCTTCATGGTGCTATGGGAGGCCAGCCTTCCCAGGCAGATGAGTGAGGCTCCTCATTCAAGGGTCCAGGGGGAGCCTCACCCTCATGGCACCCTGTGTAGGCTCTCGGGGCCCTTAGGAGGCTGCTGAGGGCGGGGAAAGGAAGGAGTGAGGGAGGAGGCCTGGAAGCCAATTAGGAAGATGTCCTTGAGAGGCAAGTCCATGGGAGCTGCAGAGAAAGTCTGTCAGGAGGACCTGGTTCCAAACTTGTTCCAAATCACAGCATGCCACGATGAAGAAAAACAGTATGTTTTAATTCATAAATGCTTCTAAGAATTCAGTGTTATGGAATAAAGTTGGAAGTGAAATTCCCCCTCACCTGAGATTCCCACTGTCTGGTGCTTTGTATGTGGACGGTGGGAGGGATGATGAAGGTTGGCTTCTGGTTACTGAGAGGCCTCAGGGGATAAAGAGGGGTCCTGCCCTTTCTGGGTTTGCTCCTCCTCTGGCAATCTTCATGCTCCCCTGGGAAGCCCCCAAACCTGTCTGGACTTGCTCAAGGCAGATATCCTGTTGGTCACTGGCCCCCATTATCTCACAGTCCCAATTTCTTGCCAAAACAACTTCCCTTTGCTGCTAGGGGACCCCTGCAGCTGAACCAAGAAGACAGAAATGCGGCCCCGGAGCCTGGGCTGCAGGGAGAGTGTGAGGACCAAATCCTAGCTAAAGGTTTTACAGGCCCAGACACGCATACTTCTGTTTGTTGGAAACATTACCCCACCAAGCTCAGTCACCTCAGGTATTTCATTTTTCAAACAATACTAGATATCCAGTTCCATAGAAACAGAATTGTGTTTAATAGCTCTGTTTTTTAAAATCTCTCCCTCTCTCTCCACTGTGCCACGAGCAGTGTTTGGCCAAAGCAGATTCACTCAATGTTTATGGAACACAGCAAACAAGTTTGTCAAATATCAACCCTGTGTGCATGGTAAACTATTAGAAAGTGAAGGAGCCAATCCCCTTCTCCAGACCAGCTGAGGTGGTCCAGAATTACATCCAGGATGCCTGCTTAAGAGTGCCCAGACTCTGCCAGGATCCTCCAGCCCTGTGTGGAGGCGGGTCACAGAGGGGTGGCTGTAGGAGGGACACCCAGCGTGGCATCGATGAGCTGGATTAAGATGCTGCTACGCAAACAGGAAGGAAGAACAGCAACGATGGCTAACGTGCATTGGGCGCTAACCCCAGGCTAGGCACAGTGCCAAGTCCCTCAGAAGCCCCTCCCAATAACCCCACATGGTGGTAAGTGCATCCATCACCTTTAACTACCTTACCAACCTCCCAATGACACCTTGCAATGAACATTCTCAGATGCATCCCCTTAGGAACATCTGTGAGAATTTCTTTAGGATACATACCCAGGAGTAGAGGAAGGTGTGATGCTTTTTATGTGTCAGTTTGGCCAGGCTGAACTACTGCCCTCAGAATTCCCTTTCTAGGGAGTTGGTTAAAGCAGAGACTCATAGAAAATGACATGTAGACAAGTGTGTATGCTGCAGTATTGCTAGAAAAGCCAAAGACTGAAAACAACCCAAATGCCTAACCATAAGGGATTGATTGAAGGAAATCATGGAATAACCGCAGGATGGGATACTATGCAGTTGTTAAAACTAACAAGGAGACTGGGCACAGTGGCTCATGCCTGTAATCCCAGCACTTTGGGAGGATGAGGCAGGAGGATTGTTTCAGCCAAGGAGTTAGAGACCAGTCTGGGCAACATGGGGAAACCCTGTCTCTACAAAAAATACAAAAATCAGCCAGGTGTGGTGGTGCACACTTGTAGTCCCAGCTACTTGGGAAGCTGAGGTGGGAGCATCAATTGAGCCCAGAAGGTTAAGGCTGCAGTGAGCCATGATGGCGCCATTGCATTCCAGCCTGGGTGACAGAGTGAGACCCTGTCCCAAACAAACAAACAAACAAACCGAACCAAAACAAAACAAAAAATCCAAAAGAACAACAATGAAACTCTCTATGAAATGAAATGGAAAGACGTCCAAGGTTAAGTGAAAAAGAAAGATGCAGAACAGTATGTTCAGTATGCTCTCTTTTGTGTAAAAAATGGTTAAAATAGAATATATACATATGTAGGTATATAGATAGTTGATTTTTGTTAGTTGTGGTAGTTACATCCTATAAAGTCTCTATGATCACTGAATTAGTGAATACTGAGCCACTGCTCCTAAGAGAAATACAGGGTTAGGTTCCTGCAAGCCCCTGGTTGCAACATTTTTGTCAACTGATCAGTATATAACCTTGTTTTATATGTGTCTGCTTAAAGGATATCTTATTTAACATCTATTTTTTTCATTCATTAACATTGACCTCACAGCCAACAGTACTACAACTAATGCCTGAAAGGAGCTTATCTAATTCACCCATTTTCTCTGTAAGGCACATACATCACAGCCTTCTCGTGCTGAGAACAGTAGGCAACACTTTAGCATTACACTTGGAGGCCATTTCAAACAGTGAAATCAACAACAAAAACAACAAAAATATGAAAAATGCCATACTAAATACACCAAAAAAGCACACTTGTGTCCAGCAGGAGAGCTGAAATAAGAAGGTGGAGTTGCCTTGTTTAACCTCAGCTTGGGAACATGCATCGGGCGACTCAAAATTTTCACTGCTCTGTGCCTGTCCTCAAATGACCAAGAAAGCACTGAGCATCGGTTTTGTGGTTACAAATAAGTTTAGAGAGTAGGGAATTTGCAAATATGGAATCTGTGAATAATAAGGGTCAACTATGTATTTATAATTGATATATATTCATAAAGAAAATCTGGAAGGATCCAAGAAACTAATAATAGTTGTCTGCAGGGAGGTGGTAGAAACTGGGCTAATTGGGGAAAAGAGCAGGAGGGAGATTTTTCATTTTATAACTTTTTATATTTTTCTGTGTTTTTGAACCATGTGAATACATTACTTACAAAAAAAACCCAGATAGAATAACATATGAAAAAAACTTTTTTTTTTTTTTTTTTTTTTGAGATGGAGTTTTGCTCTTGTTGCCTAGGCTGGAGTGCCATGGCACGATCTCGGCTCACCACAACCTCCACCTCCCGGGTTCAAGTGAGTCTCCTGCCTCAGCCTCCCGAGTAGCTGGGATTACAGGCATGCGCCACCGTGCCTGGCTAATTTTGTATTTTTAGTAGAGACGGGGTTTCTCCATGTTGGTCAGGCTGGTCTCGAACTCCCAACCTCAGGCAATCTGCCCGCCTCGACCTCCCAAAGTGCTGGGATTACAGGTGTGAGCCACTGCACCCTGGCCAAAAAAAACCTTTATGTGCACTTAATTGCAGTACATTAATGCCTTATGAATTTATTTTAACTTAAAACACAAATATCTTACTGGTCTTTTGAGGCAGGGTCCAGAACTTTTCTTTGCTCATAGATCTGTGGAATAGAGCTCTGTATTTATCATTTGTGCATAAACCACTGATGATGCATAATCTATACTTTTTCAGTTTGGTTTCTTTAAAAAGGAGCCAGAAGTAGAGAATCCTGGTAAAGGAATTGTAGTGCAGCATCCTCTGACACGCTTTTATTTTCTTCTCCCTCTAGTGTCAATCTTTATAATTTTTAATTTTTTTTTTTTTTTTTGTAGAGACAGGGTGTCGCTGTTTCCCAGGCTGGTCTTGAACTCCTGGCCTCAAGCAATCCTCATGCCTTGGCCTCCCAAAGTGTTGGGATCACAGGCGTGAGCCACGGCACCACAGTGCCAGTCTTTAATAGTTGTCTTGCTCACACCTAATTTGGCAGCAATTCTCTTTTGGTGGCTTGCTTTTATCACTTCTTTCCAAAGCATTCAACAGTGAAAAATGTGTCGCCTGTCACACATTCTCAGCTGAGGTAGAACAAGGTGACTCTTACTTTTCACTGAAATAGCACTTCTCTTTCTTTTTTGCATTCATAGTTCATTGGCTTAGATCACATTTAACTAATTTACATAATTACAATAACAAGGACAACTGGCATAAGCAGGTTTGAGGACCAACACAGCCCGTGACTACATTTGTGGGAGTGGGTGCTCTGTTTAGGGCAAGTTGTGGAGAAGGCCAGCTGCCACTCAGTTATGTAGAGGCTGGTTAAAGACAGTTCCACCTGCGTGTGAGTGTGACTTGCTAACTTTAACATGAGGAGCATGCTAGATGTCTCTGAACTATGCCGTCTGACATTGTGTTTCATGCATTCAAATGTCAGGTAAGTGTGTACAGGTCAGGCACATGCTCCTCAGGCAGAGCGCTGGGGTCCCTGTGGTGCTCAGAGCCAAGCTGTCATGGGGCAGGCACTCTGAAAACATTTTCTGAAGTAAGCAGACCTTTTTTTTTTCAAAGGTCCTCAAGGTAAGATTTCTGACAAAGCTGACATTTAGACTTCACGGTTTAAGAAAGGGATGGGGTTGAATCTGTAAATTACCTTGAGCAGTATGGCCATTTTCACGATATTGAGTTCTTCCTACCCATGAGCATGAAATGTTCTTCCATTTGTTTGTATCCTCTTTTATTTCCTTGAGCAGTGGTTTGTAGTTCTCCTTGAAGAGGTCCTTCACATCCCTTGTAAGTTGGATTCCTAGGTATTTTATTCTCTTTGAAGCAATTCTGAATGGGAGTTCACTCATGATTTGGCTCTCTGTTTGTCTGTTGTTGGTGTATAAGAATGCTTGTGATTTTTGTACATTGATTTTGTATCCTGAGACTTTGCTGAAGTTGCTTATCAGCTTAAGGAGTTTTTGGGCTGAGACAATGGGGTTTTCTAGATATACAATCATGTCGTCTGCAAACAGGGACAATTTGACTTCCTCTTTTCCTAATTGAATACTCTTTATTTCCTTCTCCTGCCTAATTGCCCTGGTCAGAACTTCCAACACTATGTTGAATAGGAGTGGTGAGAGAGGGCATCCCTGTCTTGTGCCAGTTTTCAAAGGGAATGCTTCCAGTTTTTGCCCATTCAGTATGATATTGGCTGTGGGTTTGTCATAGATAGCTCTTATTATTTTGAAATACGTCCCATCAATACCTAATTTATTGAGAGTTTTTAGCATGAAGGGTTGTTGAATTTTGTCAAAGGCTTTTTCTGCATCTATTGAGATAAATCATCCCCATCAAGCTACCAATGACTTTCTTCACAGAATTGGAAAAAACTACTTTAAAGTTCATATGGAACCAAAAAAGAGCCCGCATCGCCAAGTCAATCCTAAGCCAAAAGAACAAAGCTGGAGGCATCACATTACCTGACTTCAAACTATACTACAAGGCTACAGTAACCAAAACAGCATGGTACTGGTACCAAAACAGAGATATAGATCAATGGAACAGAACAGAGCCCTCAGAAATAACGCCGCATATCTACAACTATCTGATCTTTGACAAACCTGAGAAAAACAAGCAATTAAAAGGATTCCCTATTTAATAAATGGTGCTGGGAAAACTGGCTAGCCATATGTAGAAAGCTGAAACTGGATCCCTTCCTTACACCTTATACAAAAATCAATTCAAGATGGATTAAAGACTTAAACGTTAGACCTAAAACCATAAAAACCCTAGAAGAAAACCTAGGCATTACCATTGAGGACATAGGCATGGGCAAGGACTTCATGTCTAAAACACCAAAAGCAATGACAACCAAAGCCAAAATTGACAAATGGGATCTAATTAAACTAAAGAGCTTCTGCACAGCAAAAGAAACTACCATCAGAGTGAACAGGCAACACACAAAATGGGAGAAAATTCTTGCAACCTACTCATCTGACAAAGGGCTAATATCCAGAATCTACAATGAACTCAAACAAATTTACAAGAAAAAAACAAACAACCCCATCAAAAAGTGGGCGAAGGACATGAACAGACACTTCTCAAAAGAAGACATTTATGCAGCCAAAAAACACATGAAAAAACGCTCATCATCACTGGCCATCAGAGAAATGCAAATCAAAACCACAATGAGATACCATCTCACACCAGTTAGAATGGCAATCATTAAAAAGTCAGGAAACAACAGGTGCTGGAGAGGATGTGGAGAAATAGGAACACTTTTACACTGTTGGTGGGACTGTAAACTAGTTCAACCATTGTGGAAGTCAGTGTGGCGATTCCTCAGGGATCTAGAACTGGAAATACCATTTGACCCAGCAATCCCATTACTGGGTATATACCCAAAGGACTATAAATCATGCTGCTATAAAGACACATGCACACGTATGTTTATTGCGGCATTATTCACAATAGCAAAGACTTGGAACCAACCCAAATGTCCAACAATGATAGACTGGATTAAGAAAATGTGGCACATATACACCATGGAATACTATGCAGCCATAAAAAATGATGAGTTCATGTCCTTTGTAGGGACATGGATGAAATTGGAAATCATCATTCTCAGTAAACTATCGCAAGAACAAAAAAACAAACGCCGCATATTCTCACTCATAGGTGGGAATTGAACAATGAGATCACATGGACACAGGAAGGGGAATATCACACTCTGGGGACTGTTGTGGGGTGGGGGGAGGGGGGAGGGATAGCATCGGGAGATATACCTAATGCTAGATGACGAGTTAGTGGGTGCAGCGCACCAGCATGGCACATGTACACATATGTAACTAACCTGCACAATGTGCACATGTACCCTAAAACTTAAAGTATAATAAAAAAAAAAAAAAGAAAAGGATGGGGAAGGGCAGGTCTGTAAGATCTCCTAAAGTGTCTGGGATTAAATCCTCAGTTGGCTCCCAGTGCCCCAGGCTGAGGCGAATCCCTCGACTGTTTAGAGACGATGTGGAAACCCTCTGCTCCTAAAGGAGGAAGAGGCCCAAGTCCATGATCTGAAGCCGAAAGGCCTCTGTCTCAGCAGACGACCCTGACCCCTGCTTCACAGAGAATGGGGGCTACCGGCCTTTGCTCTCTCCACCTCCTCCCGCCAAACAAACTTTCACACGTCCCCCCTGCCCTAACTCCTTTCTCTTCACTTAACTGAAACAACTGGAGACCCTTTACCCAGGATCCTGAATCAGAAACTGGGACCCCAGGGGCCCACCACCTCCCCATTCCCACTCACTTCCAAGAGATGATCAATTCCTGCCCACTTCTCCTGCACAGCCTTTCCCTGGCCATCTTCTCTCATTGCCTAATCCATGCTCCTCTGGTCGGGTCTCACCCCCTCCAGCCCTGACACACCACCCTCTCCTTAAAACCTCCAATGCTCCCTCTGCCAACAGGTAAGTGTCCAAACAGCTCAGCTGGGCACAGAAAGCCCTCACAATCTGGTCTCATTCACCCTTCCAGTGATTTCCCCACCCACTCAGATACACCCTGAGCACCTGTCCTATGAAGCCACACAAAGTTTCCATAATGCTGGTCCTTCTGCTTGACAGCTCTTTTTCCCATTCTCCACCTTCTCAGCCTACAAGTTCCTGTTCAAACCTAATGTCTTTCACGAAGTCTTCCCTTCCCTGATCCTCAGCCACTCATCATAACAAAACATTTATTGCATGCTCACTCTATACCAGGTACAGTAGATGTAATGGAGGTGGGAACAGAGACAGTGTCAGTTATATAGGGCTTGCAGTCTGGGTGTGTGCATGTCAGCCAGAGACAAGTATAATTTTACACCTGTCATGAGGAGCTATAAGATAGGGCCGAGGGCCGGGCACCGTGGCTTACTCCTGTAATCCCAGCACTTTGGGAGGCCGAGGTGGGCAGGTCACCTGAGGTCAGGAGTTTGAGACCAGCCTGGCCAACATGGTGAAACCCCATCTCTACTAAAAATACATCATTAGCCGGGCGTGCTGGCACTTGCCTGTAATCTCAGCTACTCGGGAGGCTGAGGCAGGAGAATCGCTTGAATCCAGGAGGTGGAGGTTGCCGTGAGCCAAGATGGCTCCATTGCACTCCAGCCTGGGCAACAAGAGCGAAACTCCATCTCAAAACCAAAAAAAAAAAAAAAAAAAAAAGAGAGAGAGACGGGGTTGTGACCTTGGCAGAAAAGTCAGGGAAGGATCCTCTGAGAAAGTCACAGTGATGCTGTGATCTAAAGATGAGAAGGACATAGGGAGGGGAAATAGGGTGCAGAAAACTGTATTCCAGATAGCGTCAAGGACAGATGGGCAAAGGCTCTGTGGCAGGTGGGAACAAGGTGGATGTAAAGAACTAAAAGAAGGCCAGTGTGGCTGAAATGGAGGAAAAAGGAACACAGTGATGAAACTGGACAGGGGGCAAGGGCAAGACCATCCAAGCCTCTTGAGGCTAAGGATCCTCATCTTAATGGCTCCCCTGAAGAGCAGGGGAAACCATTAAAGTATCTTGAACTCTGTGTGTGTGTGTGTGTGTGTGTGTGTGTGTGTGTGTGTGTCAAAGCACATGTAACTGATCATATTTCTATTTTGAAAGTTTGCTCTGGGCCGGGTGTGGTGGCTCATGCCTGTAATCCCAGCACTTTGGGAGGCCAAGGCAGGTGGATCATTTGAGGTCGAGAGTTCAAGATCAACCTGGCCAACATGGTGAAACCCCATCTCTACTAAAAATACAAAAAAATGAGCTGGGTGTGGTGGCACATACCTGTAATTCCAGCTACTCAGGAGGCTGAGGCACAAGAATTGCTTGAACCCAGGAGGCGGAGACTGCAGTGAGCCGTTATCATGCCACTGCGCTCCAGCCCAGCCTGGGTGACAGAGTGAGACTCTGTCTCAAAAAAAACAAACAAACAAAAAAAAAACAAAAAAAAACACAACCCAGCAACAACAAAAAAACCTTGCTCTGGCCACAGTGTAGATCAAGGGTGAGCTAAGTTCTTCTGTTCAAGGCCAGATGATACATATTCCGGGCTTTGCTGCCAAGAGGCAAATACAGGCTATTATGTAGGACTTACATAATAAGAAAGAAAATTCTACACATTTTTGAGAACACTGAAAATATAATGATAATTGAGTGAGTGTAAATTTTTGTAATACTGATCATCTAATGAGAAGAATAGGATTGTTTTTTGGAGAGAGAACACTTCCCCTTCAAAGAGAAGGAAAGTCAGTGTTCCCATATCATCAAATGCTCATCTGTAAAAGCAGCTCAAGGACTGTGTGAAATCGACAGGCAGTGGCTAGATTTGGCCCCTGGACTGTAGTTTGCTGACCCCCAGTGCAGACAATGGACTGGAGGAAGGTGAATGAGGACATGGGGCAACTTAGGTTTGCCATGGTCCAGGCCAGATAGCTTGGATGAGGGTGACGGAGGGGTGTTTTGGGGTGAACCTGACAGGATTAATGATAGAAGGGACTTATGGGGGTACAGGAGGAGGAGTCAGATGTGACCTAGATGTCAGGTTCACATCTATGAAGCGTGGAGCACTGGGAGAGCTGTTTCACATGGAGACCTCAACAGGAGCTGTCACCGTGGCAGCTGGACCGAGGTTCCAAGGCCCAGAGAGGTTTGTGAGGCCCCTGAGAACAGGCAGTCACTGAAGGCAAGAACATGAAGAAGGGCGGCCAGCACGCCGGTGAACATGGGCCCAGCGCTCAGGGGTCATGTCTTCCTCACACCAGTCAGCACACCGCTTCAAACTGTTTCTTTTGTCTCCTCCATCAAACTAGGACTGCTTCTAAGGAGTGCCTCATGGTCAGCAGAATACCTGGCACCCACTGGGTGCTAAGAACATGACAGAGGAAGGCAGGGAGGGAGGGAGGACGTCGCGACTTTTGCTTCCACAGTAAACTCAGAGCCAATCACCTCAATTCACAACAGAAGCCGATTTCTTCCTCTTGCCCTAGTCAGCTGCCCCTCGCCTGTGGCCAGCCCTCCCCAGCAACTGCTTTTGAGAAGTTGCTCTAAATCACTCTAAATCATCCAAGTGTGTGAGCACACACATGCATTTGCACACAAATCTCCTTCTGATCAACCCTGGGAACATGATTTGTGGTGATGGTGTATTGACAACACACTCATCAACTGTCAGCTCAACATGTCTAAATATTATGTCCCATCACCCAGAACATCATTTTTTTTAATTAAAAAAAAGTTAAGTGGCAATCTCACAGCAAGGAGAGAAGAAGGAAAAAAAAAGCCACAGGTTAGAGAAAATTAATTTATCCTTTTTTCCATTTCTTTCCTTTTTTTTTTTTTTTTTTTTTTTGA
The DNA here is from genome assembly GCF_000001405.40 of Homo sapiens. Classification (NCBI taxonomy): domain Eukaryota; kingdom Metazoa; phylum Chordata; class Mammalia; order Primates; family Hominidae; genus Homo; species Homo sapiens. Next base: position 42,290,767 of record NC_000006.12, read on the forward strand.
ACAGAAGAGTAAAAAGCTCATAATTGCATCTCTTTAACAGCCCTGGGATGGGGAAATCAGTGCTGGGATGTGGGGTGGCCTGCTCCAGTGACCACATGGTGTGTTTGCTTGACATCAGTGGAGCTCCCGGCTTGGAGACCAGTCTCCCTGGGCCACAGTCACGAACCCTCTGGCCCGGTGTAAAGTCGCTGAGAAGGACACCAAAGAATTCGTGAAAGGGTGTGCATGTCCTCATGGCCAATAATAACATTCTAGAAAATATTTCATAATAACATTCTTGAAAATATTGCAAAAAGAATGGACATATACTATTTTGTTCTGTGAGGTCACAACAAACCTATGAGGTCAGAACTGTCTTCTCTGTTTGAAAGGAGGAAATTAACATGCAGGGGATGAACTTCCCAAGGTTGCATGATTGGTGATGAAGGGCTAAGCCCCCAACCCTCTGATACTCTGCGGTGCCTCTTGTCCTCCCATTGCAGATCTGTTCAGCATGAAGCTACTTCCTCCTTGCAGGATCCTTCCAGCTTTTATCACTGGTTTTTGAAGGGCCAAGGAGAGAAAGTCTATGCCGTAGTACAGGCACGTCCCATGAATCTGGCTGTCAGCTCCTAGCAAACTTCAACGCTCTAGTGTTTAGCCATGAACTTGGAAGTGTGAAAAAGAAGCTGATGCACTTTACACTAAAAAAAAAAAAAAAAGGTTCTAGGCTTAAAAGCTCCAGTTATCTGGACAAGTTTTTTGTTTTGTTTTGTTTCGTTTTTGTTGTTTGTTTGTTTGTTTTTGAGATGGAGTTTCGCTCTGTCACCCAGGCTGGAGTGCAGTGGCACAATCTCGGCTCACTGCAAGCTCTGCCTCCTGGGTTCACGCCATTCTCCTGCCTCAGCCTCCCAAGTAGCTGGGACTACAGGCGCCTGCCACCACGCCCGGCTGTTTTTTTTTTTTGTGTGTGTATTTTTTAGTAGAGACGGGGTTTCACCATGTTAGCCAGGATGGTCTCGATCTCCTGACCTCATGATCCACCCGCCTCGGCCTCCCAAAGTGCTGGGATTACAGGCATAAGACACTGCGCCCGGCCCTGTCTGGACAAGTTTTTACTCATCAGGAATATCTCATTGGAGAGAAACAAATGGATTAGATGACAAATATTTTCCTCATGGAAACACCAAGAGCACTGCTTCTGGAGTCAAAGATTGGGGTTCAAATCTCAACGTTCCACTGGCATAGTGAGTCCCTCCAGCAGGCCTATCTAACTTCGCTTTTGAGCCTCAATTTTGACATCTGTAAAACAGTAATAATAATACCTACTGTTCTGGGTTTCTGAGAAGATTAAACAAGAGAAGGTACAGGACACATGTGCTCCCAGGGAGGACTCGAGCAGTCTCATTGCCTGGGGTGGGGTTTCTGTTGTTTTGTTTTGACGTGGGTTACAGTTTAGACCAGGCTCAATGACTCAGGCATGATTGAGTTGGTTTGGTTATTTGTTTCCTGGACAACCTTCAGCCCTCCTTTTGTTTCAATCAGCAGAATGTTGCTCAGGGGCAGAAATTGCCAGGAGTGGACGCAGGAGGGAAGAGAGAAGGGCAGCCTGGGCCCTTTGGGATAGGGACCAATGACCTTGCTTACTCTAACATCCCCTGAAAGCACCTGTGTCCAGGGCACATTCATTTTATCCACAATGATGATCCAGAGACATCAAGGAAAGGCCATAGTTCGTTCAGTAGAATTGTTCACTGACAGCAGGAAACAGAATGCAAACATGCACATGACTGGCTCATCCTTGCAGGAAGTCCGAGAGAGAGAGGCCTACAAGTCTACACTGGTCAGTGCAATTCAAGGGGTGCAAAAGAGGGAATTGGTGTGGCCACGGGTCAGGCTGAGTTCTCTAATTTGGTGTTACTGGTAACGAAGGTGGTTTTCTACTTTCTGGGATATGGCTCTCAAGCAGTTCAAGACCCCCGAAGAGGAAATGAGACGCAATTATTTAGTGGCAATCTAAAGCTTAATTGTATCCAGTAGAATATCACTTTACCTGGTATCACCACCTAAAAAAGTTAGAAGGGGTGGGCCCTGTTAGCTGGAGTCATTTCAGTTCCTCTATGATACCAGATAAAGTGATATTCTACTTCGTTTTCTGTTTCAAGAGGGTACCCAGCTCTCCAATTCCAGAAAATTGGTAGTAACTCTGTCCGTATATACCATTTCCTTACTTTTAGTTACAGCCTTTCCTGCTTAAATGACATCCCCCTTTAAGGAACTGGGGACACACTGCCTGGAAGGGCTGTCCCAGGAAATCGGGTCTGGAGTGGCCTCTGTGGCCACATGTGCCACCTGATCTGATGGGCACATGGGCCTTCCCTGGTGGAAGCTCCTGACTCCCTCAGAGCTCATGCCAGCCTCACAGACGTGGAAAAAGAAAAAACGAGGCCAATCTAACCCTGACAGTTTGTGGGGGACACTCTCATACCCATTATTTCTCTGTGAGGCAGGCCCAGCAGGAGGTTTTATTTCCACCTTGAGATAAGCTATGGAAGCTCCGAGGGAGGAAGAGAGAGTTCCAAAGGATCACACATCCTGGTAGAAGCCAACTCAAGGGAGATGAGAACCAAAGGCGCCCGGTCCCAGGCCAAAGAGCCTCCAAAGACCACAAACCACTGCTACTAGAACGAGGCCAGAGCCTCCACATGGCTTGAGTGTTGTCCAAAAATACAAACAAGAAGACATCACTGAAGTGCAAAGAAACAAACTCCTATTTGTTTCTATTTCATCCATAAAAATGTCACAGCTTTCTCTGAATAGCTCTCATGTTGTCCTCCTTTTTCTCTCCACTCTTGGCCTCCTGGACCTGAACCAAGTCTCTCCCTCTCCTCTTAGTTCCGTGAACACAGATTATCTCCCTCTTCACGGGACAGTCACAGGAAATCTAAACATTTTCAGATGGGGTTCTTTTAAGCCCACTTCCCCTGTCCTCCACCCACCCCCCACCCTGTTGCTGTGTATTCAGGAAATGCAAACCCAATATAAAGATAACCCGGACCAAACAGAAAGAGAGATGTGCCCTGTGACCTGGTTGGGCAAATGACTTCCCCTCCTTGCACCTCAGACTCACCTTCTGCAGAATAAAGTTGGACCTGAGGAGCTCCAAGCCTCTGTTGGACGAATCCCCTGAGACCCTGCCTGGCCTGTCCCAGGACACTGAACAATCTTGGGCCAGGATATCAGGATATTGAGATACTAGGGTTTCCCACCAATGACACCTGATCCCTAAGGATCTGAGCCCTTTGGGGAAACAATGCTAGAAGTCAGGATGTCTGGATTGCAGTCTCAGTTCTGCCATCTTTTGGAAAAGAGAAGAGAGTGAGTAGGGGTAGGAATTAGGGGTAAGAAGTAGGGGTAGCTCTAGCTATAATGTAATTTTTTTTTTTTTTTTTTTGAGACGGAGTCTCGCTCTGTCTCCTGGGCTGGAGTGCAGTGGTGCAATCTCAGCTCACTGCAACCTCCGCTTCCTGGGTTCAAGCAATTCTGCCTCAGCTTCCTGAGTAGCTGGGATTACAGGCGTGCGCCACCACGCCCGGCTAATTTTTTTTTGTATTTTAGTAGAGACAGGGTTTCACCATATTGGCCAGGCTGGTCTCGAACTCCCGGTCTCATGATCCGCTCGCCTCAGCCTCCCAAAGTGCTAGGATTACAGGCATGAGCCACCGCGCCCGGCCTTAATGTTGCAATTAAAAAAAATAGAATAATGGCTATGACTGGTATAATAATATAATGAAATGTTTTTAGAAAGGTTCCACCAATGGTGAGAAGGAGCCAACGGCCAATCTCCAGGGCAGCACGTGAAGATTTGATGTAGAGCATATTTCCACCACTTTTATGTGGCTCTTTAAGCACAGGAGCTCTTGGCCTGGGGCACCTCCTGTCTCTATACCCGCAATAACCCTGGCACCCCAAACTCCTCAGATAATGTGTCCCCTGACTTCCTGGTCCTGAAAAGGGTCTCCGTCTGCATCTAGGACAATCCATTGTTGCAATGTACAGAGCTAGCTGACAAACAGAACCCAACCTGAGGTGTCATCTGATGAAGAATGTTTAATCTACCAGGTAAGCTCTCCATGGGCAAGGTCAGTTGGATGGCATTAGTAATCAACCTTGGCTCACGGCTCTGAGTAACCAGAATACAGAAGGGGCAGGAAGGATGAATCATGATCAGGACAGAGGCTGTTAATAGACTTTGAGGTTTGCTGGTGGGAACAAGGGGTGGGGTGGGGCTGGGCATTTAACTCCATGCAAACAGGCTTGGCCACTCGGCTGGGCTGGAAATGTCCAATCATCTTGGGAGACTGGGATAACAAAGAAGCCCCCTCCCTAACTCTAACAATGTCCCTGCTTAGTCCCCCTAGAAACCTTCACCCTTCTAAATATTTGAGCAATGCCTGGAAAAAGATAAGAGGTGAACTTCAAATAATTTTTTGGTGCTCCCAAGAGGCTGAACTTTTAAAGTTGCCAATCCCTGTTTTACAGAAGTGAGGTGGTAGCCCAGATGAGCTGAAGCATTAGTCAGAGAGACAGAAGCCATGTGGAAACCCATTCAAGACCTCCATGTTCATCAGCTATGAGTGGTCAAACACACTTGGGAAATCTGGTGTCAAATGTTAGCCGCAGGACTTCTGAGGGCTTTTGATAATGGGAGATGGTGCTCCAAGAGGGACCACAAAGGCCATCTGTGGGGCTTTCTAAACCCCAGTTCCTACCACTTCTACACCCAGGATGCATGAGGCTCCTTCTCCAGCAGCCTCACCTTGGCTGCCCCATAAGACCAGCTCAAATCATCATCCAGCCTCATCCAGGAAGCCCTCCCTGACCATTGAAGGGCATCGTGTTTTTCCCTCTTGGATATCCACTCTGAGTACCTAACAATCTTATGAAGATGTTTTAGACTTTATGCATTTTTTTTGGTTACAAAGTCCTCTTGTGATGAATAGACTTTAATTTTAGAGTAGTTTTAGATTCACAGCAACTTTATGCATTCTTTTATAGTACTTGCCCACTATACAAAGCCCAGAGTCACTATAAATAGCAGGCTTTGAAAAAAAGACTTGTTGCCTGATAGATATCAAATCAGGAAACGACACATGTCTAGGTGTAATATAAAGCCATTTATTACAAGAGGGCGTGAAAAGTGAAGTCTCATGCCAGCTATAAGAATAGAGCTAAAGGACATTCACGACCCTTCTCCCCCAGCCCCATCACTGCTGAAAATGTGTCCTCAGAGCAGTAATGCCATCCCTTGATCTGGGGGCCCTGCAAGGGAAACCTCCACAGTGAGTCCACGCAGCCCCAGCCCCACCACGGCACCAGGACACAGGGCACAGCTCAGCGGGAGGGCCAAGATATGGAGTGTGGAGGTCTAGGCCCCATTTTCAGAACCCCTGGTTTACATCTTCCACAAACACTGGCCAGACCAGTGCGTTCTATCTTCCCTCAGATTATTTTTAAAAACACCCCAGTTCAAAGAACATCATAAAGAGGCTGGGATTCCCACATTTACATTAGATTTCTGCCTCCATTTTAATCTCATTTTATAAACTGGCTTTGTCAATTTAAAAGCATCACCAACAAGAACACTGGCCTTGAAGTGGTCTGTTCTCAGTCATAGTTATATGAACCACCACTGACCAAGCACTGATGATATCCAAGCTCTGTGTTACAAGCTCTACAGGCATCATTTCATTAAGTCCTTGAATAGCTCTATCCACTGTCCCCATGTGACCAATGAAGAAACGGAAGCTCAGAGAGATTCAGCTGTTAAGTGGCAGAGGTAGGTTCAAACTCAGCTCTTTCTCCCTGCCCCTCAAAGCCCAAAAGCCAAACCACTGTGCTCTGTAGACTCCCCTCCAATGAAAGGCACGCCACCATGAAAAAGAAAAACCAATCGCAGGAAGGATGGGGAGAGGGGAAAAGGAAAAAGAGGCAGAGGGAAGGGAAGAAGGTGAGAAGGAGAGAGTAGCATAAGGAGGAAAGGAAGCCAAGGTCTGGATGAGAAGCCCACGGGATCTGGCTTCAGGTTCAGGAGACTTTTTGCAGAATGGGAATGAAGCAGGAGGGCTGCTGGTGACTGCCAGACAAACAAGCCACAAAATATGGAGAAGCCATTTCCTCCCTCAAGGAAGATAAACAATAGATTCATAAACAAATTGTACAAAGCTGTTCAGCTAGTTAAAACATTTTGGTAGCAACTCATATTCTTTGTGGGACTAAAGTTTGTCCTTGCCAATGGTCAACAGTTATCGTGGGGAGAGAGGAGAGGAGAGGGACATATTCTCTCCCAGCCTTTCACCTGCTAGGCCTATGGCTACACCCTCTCTGAGCTTCAGGTCACTCTTCTGTGAAGAAATAGAAATTCCTGCCCTCCTGACTATTGTGGAGAAGAAAAAGATATACTTTTGGCAATATGGCAGACCGGATACCTTACTTGCCCCTCCTAATGGAAAGAACTAATATGCTGGATACAATTTTAGATATAAAGACTGAATACACATTGCTGAGATAGTACAAATGAAAAGACCAAAACAAACCCAAAGCAGGAACCTTGGAAGGTGAGCTGGCATCAAAGCTGGCTTTTGCCCTGAGGGTTTCTGCTGAAACCTGGAGATTCTAAGTTTCCCAATGACAGCAGCACAGGGTTAAGAGCCTAGGGAGACCCCTCCACAAAGTTGGGACTTCAAATGGCTCCACTCCACAAAATTCATTCGACTTGGTGAATGAGAAGTAAATGCACAACACAGAGACTGCAAGAAAACTGGACCTTGCAAGGGCTGAGCAGAATGGGGGGAAAATCTCTCTGCTGAAAATGTGTAACCATAGCTGGACTTCACACAGGTTTGTAGCCTGAATTATATTACTTGGGTAGCCAGAAAAGCCTTAACTAGAAAATTAATTTAAAGTGATTTTTGTTGGTAATGCCCACCAGACAACCAGCAGAAGTTAACCAAATCCTCTCTGGAAAAGACAACTCAACCCACACCTCAGATAATTCCCTAAGATAAAGTGCCAAGAAAAAATGAGCAATTCACAGGAAACAAGGCATTATGAATACCAGCCAGCAGAAACAACAAGTGGCAGAACCAGACCTGCAAGAACTTCAGATTTGGGAATTACAAGACACAAAATTATAAAATTTCTAAATAGCAAATTTAATATTTTAAAGAAATAAACATCTTCAAATATGAGCAAGAAATGAGAGACCAGAAAAATCACCAAGCAGAACTTCTAGAAATGACAAATAAATAAAGCAAAAAGAAAAAATCCAATGAATGGGTTAAAGAGCATTTTAGACACATAATAAATTAGTTAAATAGAAGATAGTTGTTGTTTTTTTTTGTTTTTGTTTTTGTTTTTGTTTTTTTTGAGACAAAGTCTGGCTCTGTCACCCAGGCTGGAGTGCAGTGGTATGGTCTCAACTCACAGCAACCTCCACCTCCAGGGTTCAAGTGATTCTTGTGCCTCAGCCTCCAGAGTAGCTGGGATTATAGGTGCGCGCCACCACACCTGGCCAATTTTTTTATTTTTAGTAGAGATGGGGTTTCACCATGTTGGCCAGGCTGGTCTTGAACTTCTGACTTCAGGTGATCCACCCACCAAGGCCTCCCAAAGTGCTGGGATTACAGGTATGAGCTATTCCCCCGGCCAGAAGATAGATTTGAATAAATTATTCAGAGTTCAGCACAGAGAGACAAAGAGATGAAAACGTAAAATAGGTTGAGGGTGGTGGCTCACGCCTGTAATGCCAGCACTTTGGGAGGCTGAAGTGGGTGGATCACTGGAGGTCAGGAGTTCGAGACCAGCCTGGCCAACAGGGTAAAACCCTGTTTCTACTTAAAATACAAAAATTGGTGGGGCACGGTGGCTCATGCCTGTAATCCCAGCACTTTGGGAGGCCGAGACGGGTGGATCACCTGAGGTCAGGAATTTGAGACCAGCCTGGCCAACATGGTGAAATCCCATCTCTACTAAAAATACAAAAATTAGCCAGGCGTGGTAGCAGACGCCTGTAGTCCCAGCTACTCAGGAGACTCAGGCAGGAGAACTGCTTGAGCCCAGGAGGTGCAGGTTGCAGGGAGCCAAGATTGTGTCACTGTACTTCAGACTGGGAAACAGAGAGAGATTCCGTCTCAAAAACAAAACGAAACAAAACAAAAAACAAACAAACAAAAAAAGCTAAGGTAGCTCCTCGGGAGGAGGAGGTGAGAGTATCATTTGAGCCCAGGAGTTTGAAGCTAGCCTGGGCAAGAGAGCAAGACCCTGTCTCTAAAAATATCTATCTATCTATCTGTCTGTCTGTCTGTCTGTCTCTATCTATCTATCTATCTACATATATATATATATCTAGCTAGCTGGATAACCCCTGAAAAAACACACATAGAGTCTGTTTTTTTCTATCTATCTATCTATCTATCTATCTATCTATCTATCTATCATCTATCCAGGTAGCTAGCTGGGTAACCCCAGAAATAACAGACATAGAGTATGCAAGTTACAAATAAGAAGATGGAAAATGAAATGAGGGGGGAAAATACCTCAACCTAAAAGAAAGAGCAGAAAAAATTAAATGCATGTAAAGATGGTAGAAATAAATCCCAATTCATCAATAAAATACACCAGTTCTAAACATCTATGCACCAAACAGTATTGCCTCAAAACATATAAAGCAACAATTTCAGCATTGCAAGGAGCAACTGACAAATCCAGTGGGAGGCTTTAACACACCTCTCTCAATAATTGATAGATAATCAGACAAAATCAGAAAAGAACATATTATAGATGATTTGAGCTGCACAATAAGCTAACTTATCTTTCAATGATGATATATAGAAAACTATATCCAATATTTAAAGATGTTTTTTGAAGCACTTATGGGACATTTAAGAAAAAAAGTTGCAGAGATAAAAATGTAAAAAAGGAGCCCACGGAAGTAGTTCAATGCATATTTCAAACTCTAAGGATCTAAACCTATTTTGTCTTAAAAGACAGAGACCCTGTCTTTCTTCTTCATTGATATATCTCCAGAGTCTAGCACAGTGCCTGTCACAAAGGAGGCTGTAAATAGCCACTGAAGAACGAATGGTGAATGAATGATTCTCTACTGAAGATGGTGCAGGTTGCATGAGCAACCAGCAAGGCAGACGCTGGAGGTAACTAAAGCCCTTTCCAACACAGAGGGGACGAGAGGACAAGGTGACTGGCACCAGTCTCTAGGGAGAATTTATACCAAAAAAAGAAAGACGGAGTCATGACAGCCAAATCTTCAAATCTTCAAACCCAGTGAGAGAGGCATGTGGAAGAGTCTTTGAAAGCCAAGTCTTTGTGGTTCCTAATGGCAGAGCAGAGACCAGCAGACAGAACTAACAACTAACTGTCCAACACTGGCTGGAAACTGGCCTGACTGATCATCTAAGGCCCCTTATGACTCTGTGTGGGACAGAAGTCTGTCTAGCAGGTACTGGGACTCTCAGGTCGTGGACTGAGTAATCTTTCCCATTCTATCCTGTCTCAGAGATTTTTTCATTCAAAATTCCCTGGATACCCCATCCTGTAAGACCTGTCCAAGGTCCCAGATTCAGGAGGTGGTGGAAGAATAATAAGAGCTCCATTCTAGACACTCAACTCAGTCCTTTCTGCTCCATATCAGCCTCTCCTTTAACCAAAATGAGCACACTTTAATCTGTAAAGTGACATGCACTTTCTAAGTCTACCCTCATCCCAGGAAACCTCATTCTTCTAGCACATAGCAAGGGATTACAAATGCATACAGAAAGTGTTAAAATGAAAATGAAAATTCCTCAGCCTTCCAGAAGAAGGAAAGCAAGCTCACCTTGACCTCCGCAGATGGCTGAGTTGGGGGCCTGGTTCTGGGGGCTTCTCCTGCGGTCGGCCAATCATGCTGCTTTCATGCTGCTGGACAGGTGGGAAGAGGAGGCCTGGTCCTGTGGGGAAAAGAAAAAGGAAAGGTCATTTCCTCATCATTTGCTCCTAGCTCTTCATCACCATCCTGCAGAAGACACTACCAGAAATCCCAGGGAAATTCCCGAGGCTGTCCTCACCTACTCTTAGGTAATGAGGAAGCAGACAGGCATGCATTCAACAAACATTTCCAAAGGCCTGCAATGTGCCAGGCAGGGCACTGAGGAATGAGGCCATGGAGATGAACTGGATGCAGTCTCTACACTTAGGAAACAGAGAGAGAGAGAGAGACAGACAGACAGACAGACAGACACAGAGAGATATAGAGAGACAGAGAGAGATCTGAGTTTCATTATAATATCATTTGCTAAGTGCTGTGATTCCCCAAATCCATTCAACAGCTGACTTTCCTCATGGGGGAGCTACAGCAGCTTACAGGTGCCTTGGCATACAGCTTCTCAAGTTATTTGTCATGAAGAACCAGTTGTTTTGTTTTGTTTTGTTTTGTTTTGTTTTTTTCTGAGACAGAGTCTCACTCTGTTGCCCAGGCTGGAGTGCAATGGTGTGATCTTGGCTCACTGCAACTTCTGCCTCCCAGGTTCAAGCAATTCTCCTGCCTCAGCCTCCCAAGTAGCTGGGATTATAGGTGCCCACCACCACACCTGGCTAATTTTTGTATTTTTAGTAGAGACGGGGTTTCACCATGTTGGCCAGGCTGGTCTTGCACTCCTGACCTCATGATCTGCCCGCCTCGGCCTCCCAAAGTGCTGGGACTACAGGCGTGGGCCACCGTGCCCAGCCGAAGGACCAGTTTTTAAAAAATTTTCCACACCATTAGAGATGACTACTTTAATAAAATATAGTAAAAATGAACTGCTAGAAAAAGGAAATGAAAAGATACTGATACAAAGTGCAAGCTCACTTTTAAGTTCTTTGATTCAACAGATTATTCTGTCAAATCGGCATGAAAGTTACTAAGCACCGACTCAATTTCTGAACTTATCTCATGGACCGCTAAAGAGTTTGCAGAGAGCACCACTCCTGAGCCACAGCTGAGTAGCAGCATTGCTATAGTAGAGACTTCCACATTGCACACCTTTCCTAAGATGTCTAGCTGATATGTTCAGAGAGGGAGGCTAGAAAGAAAAATGATTTCAAATTCACTCTCTGGACTATAAAAAGTTAGTTCAGAGAGTCTCTCTTTGGGAAGGAGAACCACAGCAGGAGCTTTGGGAAAGTGTGGCTCCATGCTGTTTGGAGATAGGTGGTGGCACCCACCTGCTGTGTTCAGGTAACAAAGTGTGAGGCTCATGGAAAGCTGTTCCTGGAGCCCTGTCTGCCTCCACCCTGAACTTCCCAACCCTAACTATGGCAACCCCGCCTGAAGCTCCCTCCCTGAATGAGAAGAACAAAGAGTCATCTATTAAAATGCACTGGGACATTTCAGAAAATAAATCATTTTCAAGATGCCAAAAGGGCTGCTGGTATGCATTCCTACTATTTAATGCTATAAAATGATTTTTTTTTAAATGAGAAATCCTTTGTCTGTGACAGCTAGCTCCAAAAAAAACCTTTAACTGCCTATTTCCTTAATACTTGAGGGAGGCATTACAAGTCATTTTCACCCATTTGAATGTTTAAGAGAAAGTGCTCATTCTTCTAAATTCGCTGCTTTTAAGTAGTTCTTATTTTAAGCTTTAGAAGAAGATAACTCTGCAGAAGAAAACTTCCTTTTTCAAAGCCTTGTTTGTTTTGTTTTTTTAAATGCAAACACACATACACTCTCAACTCCCTGCTTCAAATGTTAAATCATCTGCAATTTTGGAGTTTGTTGCTCATGAAATTCTAGCGATAAGCACATCACAAACATTCCTATAGCAACAGAGTGTTTTTGAAGCAACATCTGTAATGTTACAAAGATTGTGTATCATTATCTCTGAATGTTGGCAAAGGGAAGGTTATGGGGAATAACTGTTTATGTACAAATAAGTCAGTACAGTAACTGGCAACCTGAATAGCAGACCTTACCAAGGAGCTAAGCATGGCACGGGTGGGAAGCAGGAATGCACTTCATTCCGTTTCTGTGAATAAATTCACCATCCTAACCCTCTATGTATGAAAACAACTTTCTAGGGTCCTCTCTGCAGAGGCGTGAGCTCTTGGAACTGCTTGTCTTATGGGCAAGAGTTTGTCTTAGACAACATATGGCCAACTTTTATTAGCCATCTATTGTAAGTCAGGCATGGAGCTAGACTCAGGGCTTCTAAAGACAGGTTCTTCTTCAAAGAGGCTCAAGAGAACCATATAAACAGATAATTACAATTCCCTAAGAAGAGATTATTGGCTGGAGTTAAGGGAAAGGAAATGAAATTAACTAGTTCAATCCATTCATCTAACCATCCATTCACCCATCCAATGTTGGCTGGTGCCTAGTATGTACTAGGCAAATGCAAGGCACTTGGCATACAACAGCTGAGTGAGACCAGTGTGTTCCCTACCTTCATGGAGCTTACAATCAAGTGCAAGAAGGAAACCAACATTAACAAATTAGAGATAACTATAATAGTGGTCCCCTAAAGAAACATAGCTAATGCATAATAGCATATGCCAGAAGATGGACTAGCATGGACATGGGGCAGAAATGCTTTCCTAAGGAATTAGTCTTTAATATGAGCCCTAAGAATAAATTACTGAAGCAAAGTAGGGAGGGCAGCAGGGGAAAGATAGAGAGCAAGGGTGCTGCTGGTACACCGAGTAGCCTGTGCAAAGGTCCTGTGACAGGATGGAGCATGGCATACTCTAATTAGGAGAGAAGGCTCTTAATCAGGACTGCACTGTTTCTTAACCTCACACTGTGCTCCAATCACTGTGGTATTCAAGACAGGCATTAAAGATGTACAGGTTTGGCTGCGCACAGTGGGTCCCACCTGTAATCCCAGCATTTTGGGAGGCAGAGGTGGGTGGATCGCTTGAGCCCAGGAGTTTGAGACAAAACCTGGGCAACATGGTGAAACCCCATCTCTACAAAAAAATACAAAAATTAGCCAGGTGTGGTGGTTTGTGTTTGTAGTCCCAGCTACTTGAGAGGATCACTTGAATCTGGGAGGTGAAGGCTGCAGTGAGCAGAGATCGCACCACTGCACTCCAGCCTGGGTGACAGAGGGAGACACTGTCTCATAAAAAAAAAAAAAAAAAAAAAAAAAGAAGATGTACAGGTTTTTCCAAAAGCACCCAAGAAGTTTTCTAGGGCAAATTAGGAACATATTGTGCCTAACTGCTAAATTCTCCCTCTTCCCAAACTGGCATGAGACATCCAAAATAGGGGCACCCTTGCCCTCCCTCCCAATGTATGATAAGTTTTAAGATTCTTACCTACTTGTTTTCTGCAACAGTGGTAAATTCAGTTTGGCCAGTGGCAAAATTAGGTGGCCAGTGCTGACACAGGGATGTGGATAAGCATTCTATTAAAATGATTGCTGGAGAAGCCTCACGGGGGTGTTACTTTCTAAGAAAGGTCATGCAATTTCATGCATAGCATGTGAGCTCTGGAGCTAAGGAGACCTAGGCTCTGCCCCTCACTAGCCGTATGGCCTTGTCCCACTTCTGTGAAATGAGGTTACTTAGCAGTGTCTTCCTTGCTGAACAGGCAGATCAGTGAGAGCGTAGGTCCCTCACTGAGCACGCTGCCCCTGCTCCTAATAGGCCCTGGATAAGTGGCAGCTGTTGCTAGCACTATACCCAGTGAGTGGGGATAATCATGCCCCTCCCTCTATGTGAATATCCACAAGAATCCACAAGGATTTCCCAGCCGGTGCTGACGCTGCAGGGCAGCTTTGCAAGGCTCAGAGTCAGCTATTGCTGACCAGGGGTTCTGATGACTTGCTATTTCTTGGTCTGTGCCTTCAAAGGTCCCCAACCACTGTGCTGAGAGATCCCAGAACAATCCAGATACCTGGCCCCTACCCCTTAGAAGTCAGTAGACCCTCCCAAGCCGAGACAATGAAAAAACTCTCCAGACATTGCCAACTGTCTCTTGCAAAATCACTCCCAGTTGAGAACTACCATTCTACCGTGTACAGAAAGGCCTACCCACAGCAAGAATTATCCAGCTCACAAAACCAGGGTGCTTACAGATAGCTCCTCCCAGGAGCTGAGGGCCTGAAGCCAGTAGACCTGGATTCTAGTTCTAATTCCAGCTCCACCATAATGATTAGGGTCCTCTTGGACAAACAGCCGAATCCCAGATGGCAGGGGAGGTGAACAGCTACTATATCCCAAAGGCCAAAGAACAGCTACTATATCCCATTCAGACCAGGCACGTTGCTAGGACTTCCCAGACAGTGCCTCTAGTACTTACAACCATCCTGCTGAGGTGCTGTAGGGATCACCATTCTACAAGTGAGGAAGCCGAGGTCTGATGCCTTGCCCAAGGCCACAGAACTGAGTGGTTGAGCCAGAGCTTTAAGGGCCAAATCCCATCCTCTTTATCCCATCACCCTGCCTCCTTACAGGGGTAGAAATCTTATCTCCTTCCCATATGACCAGTAAAGAGGCAGCCCTGGAGGGTTGTGTGACTTTCCAAGGACCTGTCACATCCACCATGCCACCAAGCAAGGCCAGAATCTTCCCACAGCCCCACGCTGCTATCAGAACCTCAGTTTCCCTTCTATACAATGGGGGTGACAAATGCCGCCTCACAGGCCACACTGCTGTCTGAGTTAAGGGAGAGTGAAGATTAGGAGTCTTAGGGAAGGAAGAAATTAATACACAGGAACAAGCACTTTAAATGAGTATCTAAAAGCCCAAATCAAAGAGGGGTTCTCTGCAGCCACAAGGCCGTTGAAAGGAAAAGAACAGCTCACATCTACCAGACCGAGGACGGGGGGTTCAGCCAGGGGAAGGGAGGGACACAGGATATAAACTATGAAGCAGGACCAAATGAAGTGTGAAGAATTCCCTCCATGCCACCCACAATTCATTAGAAATTGGCACAGATTTTAAAAAGAAGAAAAAGGAACAGGGGGAGGGGGATGCAGGAAAATGGAGAGGAGGGAGGAATTAAATGTGAGACAGGCTCTACAGAGCATCTGAGAAACAGTGCAGAGAGGAATCACTGCAATGAGATCCCAGGCTCCAGTCACCTAGGGACCCACAGTTCTGTCAAATGAGTTCTATGTGGAGATGCCAGAAGGAGATGTAATTTTCAAGTGAGGCCCAGAAACTTTTCAGACGTGAGGAAAACTCCCATTCTCTCTCCAAATATCTCTCCTTTTTTTTTTTTTTTTTTTTTTTTGAGACAGAGTCTTACTCTGTCTCCCAGGCTGGAGTGCAGTGGCGCGATCTCGGCTCACTGCAACCTCTGTCTCCCAGGTTCAAGCAATTCTCCTGCCCTAGCCTCTCGAGTAGCTGGGATTACAGGCATGCGCCACCATGCCCAGCTAATTTTTGTATTTTTAATAGAATGGAGGTTTTGCCATATTGGCCAGTCTGGTCTGGAACTCCTGACCTCAAGTGATCCACTTGCCTCAGCCTCCCAAAGTGCTGGGATTACAGGTGTGAGCCACCACGCCCGGCCAATCTCCCCCTTCTTTTGATGCCCTTCCTCTCTCTCCATGGAGGCTGAGTAAAGAATAATTTTCATGCACTGGAGGAAGGGGATCCTGCCCAGACCATGATGGGATATAGGCAGATCACTTAATCAGGCCCTCGTGTATCTGCTCATTCCAGAGCACAGAAGCTTGGGCCTTTCACACCAATATCAGAGCAGCTCAAACACTGACAGCATGTCAGGTGGACTCACCACAGGCTAACATGGGTGACAGGCTACCATCTGCTCCCCAGCCTCAGGCTGCCCACCCCTCCTTGCTCACAGCTCCAACCAGCTTGTCTTTCAAGTCCTCAGACACACCAAGCTCTTTTCTACCCCAGGGCCTTTGCACATGCCAGTCCCTCTGCCTGGGATGCCCTTTTCCCAGCTCTCCTCTCATTAGCATCTACTCATCTGTCAGGCTATAGCTTTGGGAAGATGTCTCCATCCCTCTGAAATTTAACTGGGCAACAGCATTTATCACAGTTGTAATTAATCAATTATGTGATTAACGAGTTGGTCTCCCCAGTCAGACTGTAAGCTCTATCAGGGCATGGGCTATGTCCGTTTTTTTCACCGCTGTGTCTAATGGCCTGGCACAGCAGTCAATCCTGATTACACATCAGAATCACCTGGAGCTTTAGAAACCAGGGATGCCTGGGTTTCACCTGGGCTCTTGTTGAACACCCTGTTAAACAAGAGCGTGTAAAGCTCGCCAGGTGGTTGTGATATGTGGCCAAGGCTGAGACCGCCGACTTGAAGAAGAGGACCTTGGCTTATGTCCTAGAACAATTCTGAAGCAGTGCAGGCAGTTATATTAATAGTAGGACCTTGCTCCCTTTGCTTGCATATACAATGTATCACCTAAATGTTGTGTTCCACCCTAGAGATTAATTTTGAGGAAATTCCAGAAGAAGAAAACAAAACCCTCATTGTTAAAGAGGAATACTATTCCTTTCATTAAGTGCTCCCCACACGGCCTCCTCCCCTCACACTCCTCTGTCCCTTTATTCAGGTTTATCACGTTCATCCTAAGGGCCACAGGATTAACTTGATGTGTTTCTGAAATACACTTAAATATTTGGAGTAAAATCCTTTAATTTTTAATTAAAACAGGCCCAGCTCTATATTACACAGTAGAATACAAAATTCCACATTAAATTTTATTAAAACAGGAGAGTTCAAGGCTATTTCATATTGGAACGGGCCCTCCAGGCCAGCCTCAGATGGACAAGTAGAGGAGCTTTGCAGAAACTCACCCAGGGGACACCAGGGGGTGGGTCATCTGTGCTGATCTGGCTTTCCCAGGACAAGTCAATGGCAAACTGTTCCTTTCTACTCAGTTGTGCTTACTAAAGGGGAGAGGTAAATGTATGAAAAAAAAAAAAAAAAGATCCGATCGCTATTACAACAGCACACGAAGTAACAATTCCAATTCCCTGATGGGCTTCCCCAGCCCAACAAAGGCACTGCTGCAGGGAGTCCCAGAACCTGGGAACAGTAGACTCTGACTGAACTCACTGAAAGAGGAGCTCTCATCAAAGTGGTGGTTCTCCAACTTTCAGGTCTACACGAACCATCCTGGGAACTTGTGAAGAATGAAGCTTCCCTTCACACCCACCAGGTTGGCCACAACCAAAAACACAAAATCACAAGTGTTGACCTGGAAGTGGAGACACTGGCACCCTATGCATTCCCAGTAGGGATGGAAAATGGTGTAGCCACTGTGGAGGGCAGTTCAGCTGGTTTCTCAACACATTTAAACATTGCATTACCATGTGACCCAGGAATTCTGCTTCTAGGTATATACCCCACATCACCGAAAATGGGTACTCCAACAGAAACTTGCACACAAATGTTCCTAGAAACATTATTCACAGAGCTGAAAAGGTGGAAAGAACCCAAATGTCCATCAACTGATGAGTGGATAAACAAATGTGTTATATTCATACAATGGAATATTATTCACCAATAAAAAGGAAATAAACACTAATACATGCAACAACATGGATGAACCTCGAAAACAGGGTGTTAAGTGAAAGACGTCAAACACAAAAGGTCACATAGTGTACGGTTCCTTTTATCTGGAACATCCAGAATAGGCCAAGGCATGGAAGCAGAAAGCAGGTTAGTGGTTGCAAGGGGCTGGGGAGGGCAGAATGGTGAGTGGGTACAGGGTTTCCTTCTGGGATGACAAAAATGCCTTGGAACTAGACCTAGGTGAGGTTGCACAACATTGTAAATGCAGGAAACGCCAATGACTTGTATACTTTAAAATGGCCGTGCAGCCATAAAGAAGAACGAGATCGTGTCTTTTGCAGGAACATGGGTGGAGCTGGAGGCCACTGTCCTCAGCAAGCTAACGCAGGAACAGAAAACCAAATATCCCATGTTCTTACTTATAAGTGGGAGCTAAATGATGAGAACTTATGAACACAAAGAAGGAAACAACAGACACTGAGGTCTACTTGAGGGGGGAGGGCAGGAGGAGGGAGAGGAGCAGAAAAGATTACAACTGGGTACTGGGCTTAATTCCTGGGTGATGAAATAATCTGTATAACAAACTCCCATGACATAAGTTTACCTCTGTAACAAACCTTCACATGCATCCCCGAATGTAAAATAAAAGTTAAACATTTTTTACGTGAAAAAAAAAATGACCGATGGTTAATTTTATGTTGGTGAATTTTACCTAATATATATTTTTTCTTTTTTTAAAAGAAGCTTCCTGGGCCCTACCATTAGAGACTTTAACTCATTAGGTCTGCGCTGGGCCCAGGGACCTATTTTTTAAAAGAACAACCTGGGTGACTCTGAGAGGGGTGGTCCCCAAACACAGCCTAAAAGGCAGGGTCGATTTGTGTAAACAATGCCTTTACTTTGGATGAATCCATAATGACTGATACTATTTACCTACTGAGTGCCAAGTATCTGCCAGGCACTGGGTTTGGTGTTTTTAAATGCACTATCTCAGAATCACACTGCAAGGTAGAAATGATCTCTTTTATTTTATAGATAAGGAGATGGAGGCTCAGAGAGGCGAAGTAAAGGGCACAGAGCTAACAATGGATTCAAATCAGTATCTGTCTGACTCCACAGACCATATTTTTTCTCTCTCCCTACTCTATGCCACTGGTTCTTCAACAAGCTCTTTCAGGCAGCAGGAATCTCATCTCTGTGTTATATGTGCAAAATGCTCTTTATGTCCCAGGCTTAGATCATCTTACTCCAAGGTGTGGTCTTTAGACCTGAAGCCTTAGCATCCCTGGGAATTTACAGACTCTCAGTCCTCACCTCAAGTTTGCTGAATTGGACTTTGCTATCCCCAGATAATTCATATGCACATTGAAGTGTGAGCAGCACTGGCCTTTGTAGAGCTGTGCTGTCCAATATGGCAGCTACTAGCCGTAAGTGGATATTTAAATGAATATTAATTTAAAATAAAATAAACTTAAAAATTTACTTTATTTTATTATTTTGTTTTATTTATTGAGACAGGGTCTCACTCTGTCACCCAGGCTGGAGTGCAGTGGCATGATCAGGGCTCACTGCAGCCTCAACCTCCTGGGCTCAAGTGATCCTCCCGCCTCAACCTGGGACTACAAACATGCGCCACCAGGGGTCTCCTTTAGCAGAGACAGGTTTCTGCCATGTTGCCCAGGCTAGTCTCCAACTCCTAGGCTGAAGCAATCTGCCTGTCTTGCCTCCCAAAGTGCTGGGATTACAAGCATAAGCCCCCGCACCCAGCCTAAAATTAAACTTAACTCAGCTTTTCAGTTGCACTAACTACTTTTCTTTTCTTTTTTAAGAAACGGGGCCTCACTCTGTCACCCAGGCTGGAGTGCAGTGGCTTGCTCACAGCTCACTGCAGCCTCTAACTTCTGGGCTCAGGCAATCCTCCTGCCTCGGCCTCCCAAAGTGCTAGGAGTATAGGCATGAGCCACCACGCCCCGGCCTACACATTTTAAGATGCTCAATAGCCACATGTGGCTAGTAGCTACCATATTAGACAGCACCAAATAGAACATTTCCCTCAATGCAGAGTCCTATTGGACAGGGCTCTCAGAGCAGCGTAGCTCAACCTTGGCATTTGTGACACTGTGGGTTGGATAATTCTTTGTTGTTGGTGGGGCTTTCTGTACATGGTGGAGCAGTAGTTCTCAACAGGGAGTGATTTTACTCCTCGAGGGATACTTGGCAATGTCCAGAGACATTGTTGGTTGTCACAGTTGGGGGAGTTCTTCTAGTATCTAATGGGTAGAGGCCACGGATGCTGCTAAACACCCTGGAAGGCATGGGACAGCCCCCAGCAAAGGACGATCTGGTCTAAAACGTTAGTAGGAGAAACCCTGCTCTAGTGTAATCAAGAGAACACTGCCAGTCTCAGCAGAACTGGTAGCAGGAGGCTAAGGAGGCCAAAGAGTACCCACCCCCAACCATTTGTCAAGCCCCAAGAAGCCTTCAGAACTCTGAGAAGCTACTCTCCAAGAAAGCAGGTGTCTATTTTTGCCAAAAATGCAGAACAAGAAGTTCTGGTTTCCAGAATAATCTATAAACTCATTACTAAAATGAAGTGCCTGCATTTCCAATCCCAAGGGCAAGGCAAGGAAGAAATTCCTTTTTGGCGTTGATGTTTGGAATGTGTGATAAATTCTGCATGTAAACCACAATCTGCTGTTGGTTAGGTGTAGAGATATATCACTCATTCAGTTGTGCATTCATCTATTTATTTATAAATATTTATTGAGCACCTACTATATGTTGGGTACTCTTCTAGTGTTGGAAACACAGCAGGAAACAAATAAAAGGTCCCTGCCTTTGTGGAGCAGATAGTCTAGTGGAGGAGAATAACAATATACAAGTAAGCAGGCATGTGTGCAATGTCATGGCAGGTATGATGAATGTTATGAAGGGAAATAAAGCAGGGTAAGGGTCAGAGGAGTGATGAACATGGGTGGCGCCTATTCATGGTCACCTGAAAAGGTGACATCTGGGCATAGGCCTAAATGAACTGGCTGAACCAGGTGACTCAGGGAAGGAAGAGAGTCCCAGGCAGAGGACACAGCAGCTGTGTCCTTCCACTCTTTGGTGGAATGAACTTGGTGGAGGGAGCCGGCAGGTGCGGTCAGCAAGGCAGGAGGCCAGGCTGTAGGCATGAGATCATGGAGGGGCCGGGCGCGGTGGCTCACTCCTGTAATCCCAGCACTTTGGGAGGCCGAGGTGGGTGGATCACAAGGTCAGGAGATCGAGACCATCCTGGCTAACATGATGAAACCCCGTCTCTACTAAAAATACAAAAAAAATTAGCCGGGCGTTGTGGCGGGCGTCTGTAGTCCTAGCTACTCGGGAGGCTGAGACAGGAGAATGGCGTGAACCTGGGAGGCAGAGGTTGCAGTGAGCCAAGATCGTGCCACTGCACTCCAGCCTGGGCAACTGAGCAAGACTCCGTCTCAAAAAAAAAAAAAAAAAAAAAAAAAGAGATCATGGAGGGTTGTGAGCAGAGGAGAGATGGGGTCTGATTCACTTTTCACGTGGAGAACAAACTACAAGAGGACAAGAGTGGAGAAAGCTGTTGTCGTCTTCCAAGTAAGAGAGGGTGCTGGCTTATTAATAATTCATTAATTAAACCATCAACATTAATACAAATTATCTATTGGGCCAATGCTATTACTCTTTTATTTCAGACATATCATGGGGAGACCAGGCATCGCATTCCAGCTACTTCTACAGAAAAATGCATTCTGAGTTCCATGATCAACTTGAAACCTTTTCCATCCACCTTGGTTTTAAGCTGGGTACTGTGTGGTTGGATAGAAGACAGCAGGAAAGGGAGTCAGGGATGAGGGCAGATTAACAGGAGGAAAAAAGGGCATCTCCCCTCATCATGCCCTTTTCCCCAGAGCCACCAGAGAAGAGCAGTCTGAATGGAACCTTCCTATCATACTCCTTCCAAGGTTTGTTGGGCAGCAGATAGATGAGCCCCAGCTGTTCTGCTCCAGGCTGGCTCTCCCAGAAGGATGGCACTGCAGCTGTGTCCAAAAGAGAGCTACGGAGTCTTTCTCAGAAGCGGGGAGCCCCTACTTTAGAGTTTCCGAAGATTCAAGGCAGCACTGGATCACGGAGTCAGTAGAAGTGGGGCAGAAGAATCCCCCTGTGCCGCTTACAAAACGCACAACAGGCATGTCAGCCAATCTCTCTGATCCTCGGCATTCCCCTCTGTAAAATGGAAACAACCTCCTTGGCCTCTCAGAGTGGTTATGATGGGTCAAAGCAGACAATGCTGGCGCTGGGTGTGCCGAGGTCTGGGCATCTGCACCTTCGGGAGCAGATACAGATGCTCCATCCTCCACGGGCATATGGATTTGTGCTGTACTCACATCCAGGTAATTTGGCTTTACCCATGGAAAGGGGCTTCCCTTTCATTAATTCATCGACTCCACACACATGCACTGGGTCTTAGTGCCGGGTGTGGTGTTTGGAAGAACAGTCAGAGGCAGCCCCCACTCTCCAGGAACACAAGGGCAGAGTGGGAGACAGACACGAAATAGGTTCTACCAATGTTCCTTCTCCTTCAGTGCCTGGTTGCCCAAATAGTTTTCTTGCCTTCAGACTAGAGCCACCAGCCTTTTGGGGCCTACAGATTCCCCTCATCTACCCATAGCTTGCAGCCTCGACCCTGGGGCAGTGCCCTCTGCTCATTTCCAGACTGGGAAGCAGGCCTGATTGTTTCTGCTGAAGCAGGAAAAGATGGTGAGAGAAAGGCAGGGCTGGCTGTGTAGAGAGGGGAACCAGCAGAAGTTTTGCCTTCAATAAGGCTTTCCTTCCAGCCCACACTTCCAGGACACCCACTTGTGACCCTGAGATCGCCTGGGGTTCGGCATCTCTCTGGTGCTTCCCAAGGAACGTCTTCAAGAGAAGGCTCCGGCTCTGAGTCATCTGAAGCAGAGAGGAGACCTTGTAAAAATAACTCTAAGTATGAAGCTCCTGTATTCATATTATTCACGATACAAAGAACAAAAAAGCAGGGCAGGAAGCAGAGGAGGAAAGTGTCGTTCACATCAGTTTTCTTCATATGACAAGCAGCCAGGAACTCAATTGCTAAGCCTCATCTCTCTCTCTCTGTTTCTCTCTCTTTCCTTGGAGCGATTACATAAGCTGGAAAAGGGGTCTTCTCTGCAACATCCTAACTCTCCCAAGAGTCCCTCTCCATCTGTCACCTGTAAATCTGAGCCTTCCCAGTAACGCTTACCGGGATGCAAACGTGCTCAAGTTGTGCACTCTCCTGGGATGTGGGCCCCAGAACAAGGAATTCCCTTGAAGACCCAAGGGCCTTCACTGAGCCCCAGGAGTGGGATTTCTGGCAATGTGACCATATGAGGGAGAACCTATTGGGGAGGCTGGCAGGGTTGGCCAGGTCTCTGAAGGCATATGTGGTGGGGCTTCCTTGAAAGACCTTGGATTTCAACATGTTAGGATATGTGGGCCTCAGGAACTCTCCTGGTCATATTCAGGACTTCCTGGGCTCCAAGCGGGGAGGTGCTGCAGACTCACTTCTACGTTGCCTTCTGAGAGCCATGGTCTTTATGGATCATGGAGGTAAGGACAGGGATTTTGAGACAAGGATGAGAGCCTATTAAGAGAAAAAGCAAAGGAATGAGACCGGAAGCCGGGAGAGATGAGAAATAAACAAGATCCTGGGAAACAGGGAACAGCTGGAGGTGCGGCCCTAAAGGGTTTTTTTTTTGTGCTTATCAGGCACGCCCCTTTCTGGAGAGGTGCCATAGTGGTGGTCCTGACCTCTTGTGGCTCATAACTGAAGACAAACTAATTACTTTTAGACAAATGCATGTACATATTAGGAAATGAAAACCTCCACCATGGCATGGTAAGTATAAGCTTCAGCTAAATTCAGAACCCTAGCTGATGCCAGTAAAAAGAACTATTAGCAAATTCACTGCTTTGTGCTTTGTAAACATCTCTATTCACAAGAAAACATGCTTTAGAGTATGAGTCTACCCTGATCGAACTCTTCATCAACATAAATCCCTGGTTTTACAACAAGAAGCCAAGCTCACCCGATGCTTTCAAATGTGCACAGTTAAACTAGGGCAGAGGTCCCAGCAAGCCTTGCAAAATTAAGCTCATGCATCTAAAAAAATACTGGCCGAGTGCCTCAATGCTAGGCATTGTTCTCCGTGACTGGCACGCAACAGTGAACAAAGAAGACAAAACTCCCTGCCCTCATGGAGATTTCATTTTAATAGGGAGAAACAGAAAATAAAAATTATTATAATTAAAGTGTATAGTGTATTAGATGGCTGTAGATGCTATGGGAAAAAACAAAGTAGGAAATAGTCAGGGAAGCCCTCTCTGAGAAGGTGACATCTGAGCAAATGCCTGAAGGAATAAGAACAATGAGATCTGGGGAAAGAGCATTCTAGGAGGAGGAACAGCAAGAGCCCTGTGGTGGGTACATGCCGGATGTGACTGAGGAATTAGAAGGGTGTGGCTGGGACAGTGAAAACCAGGAGGAAAGCAGTAGGAACAAGGTCAGAGATTCTAAACGTGATTTTAAAACAAAACAGAAGTATAAACTTGATGGAGCGAATAGGTTGGTCGCATAGGGTGCTTAGGAAAGGCCAAGGTAAGGAGGTGTCAGTTGAGCTGAGACCTAAATGAGCAAAGCATGAAGATGTGAGGAGAGAACGTTCACAGCAGTGGTGACAGCGAGTGCAGTGGCTCTGGCAGGGATGAGCGTGCATGTGGCAGGTGTGCAGTGGGTGGGATGAGGCAGCGTGGTAGGACGGGGTCTCCATTATGTAGGGTAGTGGTCTCCACCTGGAGTGATTTTGCCTTCCAGAGGACATTTGGCAGTGTCTAGAAACATTTCTGTGTCACGACTAGGGAAGTGCTATTGGCACCTGGTGGGCAGAGATGCTGCTAAACATCTTACAATGTGCAGGACAGTCCCTTTCAAGACAGAATTCACTAGCTCCAAATGTCAATAGCACTAAGGTTGACAAACCCTGGTGCAGGGCCTCACAAGTCACAGTAAGAAGTCTGGGTGCTCACAGAAGCACATGCCAAGGACTTTCTAATGCCTCGTGCCTGCTGGAGTGTGATCCTTACACGTGGCACATCCAGGTCTAGAGTATGGCACATTGGGATGAAAGAGAAGGGCGCTAGGATCGGCGCTTAGAGCACAGAAGCAGGGGTAGAGGCAAAGAGGCTGTGACGAGGTCACCCTAACCTAACTTGGAGCTAAGAGGGAGCTCCTGGAGTAGAGACAAAGGAGGTCAAATGAAGGGGGGCCATCGGGCTGTCTTCTAGCAGCTGATATCCTTCAAGAGACCAGGTGGGGCCCCTGGGTCAGGGTTGGGGAGAGGAACACCACCCCCCCCCCCACCCACTGCCACCCCCTAACGTCATAGTGAAGTGTCTGAGGGCTGGAGAACGCTGCAAGTCTGAGCAGTGTGGAAGGCACAGGTTGGGACCAGTGTGCAGACAGCTCAAGGCTCAAGAAGGACATCACCAGCAGAAACACAGGCAGAGGCTGAAGAGGAGGGACTTGGGTGGGGGTGCTCTCCTTTCAGGGGAGAGGACCCCCACACCTACCCTCACGGTACCTGGAAGATGCACATGAGGACCCAAGGGAGGCCTAAAAAATAAGAGGCTGTTTTGGGATGATCTCAGATTTGGTTCTTCCTGCAGAATGAGTTGTTCTCTGCTCCACTGGGGGTGGGGGCACCTGGACGTCAGGCTGCCTGGCTAATGGGTCTACACAAATGACATTTCGAGTCACAAGTTATTTAATTTCTCCGCCAAAGTCAAGAAAGTCCATGGGTCTGGGGAAGTGGCTGTGATGACCAATGACTCTGGCACGCAGTTAACCCCAAGCATGCACCTCCTCCTCCCCGCATTGCTAATCTTGATGATTCATCCAGAGAGGCTGGTCTGCCTCAGTGGAAAGAAAATCTAGGTGAGGGTCTCATTACTAAGAAATGAGAAAAATGCCTCAATGTAGAGGCAGGTCAGAACCCTTCCTGGTCACTATCCAAAGAAGCTTTTCTAACTTGGGGAGGACAGATGAAGGGGACTGCCTCATAGTGACTTTGTTCTAACAAAATTTTGGATGGCATTTTCAGGTGCCTGCTTATGTGTGCACAAGCAGGCAGACACCTTCATTAATACTCTTGAAACCACCTTTGCAAAGATTATGACAGTGACAGGAGTCTAGCATGGCTGACTCCATCTTGCCTCTAGCCTCACAAGCCAGCTGTCCTCCCTCATTCCTGGGTGTAGACCAAGCTAACCATGGGAGGAATTTAGTTTATTGTTTTAACTTTGAAGCAAGGATGATAACAGTCCCTCCCTGAAACGAACCCCCTCCTTGCTCAGGGACCAAAATCGCCTTTGTCTTGGTAATGAAAGGCCACAAGATTAGGATTATGGGAGGGGCCTGAATTCTGCTAACATGTAGGTGTAGCTAAAGGATAACCAGCCATTCCCCTCCACCGCCCCCAGCTTGCCTTTTTATAATCCCTTGCTACTCATGAGTCATGTGGCCAGAGGTCACAAGATTTGTGACTTCCCCAATTGCTCCTATAGATAACATCACTATTGTAGAACTTAAGATGGGTCTTTTGAGATGCTTTTCAGACTTTTGCATTCTGGCAACCATCTGACTCTACCTGGACCTGGGACTCATGACAACCTGTCCTGTGGCCCCCTAATGTAGAGGCTGACTCAGCACACAAGGACCATTTTCCACACCCCTACGATTTCAACCTTCACCAATCAGCAGCTCCCATTCCCCTGTCCACAAAATTATCCGTAGAACACCCTAGCCTCTGAGTTCTCTGGGAGACCAATTTGAGTAATAACTCCAGTCTTTCTGCTTGGCTGGCTCTGCCTTAAACTGTTTGTCTACTACAATACTGTGGTCTCAGTGAATTGGTTTTGTCTGTGCAGGAGGAAGGAAGAACCTGTTGGGTAATTATACCCTCACTCAGCACTAATTTCCTCCTCAGTAGTTTTTGTTTGTTTGTTTGTTTGTTTTGAGACAGAGTCTTGCTCTGTTGCCCAGGCTGGAGTGCAGTGGCATGATCATGGCTTGCTGCAGCCTCAACCTCCCAGGCTCAAGCAATCCTCCCACCTCAACCTCTCAAGAAGCTGGGACTACAGGTGCGCACCATTATCCCCGGCTAATTAAAAAATTTTTTATAGAGACAGGGTCTCATTTTGTTGCCCAGGCTGCTCTTGAACTCCTGGGCTCAAGCAAGCCTCCCGCCTTGGCCTCCTAAAGTGCTGGGATTACAAGCGTGAGCTCCCAGACCTCAATAATTTTTAAAATAACAGTCTTCTCCACATCTAAAACATGTTCACTGTAAAAATTTTAGAAAACAGATACAAAATAAAAAGAAGAAAAACTCCATCACTTGTTGAGAATTATTTTTTTTTTTGCTAAACTTTTTAAGATATAGTTGAGATTATATTGTATACATAATTTTGAATCCTGCTTATAAAATAAGCATTTTGTCATGTTGTTAAAAGTTCTAGGCTAGGCACGGTGGCTCACACCTGTAATCCCAGCACTTCAGGAGGCCGAGGCAGGCGGATCACCTGAGGTTAGGAGTTCAAGACCAGCCTGGCCAACATGGCAAAACCCCGTCTCTACTAAAAATACAAAAATTAGCTGGGCGTGGTGGCAGGCGCCTGTAATCCCAGCTACTTGGGAGGCTGAGGCAGGAGAATCGCTTGAACTTGGGAGGTGGAGGTTGTAGTAAGCCGAGATCACCCCACTACACTCTAGTCTGAGTAACAGGGCGAGACTCTGTCTCCAAAAAAAAAAAAAAGCTCTTTGTAAATACTAGTTTTAACCATTGAATAATAATCCACTCTAACGCTACAAGAAATAGAGGTCCATATTCTCCAAGGTCTTATTTCGCTGAATACAAGTAGTTTTAAACCAGCCCCCAACACTGAATACAGGAAATTTCTGAGCACTTAATAATGAGTGCCAGGCACTCTACCCCTACCATGTAGGGTGGCTGTGGGGAGGGCTAACATTGGACTGACATAGACAAAATTTCTTTCTTTTCTACAGTCTTGGGATCTCTACACTTCACTTGGTGGAGGGTCATATTCCACTGTTTTCAGTGAAACAGCCAAGACGAACCCTTCATTCAGTTAAGAGGAAGCTCCAGGCTCTAGTTAGGCACTGGAAGTAAAGGAAATGTGGGTTAGGTCCCAAGAAGCAGAGGTAATGTGGACAACTGAAAGGCTCCAGAATGGATACTCAGGGGCTGGACAACTACAGCCTGAAGGCCAATCCGCTGCCTGTTTATGTAAATAAAGCTTTATTAGAACATAGCCACACCCATTCATTTCAGTATTATCTATGGCTGCTTTCAGCTGCAACAAGCAGAGTTCAGTAGCTGCAATAGAGACCATGGCTGCAAGCCCAAAATATGTAGTACCTGGTCCTTGAAGACAACATTGTTTGATTCCTGTATTGGGAGGCCAACCATCCTCCAAAATAGATGCTCTCCCTTCTTTGGCTAAGAGTCCTCACTTAGAAGTACTCTGAAGTGTGGCCAGCCAGAGACTACATTTCCCATCTCCTCCTGCAGCAAGGTGGAACTCCCTGACCAGTTCTCTCCAATGAAATGTGGGCCAAGTAACTTGTATCGCTTTTGGGCCAAGGTGGTTAAGAAGCAGGTGAGCCTTCTCCATCTTCTGTTTCCCTTCCACCTGAATGAAGAGTCCTCATAGGCCTGTGGCAGTGTTTCTCCACCTTTTCTTCATTGTTGCCCTCCTAAGGGGACTTTTTAGACATTTTTTTTCCCTAATTACTTTCCTCCATGACATTTTCACACCACAGATATACTCTATATCTGTTTATGTACCATGTAGATGTTTGTGATTTATGCATCAAAATGTAAGATTTTTCAGCCTCCAAGATCTTTGCCCCCTTGGGCATGATACTGCCCCCATTAAAGATGCATGCTCCAGAGTATAGCAGAGTGACAGAGGCAAGGCATGTAGATCCCTAAATTACCTTGTAGAGGAAAGCCAGTTACAACCAGAAACACTTGCATTGACTGTTACAAGGGCAAGAAATAAACTTCCTTCATGTTAAACTCCTGAAATGTGGGAGATGATTACAGCAGCTAATGTTGCCCTAACCAATACAAGCTTTTAATTTGATTGTTAAAAAAAGTATGAGCCTGGCACACTGGCTCATGCCTGTGATCCCAGCATTTTGGGGGGCTGAGGCAGGAGGATCACTTGAGCCCAGGAGTTCGAAACTAGGCTGAACAACATAGGGAAACCCCATGTCTACAAAAAAATGTAAAAATTAACTGGGTGTGATGGTGTGTGCCTGTGGTCCCAGCTACCTGGGAGGCTGAGGTGGAAGGATTGCTTGAGCCTGGGAGGTCAAGGCCATGATTGTGCCACTGCACTCCAGCCTGGGTGACAGAGTGAGACTGTGTTTCAAAAAAAAAAAAAAAAAATGGTGCATTCAATAGACATATAATAATATAATGCTATATATTATATTAAATACATTATATCATTATTATTTTTTGTTTGTTTTTGTTTTGAGATGGAGTCTCACTTTGTCTCCCAGGCTGGAGTGCAGTGGTGTGATCTCAGCTCACTGCAACCTCTGCCTCCTGGGTTCAAGCAATTCTTCTGCTTCAGCCTCCCGAATAGCTGGGATTACAGACACCCATCACTATGCCCAGCTAATTTTTGTATTTTAGTAGAGATGGGGTTTCACCATGTTGGCCAGGCTGGCCTCGAACTCCTGACCTCAAATGATCCACCTGGCGGCCTCCCAAAGTACTGGGATTACAGGCATGAGCCACCGCACCCAGCCATAACTAAATTATATTATATTATTATATGTCTATTCAATCAAACTTTTAATCCTAAATATACTCCTTTAGGGTTTAGGACAGGTTTCCTAAATCCTAAAGGGGTAAATTTAGGATTAAAAGTTCCTACTTTAGGTGGTGGAGCGTTTAGCCTATTGGCTCTTACATTGACATAGGACAACAATTTAAACAGATTCAAGAAGGGTTGAGATCAATTCTGAGCACAACCTATTAAAGACGAATACGTTAACTGTATTCATTTATACCCTCTCCATTTGAACACATCACTACCAAAACAAAAGTGAAAGAATTTTTTTTTTTTTTTTTGAGACTGAGTCTCGCTCTTTTGCCCAGGCTGGAGTGCAGTGGCATGATCTTGGCTCACTGCTACCTCCTCCTCCTCCCAGGTTCAAGCAATTCTCCCTACCTCAGCCTCCTGAGTAGCAAGGATTACAGGCGCCCGCCACAACGTCCGGCTAATTTTTGTATTTTTTAGTAGAGATGGGATTTCGCCATGTTGGCGAGGCTGTCTTAAACTCCTGACCTCAGGTGATCCACCTGCCTCGGCCTCCCAAAGTGCTGGAATTACATGCGTAAGCCACCGCACCTGGCCTAATAATTTTTTTTAAAAGGCATAACTTCAACAATAAAGGGAACAGGTGAGGGCTACCCAGGACAGAGATTGGGACAACTTTGTGGAAAACAGACAGAATATGGAAGATTAGAAACTGATGATGCAAGCACAGGAAGCCTGAGCTCCAGCGCTCAAATATTATGAGATTCCATTAGCCTGGCAAAATGGCCACAGGCTCATGACTCAGAGACGCCAGAACAACGGAGGGCAGGAATCAGATAGGAGGCTGAAAAGGGGGGAATTTTATAAAATCTGAAGTCAGAAGATTTGCACCCTTCATAGGTGGCTCATGAGGCAGCCAGGTTATCTATTCTTCCAAGCCAAAAAAAAAAAAAAAGGCATTTTCTTCTCTGGAGAAACTGAACTAACCAGCCCCAACCCTGAGACCCCCCTAAACCCCACCCTGAAAAAAACATTTGAGATCCAGGAAGCAGTAGAACCAATCTAGTAAAGTAGTAGAGGAAATCTCAGGTGACAGCTCTGTAGCAGACCTAGAATGAAATCAAATTTGAGAAGAATAGAGGACCCTGGGAGAAAGGGATATATAAAATACCCAACTGGCTAGAGAGTTTGAGAGAAAAAAAATGAGGATATAATAACAGCAAAGTTTTTAAAAAAAAGGCAATGAGAAAGTCTTGGAAAAATTAAAGCTGTAAAAGAAAGTATCCATAGTATATTACTTGGCTCCAAAGAGAATAACACATCAAGCATCAGGGTCACACACTTAAATGCCTTCAGCGTCATGCAAGTAAGTAAATAAATGAGCAAGTCAGGTATTGGAACACTTGCATATACTGCGAGTGGTAGGAACTGTGGCAAACTAGAGTAGGAATGCCTATTCTAAAGGGGACAGACTCCAGCAGAGTGTTACTATATGTGGGAAGTCAGACCATATGTGCCAGAACTTCCAATTTTTAAAACAAAACCCCAAACTCTAAATCTTTTATAAAAAAAACTCTACCAATTTTTAAATGTTGGCTGTAAGCCTAAAAAAAAATCACTAGGCAAATCAAACAAGTATGTCCAATGGTGGATTGTCAATGTGCAACTTGTCATTTATGCAATCACAATAGCATAAGCCCTATCTGCTAGTTTTTCAGCCTTTAAGATCAACCTGTAGATAAAGCATAAAAGACTGAATGGCAGCTACAAAATAAAAATGTAAATGTTTTCAATCTTAACAATGTAAAAGTAAAAGCAGAGATGACAGAAGTTGGAAAGTAGAAGGCAAATTAGGTAAGAACGCAAATACTGCCATTTTACTGCACCGGGACTCAGGAAGTACTGTTGTTAAGAAACAAGAAATATGATAGTAAGAATCTTACTTATAAAGGTAACTAAGCAGAGGAACTATAAATAATAATACAACTTTGTTGTGAGGATGTGGGGAGGAGAGGTAGAGGGATGGTATAAGGGAGTTAAGTTGTTATCTATCATAACAGAAAGTCAACAAGTAATTTCTAAAATAGGAGTAAAATTAAAGCACATTATTGAAAATATGGAGGTAAATGCCATAAACTAAACTAAAATAAAATAAAATTGAGTTAAAAGTGCCTCCAAGCAGTAGGTCTGGGTTAGGAAGGGAAGGGGCCAGGAGACTAATTTTTATTATAAATTCCTCCGAATGCAAACCCCCTGCCCCAAATAAAGCAAAATGCCCTTTTCAAGAAAATAACACAGATCAATTCGTGGGGTTGTATATTGGGACAGATAACTAAGCCTGCTAAGCTTGACTCTCAGATACTATAGAGAACGATCAAAAGAGTTTAAATAAAAATAATTTAATAAATGAACAAGTTATAGAGGTGTGGGGAGGATTAAGGCAACCAGCAATATATGGTGCAGCATGCAGAGACTAAGTATGAGACTAAGTATGAAGGGCAAGAAGGCAGAACAGTGTTACTGTAGCCCAATGCATCTGGAGGACTGGAGCTGTAGCTGTAAAAGATAGCCGTTGCCAGAAAACTGATGAGGCTGAGAGGAAGCAGGGGGATTAACGCTCCCTGCTTTCTGCCTATTCTTGGATCTCCTACTGGTGCCTCCTACTGGCCAAACCCAACCACACCTGGAAGGTAAAGTAAAGGAGCCTAGTTGACACAATCCACTGAGGTTGGTCTCCCAGGCCACAGCAGGGCAGAGAATGGCACTGGGAGGGGGTGGGGGGCAAGCAGAGGATAACTAGCACCTATTCTCACACTCTCCATTATCCTGCCCTCTCCATTGCCTATCTGAATGAAAAAAAAAAATGGATTCAACAAAACATGTATTTGTCTAAGAGTGGTAAATACTGACCTCCTCTAGTTCAGCAGCAGAACTAAGGAACTGTCAGGAAGAGTTGATAAAGGAGGTGCAACTTTCCCCCAGTTTTTTTTTTTTTTTTCCTTTTGAGATGGAGTCTCGCTCTGTCGCCCAGGCTGGAGTGCAGTGGTGTGATCTCGGCTCACTGCAACCTCTGCCTCCTGGGTTCAAACGATTCTTCTGCCTCAGTCTCCCAAGTAGCTGGGATTACAGGCATGCACCACCACGCCCGGCTAATTTTTGTATTTTTAGTAGAGACGGGGTTTAACCATATTGGCCAGGCTGGTCTCAAACTCCTGACCTCGTGATCCACCTGCCTCGGCCTCCCAAAGTGCTGGGATTACAGGTGTGAGCCACCGCGCCTGGCCTCCCCCAGTTTTCATTAGGGATACTGATGGATAACTTCCATAGGTCAGCCCTGCATTCTATCATGGGAGAGAGGAAAGATACCTATGAAGCAATAATCCCAGCAATTTGACAATAGGGAAGGTGAGACAACCATGGAGAAAGACCAGGGTACAAGGTAGCATGATAAGCACCCAGTGAAAAAGTGCAATAATAGGTGCCTCCAAGCCCCAAAACCAGGAGGCAACATGTCTTAGCAGGTTTTCCTAAGCAGGTAAGCATTGGTTGGCCCCGAAGGTTGAGTGGAATTAGACAGGAGGAGGCAGCCAGTGAGACATGTTTAGGGACAGCGAGCAGGTCTACCTGGCCACAGGAGGAGTGAGAGATGGGCTGTTTGCCAGGCCAGGGTAGTGCAATGGGGGAGATCTAAATGCCAGGCTCAGGAGTTGGAACTTTATTTCAGAACAGATTGTTGCCAAAGTTTTCTGATCAAGTGACATGTTTGAGGCAACAGGGACATTACATGGATGGGATGTGCTTGGCATTTGTTGAACCAACATCAAAGAGAAGGTAGAGACATAAAGTGGGAGACTTGCTAATCTTGGTATTCCCACAGCCTAGCACAGGGTCTGTTCCATAATTAGTGCCCAGAAAGAGCCAAATCAAGAATGCAATCCCGTTTACAACAGTCCACCCACCCAAATACCCAGGAATACATCTAACAAAGGAGGTGAAATATCTCTACAAGAACTACAAAACATTGCTGAACAAAATTATAGATGACACAAACAAATGAAAAAACATTCCATGCTCTTGAATCAGAAGAATCAATATCATTAAAATGTCCATACTGCCTAAAGCAATCTATAGACTCAATGCTATTCTTATCAAATGGCCAACATCATTTTTCACAGAATTTGAAAAAACTATTGTAAAATTCATATGGAACCAAAATAAGCCCAAATAGCCAAAGCAATCCTAAGCAAAAAGAACAAAGCTGAAGGCATCACATTACCTTACTTCAAACTATACTACAAGGCTATAGTAACCAAAACAATGTGGTACTGGTACAAAAACAGATACATAGATCAATGGAAGAGAAGAGAAAACCCAGAAATAAAGCCACACACCTACAACCAACTGATCTTCAACAAAGTCGACAAAAATAACAATGGGGAAAGAACTCCCTATTCAATAAATAGTGCTCAGAAAACTAGCTAACCATATGCAGAAGATTAAAACTGGACCCCTATTTATCACTATATACAAAAATTAACTCAAGATGGATTAAAGACTTAAATGTAAGACCTAAAACTATAAAAATCCTAGAAGAAAACCTAGGAAATAGTCATCTGGACGTCAGCCTTGGAAAAGAATTTATGACTAAGCCCTCAAGAGCAATTGCAAGAAAAATGAAAATTGACAAGTAGGGCCTAATTAAACTAAGGAGCTTCTGCACAACAAAAGAAACTATCAACAGAGTGAACAGACAACCTACAGAATGGGAGAAAATGTTTGCAAACTCTGCATCTGACAAAGGTCTAATATCCAGAATCTATAAGGAACTTAAATAAATCAACAAGAAAAAAAACAAATAACCCCACTAAAAAGTGGGCAAAGGCCATGAACAGACACTTCTCAAAGGAAGACATACAAGTGGCCAAAAAGCATATGAAAAAAATGCTCAACATCGCTAATCATCACAGAAATGCAAATCAAAGCTATAATGAGATACCATCCGACACCAGTCCAAATGGCTATTATTAAAAAGTCAAAAAATAACAGATGTTAGCGCGGCTGTGGGGAAAAGGGAATGCTTATATACTGTTGATGGGAGTGTAAATTAGTTCAGCCACCATGGAAAGCAGTTTGGAGACTTCTCAAAGAACTAAAAATATAACTACCATTCAACTCAGCAATCCTATTACTGGATATATACCCAAAAGAAAATAAATCATTCCACCAAAAGACATATGCAACTCATATGTTCACTGCAGCATTCTTCATAATAGCAAAGACATGGAATCAACTAGATGCCCATTAACAGTGGACTGCATAAAGAAAATGTGGCACATATATGCCATGGAATGCTATGCAGCCATAAAAAAGAATGAAATTGGTTGGGTGTGGTGACTCACACCTGTAATCCCAGCACTTTGGGAGGCTGAGGCAGGAGGATCATTTGAACCCAGGAAATCAAGACTAGGCTGGAGAACACGGTGAAACCCTGCCTCTACAAAAAAATACAAATATTAGCTGGGTGTGGTGGTGTGCACCTGTAGTCCCAGCTACTCAGAAGGCTGCGGTGGGAGGATGGATTGAATCCAGGAGTTCGAAGCTGCTGTGAGCTGTGATAGCACCACTGCACTCCAGCCTGGGGCCACAGAGCAATGAAATCACGTCCTTCACAGCAACATGGATGTAGCTGGAGGCCATTATCTTAAGTGAATGAACACAGAAGTAGAAAACCAAATACCACATGTTCTCACTTATGAGTGGGAGCTAAACACGGGTACACATGGATGAGAACAGACACAGGGGACTACAAAATGCGGGAGGGTGGCAAGGGTTGAAAAGCTTCCTATTGGGTACTATGTTCACTACCTGGGTGATGAGTTCAATTGAAACCCAAACCTCAGCAACACACACTATACCCTTGTAACAAACCTGCACATGTACTCTCAAATCTAGAGGAAAAATTGAAATAAAAAAAAAATTCAGTGCAACACTGGCCAGGTGACTGGCTTGCCAGTTGGCTGGCTGGATGGAAGGGGTGACAGGGGCCTGTATGAGGGTGGTAGCAATGCAAATGAATCAAATGAAACACAGAATCAGTAGGTTCCAAAGCCTGGATGCTTCTCAGAGTGTGCAGGTCTGACGCCCGTCTCTCTTGGAAAGTGGGAGATTATAACACAATTGCTTTATCACTCTGCAAATATTTCCCAACTTGTGAGGGCATGTTTGGTTATTAACAGATCATGCAACAAATTAGACACAGGAAACAAAACATGAATGACAGAAAGGTGGGTGGGGCCCAGGGCAAGAACTGGAGACCAAAGCCTCCCCTCACATATAATCCAGGAGGATGGGGCCAGACACCCTGGCTTGCTTTGCTCTAAGCTTTGATCATTCCATTCTTTATAGCCCATCTCAGGAGAGTGACAAGGAGCAAGACTCCCTTTCCATGGGGCTGTTTCTCCACCATGCACCAATGTATCATCTATTACCACAAGCTTGTTTTTAACTAATGATCTTGGCAAAAATGATAGAAAGCAAAACAATGCTCTTGTATTAGGTTCCAGAATAACAACAGCTGTTGGAACTGTTGAAAATTAAACAGCCAGACTGGTAGCCTAATAATGAATCAGAACAGTTTCCTCAAAAGGTGCCATCAACAGACAAGGGACTTTTGGGTGGTCACCTCTTCCAAACAATATAACCAACCACTTCCAATCATACGGGACTGTTGCCTCAAATGCCATAATCCTACTGGCCAGGTGTAGAAGCATAGTATCTCTTCTAGCAGCAGGCCAAAAAATGATTTTGAGATTCTAGTCAGAATCCTTGAGACATCTAAGAATCCTCTGATGTTATACAATGCCCACAAGTAAGGGCGGGAGGTGGGGGGAATCTGATAAACTTAATACCACCAGGATAGAGGTCAATAGTG
This sequence comes from Homo sapiens, assembly GCF_000001405.40. Classification (NCBI taxonomy): domain Eukaryota; kingdom Metazoa; phylum Chordata; class Mammalia; order Primates; family Hominidae; genus Homo; species Homo sapiens. The sequence goes on from NC_000006.12 coordinate 42,327,144, forward strand.
GCTGATTCTCCACCATTCCTTCATCCAGGTAGGAGAAGGGGATGTGCTTGTTGTTCCCTGGTCCCAGAATAAGTATACCCAGTGACATCCTGCATCTGTGCCCCACTGTGCATGTCCCAAAGTGGTTTCACCCATATATCTCACAAGAACCAACCCAGAGGAGGAGCTGGGGGTTGTCCCTTTAATTCCCTTTTACAGATGGGTAAAATAAAGCACAGGTATCTGTGTAGGCAATTTGTCCGGGGTCTCAGAGAGGAGTCATTGACCCAATCTGGTCTTGGAACGTTGGTTTGCTGATGACTGGAATGCAAAGATGATGACTTCTGTATCCCCAGATCCTAGCACAGAGCCTAGTCCATAATGAGGACCCCATAAACGTTTACTGAATAGATAACTCCGAGTGCCGAGCTATCCCATTAACCTCCCTTAGGACTTGGTTTCTTTGTCTGCAGAGTAACAGTCTTCTTCTTTTATAAGGTTAACGTGAGGATCAAATGCATTCACACACGAAAAGCTTTAACAACACTGTCTGGAACATAGTTGGTACTGTTATTGCTGAGGTTGTAACTGCTAAGAAAACCAAGTAAGATAAGAGGAGAGAGAACAGTTGTTTTAGAAGACTCTTCTGAGGATGCACCATTGGAGCAAGATCTAAGTGAAGGAAAGGAGTCAGCCCTCCTGGAGCTGGGGAACAGCAGGGCAGGCAGAAGGCATGGTGGGGGTGAGGGCTTGGAGATGGACAGGTGTGAACTCGGTGTGTTTGAGGGCCAGAGGAAGTGGTAGTTTTGTAATTATCACAATCCACCTTATTATGGTTTTCATGCCCCAATTACTATCCCTAATTTTCTTTTTCTTTCTTTCTTTTTTTTTTTTTTTTTTTGAGACAGGGTCTCATTTTGTTGTTCAGGCTGGAGGGCAGTGGTACAATCTTGGCTCACTGCAACCTCCGCCTCCCGGGTTCAGGCGATTCTCATGTGCCTCAGCCTCCTGAGTAGCTGGGACTACAGGTGCACGCTACCATGCCCAGCTAATTTTTGTATTTTTTGGTAAAGATGGGGTTTCACTGTGTTGGCCAGGCTGGTCTTGAACTCCTGGCCTCAGGTGATCTGCCCGCCTCCGCCTCACAGAGTGCTAAGATTACAGGTATGAGCCACTGTGCCCAGCCAACTATCCCTAATTAAAAAACAAACAAACAAACAAAAAAACAACTTTTATTTTAGGCTCAGGAGTACCTCTGCAGGTTTGTTATGTGGGTAAACTGGTGTCACGGAGGTTTGTTGTGCAGATTATTTTATCATCCAGGCACTAAGCCTAGGAGGCAATAGTTATTTTTTCTGCTCCTCTCCCTCCTCCCAGCCTCCACCCTCAAGCAGGCCCCAGTGTCTGTTGTTCCTCTCTTTGTGTCCATGAGTTCTCATCACTTAGCTCTCACTTTCATGTGAGAACATGCGGTATTTGGTTCCTAGCCCTAATTTTTGGGAGGAAATGTGGAGTTGTCTGTCTGAACAGCAATGCCATGCTAAGCAGAGTCTTAAGGGCCACTCTGAAGGTTTGTTCAGAGCATCTTAAATAGGGCTGAAGAATCTGCTCTGCTGAAAGTTAAAAAAAATCCCTACAGCACTGTTCACACATTTCTAAAACTGAGTTTACTTTCTAGGCCATGGGCAACCGGCTGGGGAAAATGAGGCTCCAATTCACCCTGATCCTGGAAGGCCCCCAGCTCATGCTCACCTGAGAGAAATTTACCAGCATCCACCCCAGTCAGCCTCCTCCCTGACCAGGTCTCCGGGAAGTCACTATGATAAGTGGGGAGGAAAGAGGCGAATCTATATAGCAAGCACTGGGAGAAACACACATTGGAAGCTAAGGCCCTGCCTTGAAACAACACTGTCCTGTGTCATTTGAGGCTATTCTGTGCTGTTATCACAGTGAGGACAAGACAAGTTGGACTACCTGACTTGACTCAGTGCTGGTTTGGATAAAGCATTGAATCAGGTCAGGTGGTCCAACTCGTCTTGTCCTCACTCCCACTTAGGCTCAATTGGTCAGAACGGACTTGGACAGGAACAGCCCCTCCTCTTGACACCAGCTTGGTTCCCATGGTCCTAGTGGCCAACACTACTCCCTGAGGCCAGATGTCAGTGGCCAGGGTGGGGTGGGGGCTTGCTGAGATGACAGCCATGCTCATCCCCATCATGCCCCCTCCTGACATTCAATCTCTGCCTCTGAATCGCTCCAGTTCAAGGTGGGTCTTGGAACGCTCCAGCCAGCAGCTCCCAGGTCAATAATGTGAAGGCTCAGGTGGGGACTGCCTCTTCCCCAGGACCAACCTCCCACCCTCCAGCTGCCACCGTGCCTAAGCAACCCCCAGAAGAATTGTCCACTGTCTTCTGAAGGAACTGAGGATCACAACCTGGAACTCAGTCACAGATGCATTTGCAGCCAGCCCATCCCTCAGGTCCAGCGAATATATAGATATAAAGGAAGTTCGGGAACAGGTCATTCTGGAGGCACACTACACAGGAAAAAGACCGAGACATTTTACCGTTGAAAATGTACTGATTTGGCTGGGCACGGTGGCTCACGGCTGTAATCCCAGCACTTTGGGAGGCTGAGGTGGGCGGATCATGAGGTCAGGAGTTTGAGACCAGCCTAGCCAACATGGTGAAACCCCATCTCTACTAAAAATGCAAAAAATTAGCCGGGCGTGGTGGGGGCGCCTGTAATCCCAGCTACTCCGGAGGCTGAGGCAGGAGAATGGCATGAACCCGGGAGGCAGACCTTGCAGTGAGCCGAGATTGTACCACTGCTCTCCAGCCTGGGCGACAGAGCAAGACTCTGTCTTGGGGGAAAAAAAAAGTATTGATTCTATGTATGAACAAACAAAAAGGGGTAAATAAATTCAATGTCAACAAAACGAAAAAATTAATTTCCCTCTGCATATTAATATCCTTAATATATAAAGACAGCTTTGAAATCAATAAGAAAATAACCACACGAGCAAAAAAATGGGTTATAGGCAAGCCACAAGAGAAGAAACACAAATGGCATGAACACACAAGAAATAGTCAACCTCAGGAGACATCAGTAAAATGCAGATTAAAATAGCCTGTCAAATTGGAAAAGAATTTAAAATCATACTGCAGTGTTGGCAAGAATGTGGAGGAAACATGTATGCCAATACACTGGCTAGGGGGAAAAAGCTAGTAAACTCACCAGTATCTATCAAAATTTCAACATGCATGCCCTCTGACCCTGGAGTCAAGTCTACAGAATATTCATGTTATATACACAAAAACATAGGTTCAAAGATATTCAGTACTGACAAAGGTGTAAAGAAGTGGACACATTTATTGCTAATGGGAATGCAAATTAGTTATCATATTTATAAAGAGAATTTTAGCAATATGCACCAGAAACATCTTAAAGTTTTGCATATCCTTTGACCCAGAAATTCTTACAGAAATTCACCTGTAGGAATATGCCTAAAGATTTAGCTGCAAGGATACTCATGCAAACATTGTTGTATTTTTTATTTTTTTGAGACAGAGTCTCATTCTTTGCCTAGGCTGGAGTGCAGTGGCATAATCTTGGCTTACTGCAGTCTCAACATCCTGGGCTCAAGTGATCCTCCCACCTCAGCCTCCTGAGTAGCTGGGACTGCAGGTGCATGCCATGGTGCCCAGCTAATTTATTTATTTATTTTTGTATTTTTAGTAGAAATGGGGTTTCACCATGTTGGCCAGGCTGGTCTCTAACTCCTGGGCTCAAGAGATCCACCCGCCTCGACCTCCCAAAGTGCTGGGATTACAGGTGTGAGCCACTGCACCCGACCAGATGTTTTTTTTAACGGGGAAGCTGTAGGGAGGAACAATCTAAGTGTGCAAAACACGAGACTGGGTAAATAGAAGGCACAGGCATAGAATGGAATTCGACAAAGCTCCTCCAAAATATGCTGTAGGACTTCTGATTCAAAGACGGTAGATTGAAAGCATGTCTTTATCTCCTTTCCCTTCTCAGATTCCACTAAAATGACGGTTTACAGGAAAGAGGCAATTAGCAACAAATTATAGGGAGACCACAAATGGATGGGAGTGGTAACTGAGGCAGCAGGACAGGACACTCACAGAGAAGGATGTGCATAAGAAGAATGTGATCTGCTTGGTGAAGTCCAGAGAGTGAGAGAAGCAGCAAGGAAGCCAGGGGAGTGCAGGGTGGGGACTGAGATGAGGCTAGAGATGGGACTAACTGAAAGTCAGAAGGCAGGAGACTAAGACCTGCAGAGACTCTCCCTCCCTCCACCTGCCTGCACTTTGCAGATGTGCGAGTGGAGGTTCCTGCTCGGGATTAACTGACTGGCAACTAGGTCACCCCAAGTACCAGCCCGTTCCCTGGGGATCGCCCACCGGATAACCACTAAGTCAGAGGGGTCAGAGGTATAGATCCCGCAGAATGAAGGGCCACTGGGTGCTGCAGATCCCTAAGCGGGGAAGAGGCTGGGATTCAGCAGCTGGGGCAGAATCAGACACTAATTAGCCAGGGGAGGGCACCCTGTGAGCCACAGGGCTGGGTGCTGGGTGCTGTTCCTTCTAGCTCTGACATTCCATGCCACTGAGTTCCAGGTGAAGCTGGCCTAGCAGCGCTGCCAGGGGCACACATACCCCAGGCCCACGCGGGCCATGTGGCTGGCCCTTCCACCCCCAGCCTCCCTTTCCCTTGAGCTCTGCCCCAAAGAGTTAGGAATGAGGAGTTTGTAAAATATGTGTCACTGGCCATTCTTGCCCTGAAAAATCAGGAAATATTCTTTTTTTCTTTTTGAGATGGAGTCTTACTCTGTCGCCCAGGCTACAGTACGGTGGTGTGATCTTGGCTCACTGCAACCTCTGCCTTCTGGGTTCAAACGATTCCCCTGCCTCAGCCTCCTGAGTAGCTGAGATTACAGGTATGTGCCACCACACCTGGGTACTTTTTGTATTTTTAGTAGAGACAGGGTTTCGCCATGTTGGCCAGGCTGGTCTCAAACTGCTGACCTCAGGTGATCCGCCCACCTCGGCCTCCCAAAGTGCTGGTATTACAGGCGTGTGCCACCGCGCCCAGCGGGGAAACATTCTAAACCAGCCATGACAGCCTTGCAAACAAGAGGCCCTGAGAGAGACAAGGTGAGGTGTAGCAGGCGGGGCCAAGCCCAAGAACGCGGTGCCCACTCCAACATTTCCTTAGATCCCTATAGACAGAAAACAACTCAGAAAACAGACTAGCTATTACAAGGTTTCCTTGGACAGTCAAGGCTCTCTCGGAGGTGAAGCTGGGGGCAATGCCAACTCACCTCCCTGGGGTGCAAGCAACAATGAAAGGGAGAGCAGCCTCCCATGGCTGGGGCTGGAGAGCAGCTTCCTTGGGCAGCAGTCTCTATTCCTTGATGGAAGGGATGGTCCCCTCTAAAGGAAGGAGATAGCCCTTGCTCCTTTTCTATAATAGGACCTCTCTTCCCACCACTGTAACCTTCACCTCTGTAAATGTGCTCAAAGGGCCCTCACGGTTACTTAGGGCCTATTTAAAGAAGACTTCTTCCACTGGTTTCTTTGGGACAGTCAGTATTTTCCTGTCATTGTGCTTACTTTTTCTAAGAATTCCAGCAGTCTGCATTCTGGCCATTAAGATCAAGGTGACGAAGGGCCAATGTTTCCAGCTGGGTATGAGGAGGGTCTTCTACGGAGGAGGGTCTTCTACAGAACAAAAATGCCATGCCCTTCTGAGCTGAGAGGAAAGGAGAGGAAACTGGCCTACTTTTATGGGTCATTTTCCCAAAAAATTATATAGGGAGCTCCCATACTATTCCAGGGACTGTTGGAAGGTAAAAGAACCAATCTTTACCCGTAAGAAGAGCCTACTAAGTGATGGGTTGGAGGTTAATAGGGAAGTTGAGTGTGTGAGTCAGCAGAATGAGCCAGCATTCAATAGCTCAGTGCAAAAGCACACATTCATCGGTTAAGGTCTTGTTCCTTAATAGAGATGGATCGTTTGCTGGTTGGTGTTAACTGAGATGCTTCCTGATTAAAATAATCAGCAAATGAAAATGTATCTCAATTTTCAGAAGCTCATTTCATATGAATCACTTTCGCTTTTCTGGGATTTCAAATAAATTGGAGAGCTTGGGTCAAATGATGTTTTAGGGCGCTCACAACTGTTCTCAATGCTTAAGAGCTTACTTGAAAGAGTAAGTTACAAGCCTCTTCATGAGACATGAGTCGGACATCCCAGGGGATGTTTCCCTTTGTTATCCAAAGGACCCGGAACGTTGTCCTATCAGGCACCTGACTCACTGGACCTCTTCCCTGTGGCTGCTCACTGCACCTGACACAAATCTGCGGTGGCCGCATCAGTCAGAGGCTGCCCTGCACCCTGCGCAGCTGGAGAAAGGCTTGGGCTTGGCCTGAGAACTGACCTCTGGTCTCTGGACAAGGATGCAAGGTTCCCACCACTGGTAGGTAAAGGGACTGCCCCCCATTCCAACAGGCACAGGGGTGGAAAATAACTGTAAGATCCAAAAGGGGCCCCATGACTAACTTCAGCCTCCATGGGAGGAAAATACAGGAGCCTCCGAGGGCCACATGGGCCCCTCGAGTGCTTACTTAACTTGAAGAGGAAATTGCCCCACAGACTCCACCAACGGATACAAAGACACTGAGGCCCAGGGCAGTGACGAATCCCAACGGCCACATCCGACCACCTTCTGGTCATCAAGAAATGGAAAATTTCAAGGATGCAGCAAAGATATTTTTTCTCTTAGACTGGTAGTCCTAGGTGAGCTTTCAGCTGAGGCCACTAGGAAAAAAAAGACCACACACATACACTACACACACACACACACACACACACACACGTATGTACACATATATGTATATGTATATGTACATATACACATGCACATACACATGAATATATATATGTGTGTGTGTGTTTTTGTGTAGCTTATACATAAGCCACCCTCATGGGACAAATATAGAAATCTAAAAATAAAACAAAGAAAACTTTGGGAAGGCAAGTGGGACCTGGCACCCAGTGATCTGAAGGTAGCTGAGTTGTGTCAGGGTTATGGAAAGCTTAAGACAGGAACCCCAGGAGATCTGCCTGTAGCAGCCACTGAGACACTCCTCCTTCCAGAACAACTGACATCTCAGGCTCTGCAACAACTTCCACCATTACTACCCTGTTCCAAAGTTGTAAAGCAACTGAAGTCCCAACTCTAATAGTCTCAACAATTGTATTACCTAACAGTATTACACAGGCCAATGTCATTGATCAAATCTCATTACAAGAAAGAATTGCTTGTATAGGGCAAGTCGTGGTGATATTTTGATTTGGTTAGCAAAAAAAGTGTCTCTGGGACTAATTCTACACAGCAAATCCTCTATCTAGGCCTGTCCCTTAGACTGGTTACTCTGTGATGAAAATAGCTGGTTCTGAGCAGGGAACAGGGTGGACCTGTGAGAGGGGCTGAGTGGAACATGGCATGGCTCTGCTTATGGCCCCAACTCCCTCATGGGTAAGAGAATTAAACTCCAAGGCTCCACCCAGGCAAGGGAGGTCACAGCCACAGGCCCAGGAACCACAAAGGTGAAACAGGGAAGGGAAGATGCTCCCTCTGATGTTTCAAAGCTCTGAGTGAGCGGCAGAGCACCAAGGAGCCCCACGTGTGCTTGAGTGAGGCATCGGGGACAGGAATCAGCACTGGGGTTCCAGCCTGATGGTCCCTCCTGGCTCACTGAGCTTCATCTTTGGTGAGGTGATGGGAATTGGCCCAGATGGTCCCTTCCATCTCTAGAGTCCTAACATCCATAACAACATGAATCGGCATATTAGCCCTAGAAATGATCTTGCTGGATCATTATCAGGCTACGTGGCACACAGGCCACAGAAGTGGCTTCAAGTGCTGTGCCTTCTACACAGCAAAACTAAGTATTTATGAGATCAGCTATGGAGAGTAAAACAGAGAAAAAGGAACTGGGCAGAGTGGGAAGGGGATACCAGCAAGCCAGAACTTTTGGCTCACCTGGCAGTGAGAGCCAAGAGCCTGAAAGCCTTGCTCCCAGATGCTGGGGGATAGCATGAGGTATTCCTTAATTTTACCAATAGCTCGAGGTAGGGCATCCCCTCTGCTGACAAGGCAGGGGCACAGCAACAGTAACAGCAGCAGCCAACCACACTTACTAGTACTCACAGTGCACCAGGCACTCCCAGGTGCCTTACATGTATCAACTCATTTAGTAACGCCACAAGACAATTCTGGCATGGACATATTTCAATGCCCATTTTACAGAGGAGGAAACTGAGGCACTAAAGATTTAAGAAGCTGGTTTTGAACCCAGGCCAATTGGATCTAGTGTCTGTGCTTGGCAGGGTTAGCCAGGGCCTGTGCTTCCACATGGTTCTGGATTAGTCAACATGAGTGCGGATGGGGCGTGCCATTGACTGAATGCCACTGATGCACCAAGTCTAGGCACTTATTCATGTGCATTAACTTTGGGATTCTCTCTCTTCTGCCCTCCTCTTCAACTGTCCTGCCAACCTGGTCAGCACCTGGTCCAACTCTAGCTCAATCATCCCTTCCTCAGGGGCACATTCTCTGACTCCCCAAAACAAAGTCTAGCTTCCATTGCGTGCTGACATAGTTTCCTCTACTCCATCTTCCTGTTGCTTCCCATGGCTTGACATTATTTACTTGCCTGTTTATGTAATAAACACTTCTCTCCCTGGCAAGACTCTAAGCCAGTGCTGACCAGCAGAACTTTCCACAACGATGGGGATATTTTACATTTGTGCTGTTCAACTTGGTAGCCACTAGCCGCTGTTGAGCACTTGCAGTCTAGCTGGTGTGACTGAGAAACTGAATTTCAAGTTGTATTTCACTGTAGTGAGTTTAAATTTAAATAGCCACATGTGGCTACCACATGGGACAGCGCAGGCCTAATCCCCACGAAGGCCTGTTTTGTGCTGCAGTATCCCCAGGGACTAGCAGGGTCAGAATGCAATAAACATTTATGAAATGAGTGAATGCGGAATGAATGGATGAATGAATGGAAGAACACATGAGAGGGAAGTTGATGATGAATGAAGAAAGAAGCAGGATCCAGGAGCACCTGTTCTTCTTTCTTGTCCTTTCTGCACTGCCCCACTAACCTGCCATGCACCACCATCCCCGACCATCATGCCTCATCCCCTGGGTCTTGAGAGGTTCCCTGGAGGAGCTCCTTGCTGCTCCACCTTTACAGCCTCTGAGATCATCATAGAGTCAGGAGCCATAAATGCCCATTTCTACCTCCCAACCTTGGTCAGGAGGTATGTCTTCTGCAGACTGCCTTATTTCACCTACTGAAGATGCACCGGAGTAAACAAGCTATCATCCCCTGCTTAAATAATCTTAAGAGATTATTTGTCCCAAGAGAGGGATCATCCCTCTTTCCCCACTCTAAGCCCTTCACAGAACTTAACCAGCAAATGTAGATTCATCCTATCAGACCGTTCACCTCCCAACTTGGCGGAGGAGCATGAACTAAGTAAGGAAACGGTGGCTCAGGGAAAACTCACAGCACCCGGGACTGGAGAGTCAGCAGCCTTGGGTCAAATTCTAGCTCTGCCACTAACACATCAGGGAGCTTGGTGAAGCCTCACAGGCCTGTCTCATGGCTGCTGCTTAGTGTTTGTTCAGCTCGTATTTATTAAGCTCCTGCCATGTGTAGGCTGTGTGAGGGCACTGGGGCTGCGGCGGAGGATGGCATGATCGTGGCTCCGGCTCTATGGAGCCTTGGCTCTAGCAAGCGCCAGAGAGAGCAGCTCATGATAGGAGCTGCGGGGGGCAGGGGGTGCGTGCAGAAGAGTGGGCATTTGGAATGGGGTGGGAAGAAAGGAGGCAGGAAGATGCAGAGAGACTCTGGTCACTGAGGCATGTCCATGGGCACCCTGAGCTCCTTGGTGGCAGTGGGAGCATGAAGGAGTTGGACATACCCTGGACGCTGCCCAAGACCCAGCAGGGAGGCAGCTGGTCAGGGAAGGACAATGGGTAGGGGCCAGAAGACCCCTCTCAGAGTGGGGCTGGACCAGCTGTGTGCAGCCCGAGGGCCAGGGAGCAGGAACTGTAATACCCTTCATCTTCTTCAACAGCTGAAGCATCTTTTTCCACTTGGTCTTTTACTCTTGGAAAAGCCAGGCTCAAGTTCTAATACCGCTCCTGATCCTCAAGGAGGTTAGCTGGAGCAGGTCTGAGGCCCCTGCGGTTTTTCTCTGGGTTCAGGAACAATCTGCTCTGCTCCTATTTATTGAGTCCCCGCCTGCAGATGAGCAGGTGTGATCCCCATCCTCAAGGCCCACCAAGTCTACTGGGAGAGGCAGCCACGCTCAAACCACTATCCGGAGGCAAAATGAGCCACAGACAGGCACGCGTAATGTGAGAGCTCAGTGGAGGGGAAGTGATATCAACAGTGGGCATCAAGATGGCTTCAAGGAGACATGGCCTCTGAGCAGAGCCTTGAAGGACACACAGCCTTCTAATGGGGAAGCAGGGGAGGAGCTTAAGCAGGAGGGATAGCATAAGCAAAGGCATGGAGGTGGGAAAGCCGCAGATCAATGGTTCTCAACCTTGGCATATGAAAACCTCCCGATGAGCTTTCACAGGCTGATGCCCAGGCCCCATCAACCAGAGATTCTGAGGCAACTGATCTAGGATAAGGTCCAAACATTGATATTTATTAAAAGATCCCCAGGGTTGAGGGTTGAGACCCTTGCTACCTGGACCAGCAACAGCAGCAGCAGCACCTAGGTGCATGTTAGGGATGCGGAGTCTCAGGCCCTACCCTGGACCTCCTGAAACAGAGTCTGGATTTTAACAAGAGCCCCCAGGTGATTGTGGGCACGTGAAGGTCTAGGAAGTCCTGCTCCAGAGGAGTTACATTGAAATCAGCTGGCTTACATTTTTCTGATCAAAGGCACCTGGCTCACTGCTGTGAGGAAGTGGCAGGACCCAAAACAATACCAAACGACCAAAAGCAGCACTAGCCACGTGTCAGAGCTGGCCTCTGCTGGGCACCATGGGGAAAGGAGGGTCACCATATGGCTCAGGCACAGGAGAGAGGGAAGGAAGAAACTTGGGGGTAGGGAAATGGGCAACCGGTCTTCTGAACAAGACTGGGATTCTTCTGAGGCAGAGAGAAGAAAAGGAGACCTGGGTCACGGGACGTGGGTAGGGGGATGCACGCCCGCACACACGCATGTGCACAGAGGTATGAAATTCAAAATGGTGCTAAAGAAGTGTCAGGCTCTAAGAACTACTGCCAGAAAGTGAGTACTAAATTAAATGCATATGCTCATTAGAATGGAATTTTTAAAGAAATTAACAAGCACTCTCCTGTTCACCTCTGGAAAGCAGCAGTGTTACTTCTGAGAATTATGAGCTGGAAACCAGATCAAAGGTAGACTCACGTGGTGCTCCCTCTGCCACCTCCCTTCCTCACACACCATTCCTAGGAGTCCTTCAGGATTTATGACGGCTCTCCCTGCACCCAGCCTGCCATCCTGCATCCAGATCTTGGTAGTAATCAACCATGTGGCTAGAATGGGACCTACCAGAGGTCCTTCCGCACCATAATACCAGGGTTCCCACATGGGACTCTCTGCACTGCCCACACTCAGGAACTTCTCAGGAACGTGAGCTTTTTGTGGTGGTGACTCAATGTATATTTGTTTATCTTTATATTTTTTTCACAATTGGTCTGTGCCAGACAGTTGGCTGACTAACCCACCAGTAATCCCTAACCTCTCCTGCCCACCTCCACTAGAGAGGCTGGAAAAGCTAAATCATCTTTTTCCCAGCCTTTCTTGCAACTAGGGGTGAACACATGCTACTGCCAGGACTGACGAAAGCAGCAGCACTCGGCCGAAAAGCCAAAACACGAAGAAGGGCAAAGCGGAAAGACTGAAAACTCTTATCTATCCTTGAGGTCACTGCTGAACTGCAGGTCAATACCAGATAACCACTGCCTCTATCCAAACTTCTGGTTTATGAGAAAATGTGTTTCTCCATCACCATTCCTTTGTTTTTCTGCTACTTACAGCCAAAAGCATGCCTATGGTCTTTCCTGTCCTCCACGTCTCTCCTTCCATCTGCTTCACCTCCTTGCCTATTTACTGTTTCCATCAGTTTTTGTACCACCCTCTGCTCCTTTTTTCCTTCATCTTTTCCTATTCATCTCCTCCGTCCCCAACTCACAATATAATAGCAGGGTCGGAAAACCAACCCACTTTTGAAACATCAAGTCTTAATGTCCAATCAGTCCTCAGGCAGCAACTACTTCTGAACCCAGGAAACTCAATAGCTACGAATTGTACCCAAAGCTGCAAAAAACAATAAGCAAATTCTATTATGTTGTTTCTTTACTTCTTGGATTACTTTTCTGAGCTAATAAAAGCACATAAGGATATTTCACAAGTGTGTTTATGTTTCTATTTAACAAACCTTGAATTTCATAGCAGGTATCAAGCCTCAGCCAAACCCATGCAGACTGACAGATCAACAAAGACAACAGGCCCTGAACAAGTAGCTCTCCTGAGAACAGATGTGTAAACAGAAACACAATGTATGAATTAGCCCAGTGCTCTTTCCCAGGTAGACTGAGAGAATCTGGACACTACCTGTGGCTGAGCCCTGGAGCCACCAGAATTTAATCAGATACGTGATTAAGAAAAGTCTATTTTAATGCTGAATAAGATTTCTATCTTTCAGTTTACTACTTAATACATATTCAAACCAACATGTTTTCTGCGACCATCAACATGTCTTGACCTCTTTTAGGGTATGAAGTGCTCAAAGGCAAGAACTGTGTCCAAATGGCACCACGTCTTTCCACCCTGCACCCACCCCAGGGCTAAGTCTTGTCCTATCCTCAAAACAACAGCAATCAAGTCAAAATCAGAAATTGCATAGCAGTTGCCAGTCACAACCAAACAACCATTTCTTACCTGTACCTGCTACAGAAATTACTCATATTTTCAGGGCTCCCTCATTTCAAGAATGATTCACATTTTTTTTGTGACTCAGACACACCACCCCATTACTGCTCTAGCTCATAAGGAGTGTGGAGTGACAGCTTTAAGGGATGTGTTAAGTACCCCCAAGACTACCTTGGAGGGAGGGCAGGCAGAGAGAGGGATGAGGGTTCACCAGGCCCATTCACAGACGGTTGAGGGTTCTTTCTGGTGGCAATGTGCAATTTGTCAAAACATGAATATTGCTGCCATGTTCAACGTCTACTTATCAGCCCATAGATTAATCTATTTATTCTTTTAAAAGTAGCATTTTCCCCCCGTATTAGCTTTGTTTCTTCTTCACACACCACATAAGAAGCTTCAGAAAGGTCACCTTTCCTGAGTGATAAATATGGGCAAAAAAGAAAACTCCTCAATTTATTTTATTTATTTATTTTGAGACAGAGTCTTGCTCTGTCACTCAGGCTGGAGTGCAGTGGTGCAATCATAACTCACTGCAACTTTGAACTCCTAGGCTCAAGCGATCCTCCCACCTCAGCCTCCTGAGTAGCTGCGACTACAGACGTGTGCCACCGCACCCAGCGGCAAAAAAGAAAACTCTTCTCAGATCGCAGTAAATTAACATTCTCAGAGGATTCTTCTGAAATGATCAATTTCTTTCTAGAACTTTCTCTGATGGAGGAAGTTTCTCCTTCCTCCATAACACCCCTAGCTGATTGGATTTTAAGGGGTGATCTTCATGCCTATGGGTGCTGGGAAATTGTTTAGAACTAGTTACTCCAAGGACCCTGCCAGTTCTAAGGGGCCAAGGGCCCATCATTTCTTCCTGGGTTCCAAAACAGTCCCCCGTGTACAGTGGAGAACACAGCCTGGATTCCCCCCACATCCTTCCAGATTTGGGTGCAGGGTTTTCATGACCTCAAATCACTTACCAGCGGAGCAAGGAGTGGAAGAAACAAGAGGACTGACAGACAGAAAGCTCTAGGTTTGAACCCCGCTCTGTGTGATGTTAAGCATATTACTTAACTCTTCCAAGCCTCGGCCATCTCATCTGTAGATTAATACCTGCCCTGCAAGGGTGTTTCAAGGATTACAAATAACTGTAAGAAGTTTCTGGCCCAAACAAGATCCTCAGTACTGGCCAAATATCAATGAGCATCATTCTTATCACCATAGTGAAAACACTCAAGAATCACATTCAACTCTGTGACAGCTGAATCACACCAAAGTACAGGCACTGGGTGGTCTGTGTGTATGTCTGCTAAGGATTTTCATTCTGCCGAGGATCTGTTCATGGGTCTGCCCCGGAGTCTAAGGCCCCGGGAACAGGAGGGAGCAGGCGTAGAGCAAGGTTTTGGACAATGCAACCCAGGAAGGTATGTTTACCTCAGAGATGGGTGCCTGTTCTTTTTCTGGGAGACTTGGCCTACTATCACAATTCAGTGGGTTAGCAAAGGTCTGAATGATGCCAAGGCCCCAGGTCTACCCCTAGCATGGCTCCCTCTTCCAAAGCCATGGAGCCCACAGCCTTTACTTGCCAGTTGTTTCACGAAAAAAAATGACCAGCAGTCCCAAAGGGCAAGTTACCATAATCCACTGGCACTACTACAAGAACACTAAACATTTCTTCATCAGTTCATGTTGGATGTGATGGGGTAGGAGTCTCAACTTCCTTTGTAAGAAGGATGGCATAATGAATGTTCAATATCAAGTCATACATAGACATTCCCCTCCCACAATCCCAGGCTTTGGTAATTATTAGTAGAGCCATCTGCTCGGCTTAATGAAATGTGCAATCTCCTGTACATATAATTAGTGAAATCATTTTACTTAATTAAACAAATTAATTAATTGCAAGGATACTGCAACCATTTTCCAGGAACTGCATCCAACTCATTTATTCTGCATGTGTCTACTGGGCTCCCCCTGAGGGCAGAGGCCCATGCCAGTGCTCTGAGGAGGTAAAGATTCCCACTGTCCTGAGCAGAAATGAAAGCCCAACACGCAGTTGCTGATGACTGTCCCTTCCGCTTAGGGCATTCAGTTCATCCTAGCTTTCCTGGGATTGTCTTGGTTTTAAAGTTGAAAGACCATGTCCCAGGAACTCCCTCAGCCCTAGGCAAACTAGGGTGGTTGGTCACCCTATACTTTGGCTTGACCTGGGGTCAAAGGTCACCACTGGACAATCTCCACTGTAAAGGAGATGGCAAATAGTGGGTATCCTGCAACTCCAGCCCCTACTCATGGCAGACATTGCTAGTAGACCCAAGAGTCCCACATCCTTCTCACCTCTGTTCCAGGCAGCCACTATTAATCACCCTGAACAGGAGGCCTGGGAAATTAAATCTATTTTCTAACTATGCCTGAGAATCACAGAAGCTCCAGGCTCAAAAAAAAAGAAAAGAAAAGAAAAGAAAATGCTGTCAAAGTCTAGCCTAATCATCCATACAGTGCTTAAATCCCTTCTACAGTGTTATCCACAAGTGGCTAGCCAGCTCTCCTTGCATACCTCTAATGATGGGGACTCACTGTCTCATAAAGCAGTTCTTCCTGTCTTCAACAGTCTTGGCTGTAAAACTCTTTCCTTGAAGTTACTAACATGTCTCTCTCGTCAGTCTCTTTTTTGGAAACCACATGGTGGCCCCTCAAGTGACGAAGCACAGTTATTAAATTGCTCCCAAGTCTTCTCTTTTCTAGGCCCAATTTCTCCAACTGTTACTCACATGATTTGGTTTAAAGTTGGCATGCCATCCTAATCTAATGACCCATCCAAGGCCTCTCTGGGGCCAGGTACTCACACATGGCTCCCACACCAGTCACCTTGTTCCTGGTGGATTCTATGCTCTGCTATAGTATCTGGCTGCCCCACCTCACATTGACTCATATCAACACCCTGATGCCATTTCTGAGCCTGTTACTGTTGAGCCACAACTCCATCCATCTGTCACTGGGCCTCCCAGGAGCTTACACTCCATCTGGAGAGTCCTGGGATATGAGAAACCCACAAGATGGTAAGAAAACATAATATAAATTATAGACTGCCAATTTCCCAGTTACAAACAACTCGCTCTAAAGGTTTGCTTAAAAGTAATTTCTTTAAAATGCTGATAGCATGTAGCCACAAGAAACCATATTTAAAATGAGGGTTAGACTCCCAGGTCAGCCCACAAAAGCCTTCTGAACTCATAATGTACCTGCCGCATAAAACTAACAGTGTTATTTTAACTCTATGTAGCCACCATTTATAAGATGGTTTCCACGGTGACATGCACTCTGAGATCCATTTCAGAGAACTACACAAAAGGTATACCTGGTGTCGCGCTGCTCTATGAGGTTGTAGGGGGAGCCTGCTGACCTCGGAGGAGAACTGACTCTAGACACTGGTCCTCCCAACCCCCTTCAGGCCACAGGTCCTTTGAAGTGTGTTATCCTAAGGACAGAGCGTATGTGCACAAGCCTGAGTGAGCTGTGAGGCTGCAGCCAAGAGAACTTCTGGAAGGAGGCAAGTGATAACAGGTATGGGGTTTGGTTGTATGTGTTTGTGGTGGTGCTGTTTTTCAACAATCTACTACAGACATGAGGATAGGGGTATTTCTCAAAGTCAGAAATGTAAAACTAGAAAAGTCACAAATTGTCTTGTTCTTCTCTGAGCCTGTAAGCAGGATCTTTATAAGCTGGCACCTACAGTGCTAAGAGGGTAGGGGGAGGAAGACGGACTGACGCATAACTGACCGCGTGGGGAGGCCAGCAGAGCTGCTGAGCCTCAGTTCTTGCCTGTGGAAGCTTCAGCCATATCCTTCCTTATTCCTGCCCCAACCATCCCTTGGCCCCAGGCCGACAGAGCAGGCAGGAAGGCACTGCATGGAATTGGAGGCCAACGCTTCCTGGGCATCCCACCTGAAGGAGAAGGAGCTGCGTTCACCTGGAGAAAGGCAGGTGCTCCCAAGGACCGAACTGCTTGGAGTCTCAAGGCCAGACTGGAGACCCTGCTCCATGCCCCCACTATTGTTCCAAACTTGTTAACTAGTGCTGTTAAACTCCCCAAGCCTCAGCTTCCTCA
This sequence comes from Homo sapiens, assembly GCF_000001405.40. Classification (NCBI taxonomy): domain Eukaryota; kingdom Metazoa; phylum Chordata; class Mammalia; order Primates; family Hominidae; genus Homo; species Homo sapiens. Next base: position 42,344,242 of record NC_000006.12, read on the forward strand.
TCTCTAAACTGAGCAGAATGTCCTCTTCGCAGGTCAGGTGCCAGTAGTAACGGAAAGGCAGTCATAATAACAGCTGAACTTTCTGAGCTCTGACCAGCACTGCTCTATGCATATCACTTCCATTAACTCATTTCAGCTGTACAAAAATCCTATTATTTTGTAAATGAGGAAACTGAGGCCCAGAGAAGATGAGTTATTTACCCAAAACCGTGTAGCTAGTAAGCAACGAGGTCAGGAGGATAGGTAAAAAGCTGCTTTGGAAACTGTAATATGGTATATAAATGGTGGTGATCATTACTGTTAACAACTAACACAGGAAAATGCTTGAGTGCTCAAGCCCGGGCCATCTTTTCTACCACAAGGCATCTGGGCGGTTCCTGCCCAGTGCTACTAAGACTCTGCTAGGATATCTCCTCCAGCCCCAACTGCAGATCAACCCAAGCAGTCACCTTGGCAGGACATGCTGCTTGCTAAATGTCACAGCCCCCCACCAGATGCTTGCTCAAAGGCTGCCACTTCACCTGACCACCTGGATGAAAACTGCAAAATGCACCCTACCCACCTTCTTTGTCTTATTTTTTTCCCACAGCACTTATTACCTTCTAACCTTCTACATATTGTACTTATTTGTTACTGCATGTCTAGCCCAACTAGATTACAGGTTCCATGAGGGCAGGGAATCTTCTCTGTTTTGTTCATTGCTATATCTTCAGCACCCAGGACAGTGCTGGACACGTGGTAAGCATGTGGTATTTGCTGAATGAGTGAGCAAGTGAACCTATATTATCATGGAGAAAATGTCCATAATATATTGTTAGGCAAAAGAAGGCAGGCCTGCCTCTAAATTCTATATATAATGATTTCATCTCTGTAAATGCATTACTGTGTCTGAGCATGTGTGAGTGGACAGAAAAAAATGTCTAGAAAGCTACACATGAAAATGTTCATTGTGGTTCTTTCCAAAAGGCAGGAGCAAAGACAATTTTAACTTCTTTCTAAATGTTTTACAAACACTATGTACTATTCCTGTAAGTTTGTAAAGCAATTACATTGGAAAGCAAACACATTTGTGCATGTGCACACACACACATACACACACACGGGAGAAGCATACATTGGTTACAGAGGACCCGAGCAAGAGGTGAGGCCCAGTGACAGCTTACCCACCTTCCCAACAGCAGGCTGGTGCAGCTTCTTCACTCACAGACCGGCAATGCTGAGAGAAATAACAGAATGAGGTTTACACAGGCCTAGGACTCAGCAGCACCTCCTTCAGAACTCCTCCAAAAAAGGAAAATTCTAAAAACCAAAAGCTATTTCACTGCCTCTCCAGAGCAGTCTTGGAATTATTTAATCCTCTGTGTTTGTTTTTAAATTATATTAGAATGTTCCAGAAAATGTAAAGCTAAACTAATACATAAAGTGCAGTCTTTTGCAACTAAAAATCCACTTTGCATAAAAAGCCTCATTCTCCCATGCCAGTATTAAACTGGAAGTCAGGATAACTGAATTCCACCCAAGATCCTAGGCCTGGCTTGGGGCACCGTCTTGATTCCTGCCCTCCTTCTCCATTCTGACAGCATATTCTGTATACAGGTGCCCATAGGAAACCAACCCAGTGACTTACACATCCCCTGTCACCTGTAAATCACCGAGGTGCCATTAATCAACAATATGCATCCAGTGAGGGCCAACTCTGGGCCCAGCATGGGCAGGTGCTATGAGGTGGAAAAAAAGGAAACAAAAGATAAAGTCAGCCTTCAGAGAAGGACTAACACACAAGAAACAAGGAAGAAAACAATTGCACTCCCTTAACGGCACAGTGCTTACTATATGTGTAATGAGAGTTCTAAGAAAAATGAGGTAAGTGTGGGCAAGAAGGCTGCGAGGAAGAGGGTGGGCTCATGCTCAGGCTGAGCCAGCAGCAGACCAGGGTGCTGAGGTTGGAGACAGGAGGTGGACCTCAGCACCTGTCACCTCAGGACTGTGGGCAGAGCCACCCCAGCCACTACCGATTCCCCTGCCCCTGCCTTCCAGGCAGGGGGTGCTGCTTTGACCAGTTAATCGGTTGCCCACTTACTGAGCACCACGTGTGCACAAACAGCCTCCTGCACAGGGGGCCGACTCCCCCTGAAGGCAGATGAATTCTAACTCTCTGTGACAGAAGCTTTCACATCTCAGTTGATTTCAGGAGCCAACCAGAGCCAGAGAGGAAGAGAAGCATGTGCATCTATGTCCAGCTCCAAGAACTCTGGTCAATCCACAGCGATCCAGAGCAATGCTCTAGAAAGGCCTCTATTAGAAATGCAAGCAAGGCTCAGGTAGAAGCAGTGGAGAAGGCAGAAAGAGGAGGAAAGAGGCCAAGTCAAGGACATTGCAAAGGGAAAAGGAATTTCAAAAGATGGCTTTGCAGGGGGCAGAAAAGAGAGCAAGTGGCATCTAAAGAGACCAACCATCCTAGAACTCAGGACTTTCATACTAAAACCAGGACAGTCCCAAGCAAACCAGGACGAGTTGGTCAACCCAGCCATACCATCCTCAGGGATGCTATGAAGTTGCCTGATAACTGGGTACTCTTTCTCCCATCCTTTGTGGAACTGTCATTGCTCGTTAGCACCCCTGGGGCCAATGGAAAGGAAGAAGTGGTCAACCCAGGGAGGTGACTACTGTGTCCTTCCTGCTGTCCTCCTGGCTTGTATCCTCTCATCTCAACCATGGAGGTTTCCAAAGGGGCTCAGGTAGAATAAAATGCTTTATTGCTGTTCTTAAAATAAAACCTAGAATCACAGCCACTATCCTTTATTCCACTGTTTCACAGACACGAGCTTATCAGCCATCCAGTTGGGAGAGGACCCCATGTATCCCTCTTGGAGAAATAAGCACCTTATCTGTAACAAACTTGGAAATCAGAAGAAGCTGGAGGGGTTGGCACACTCAGCTCTTGAAGCCATCTCCATTCATTCTCCATCTCCCTCTTCCTTCTTAGAGCTTCAGTTCCCACCCACCTCTCCCAAAGGCAGGCTCTAAGAGAGTACTCCACCCACATAATCTGTTCATTCAACGAGGATTTACTGAGCATTTACTATGTGGCAGAAAGTTTGTTAGGCAAGATTCAGAACACAAAGCACAATAAGACACAATCTATGCCTTCCAAGAATTTATGGTTCAGTTGATGGGGAGAGGGAGTGGAGGTGTGGGCAAGGATGGTGTAGAGGTGAGAATCATTCAATTATTCAACACATATTTACTTTCCTCTTAATATGTGCCAAGAACTGTACTGAGAGAATGTAGATAAGTAATGGAACAACTGCAAAACCATGTATAAATGCTGGTCATGTCGGAGACCTCAGGACAGCAACCGCCCCAGCCACCGAGGCAAATACCAACTGATCACCGCTTCTCCTTCGCATGGCAGTATGTGCTGTGGAGGACTAAAAACAAAAGAAAAGCGGTAAGACCAAGCCCTGACCTCAAAGAGTGAACCAAATGATCAAGGAGATAAAACCCCCACAAATAAAGCAATTCGCAAACCACCAGGTATGGTGAAGAGCTAACTGTGGGACACAGAACTTCAGCACAAGGAGCAACAGAGCTGGACAAAGTCTGCAGAGCTTCCCAGAGGGAGCGGAGGTAAAACCTGAGAAGTAATACCGAACGGGGAGCATTTTCCAGGCAGGAAGAACATAACAGGTATCTGTGATTTTTCTCAAAAATCAAAGGTGAATGTATAGTTATTACTGAAAGTGTTTCTAAATGGCACACCTATCCACGCATCTTTGGCTTGAGTAAATAGGAACCTTGCCAATAGTGACCTTCACAAATGTGAGTTACACTGGAATAGAAAGATGGGCATCAAATCTAACTTCAGCTGTCCACACTATGAAGGTGGGGAATTGAAACATACTTAACCCTGTAATGCAAGTCAGTGTGCACGTCTGTATAAACATACACACACACACATACACACACACACCCATACTTCCCTGGCTCTTTTTTTCTTTTTTCTTTTTCTTCTTTTTCTTTCTTTTTTGAGATGGAGTCTCACTCTGTCATCTAGGCTGGAGTGCAGTGGCACAATCTCAGCTCACTGCAACCTTTGTCTCCTGGGTTCAAGCGATTCTTCTGCCTCAGCCTCCCAAGTAGCTGGGATTACAGCCATGCGCCACCATGCCCAGCTAATTTTTTATTTTTAGTCGAGACGGAGTTTCACCATGTTGGCCAGGCTGGTCCCGAACTCCTGACCTCAGGTGATCCACCTGCCTTGACCTCCCAAAGTGCTGGGATTACAGGCGTGAGCCATCGTGCCTGGCCTCCCTGGCTCCTCTTTACAGGTCTACCCTCAAGCTAAACAAATTTCATCCTTCTGTTAGAAGAACACTCCATAACTCAGAGAAAGAGAAACTGAATTACCGGGGACGATCCACGTATTAATAACTGGGAATCGACCACATTGGTTTTTGCTATAATGATATTCACTAAGTATGAGCAGAAAGGCCACCTTTGGTCTAATGGTACACTGGTCACTCAATAACAAGTTAACAACCATTGACTGACTATTTAATGAAGAACACTGCAATGGTGCTAAAGGAATGGAAGGGAGGGAGCAGTGGGAAAGATTAGTTAGAAGGAAGGCAGGATACAGTGAAAAGAAGTGGAAGACTCACGAGATAGTGAGTCTGGTCCCAGCTCCACCACTGCAAAGTCTTGAGTAAGTTGATCCCACCTTTACTTCCGCATCCATGAACATGTCCTATCTATCTCTCAGGGTCATTTATAGTTGAAATGAGGTAGTGTAAGCCTAAGTGCTTGGAACTGCAGAAGGCTCTGTATAATGCACCGTGAGGATTTGGAGGTACCTACTTCCCCAGCTTCACTAACTACCCTGTCTACTTTCCCAAGAGTCTTCTGAATCTCTCAATTTGTCCAATCCTCTCAGACAGTAACTGTTTCAGGGGAGCACAGGGGCCAAGGGAACCCAGTCAGGGGCAACTAAACTCAATTCCAGACCTTTGGGTGGCCCATCAAGGAAGCTGTCTTTTTTTTTTTCCACTGGAAAAACTGGTTTTGGGGCATCTCAGCTGAGCCCTGGGTAAAGCCTCACCTGAGGCCGGAATCTACCCCTAGATTGTTCAACCACATAGGCCAATACATTTTCTTCTTCTGCTTGAACCAGTCTGGGTTGGTTTTCAGGTAATCAACTAACTGATAGGGAATGAATGAAAATATGGTTAAAGTAATGCTATAAACCCTTCTAACTCCTCACGAAACCTGTGGCTCCATAAGCTACCCAGTGAACCATTTCCTACCTGGTGTCCTGAAGGAGGTGAAGATATGAAAAAGATCACTCAAGGAACAAAAAGAAGAAAGACAATCATAAGCAATAAAACCAAAGTGATTACTGGGTCTGCCTTTATTTGCTTCCTATCTTCTAAGACCAGGGAGGGTCACAGTGATGGAGGGGGTAAAACCCTTCAATGGTAAGCCAAAGAATTAGTGTCTATCTCAGCTCTGCTTCTGCCTGTTTTCTCCAGATGTTTACCTATTCTCTTTCATGGTAACCGCCGAAGAGCCCAGAGGAACAATACCAATATCCCACTGATTTATTTTATATCTTAAAAAATTACTCAGGTCCTGCAGTACTGAGCTCATGTTCAAATTAAGTTTGCTGAAAATCTAATTTGGGATGAGTAATTTAATTTGGCTACTACAATTAAAAGTGGTGCAGTATTTGTGTTTTAGAGGAAAATCGTATTAGATTCACCTAATCTTATTAGTGGACTATCATATTTAGATTGCATTCTATCTGGAACAGATACATACTAGATTGATTTCTTTCATAAATCATTTGGGAGACCAAAGGGACTAGACTTCTCCCTGCTCCTTGACCACCCACCCGACGCAGGTCAGTGCAGTCAGTGAATGCAAAAGAGGCCTCACTGAGAAGCCCACTGCACAGCTCTGGAATTCACTCATCCAACACATCCACCTAGAACAAGCCCTCACGTTTTGCAGATGAGTAAATGAGGCCCAGAGTGAACATGTGATTTGCTTCGGGTCACATGGTCAGTTAGTTAGTGACAGAGCTAAAACTACATTTAATTTCCCTGCGCCACAGTTTGTGTCCCTGATGCTCCAACACATGTGTTCTTTATAAGCTCTAACACGAAAAATGGCCAGATGGCCCCTGAGGCCCCGCTATTACTCACTTGGTTAAAGCATGGAGTCATCAGATGCCACCTCTCAGCCTGCCTCTCTGCCTCTCTGAAGTTCCTAGGGAAGGAAAGGGGCATGGAGAAGCTGATCTCACTATCTCCATGGATAACTTAGACCAGTGCCCCAAATCCTTCCTGTCAAGTCCATCTTCTTGATGACGAGTTTAAACCCCCTCACTCCCAGGTAACAAAAATTCACATTAAGGACATTCAAACCCTATGACAGGTCAGGAAAAAGAGTCTGGTTTGCGTTTTAAAATGTTATTAATCTCAGGAGTACTGTTAACTGGGCAGACTCAATGGGTATAATACCACACATCGGGGCTCCAACTGCAGAGTTTAACCTAAGAAAATGAGGTTATGAAGCAAAAACATGAAAATAAGCTAGATAAGAACACTTGCAACATATGACAAGTGAATACACACACCGCATAAAAATCCCTTGTACATGATTTTTCAAAAGATGGAGCACTGCAAAATAAAAATGAGAAAAGACCCAAAGAGGCAATTCTCTCTCTCTCACTCTCTCCCTCTCTCTCACACACACAAACACACACACACACACACAGATTACTGATGGCCTCATGAAAAATGTTCAAATGCATTAGTAAGCAAAGCTTGCAAACTGAAACAACACGATACTATTTTCAACGATCAAATTGGCAAAAACTGAAACAACTATAATGTTCACGATAGTCAAGGATGCCCTGAAATAGAAATCCTCAGATGCTACTGATGACTGTAAATTAGTCCACATTTCTGAAGGGCCATCTGGTGATATGGATCACTAGCCTTAATACTGAGTTCACTCCCAAGAATATTCCCTGATGAAATAATCAGAGGAATACTCCAAGATTTATGTGCAGAGACATTTATAGCAGCAATATTCATACTAATAAAAATCTAGAAAAATCCAATGGTACTGTAATAGAAAAATAAAGAAATGATACATCAATACAAGGAATAATATGTCGGCTTTAAAACTCATGTTTTTGAAAAAGATTTAAAGACACAGGGAAATGTTCACAAAATTATGCTAAAACTCAAAGCTATTAATAGGATGGTTCTATTTTGTGAAGAAAAATATATAGCATATGCATTATATAGATCATGTGCTTTATAAATACAGTATCTTCTGGCAGATTCAGCTAAATGTCCAACAAATATTTATGCTTCTCTTTCCAGAGTGTGGGATTTTCAGCAAGAAGCAGCTGCTCAGTCAGGGGCTACATGCCCCAGCACCCCTTGTATCTAGGTGGTGCCATATAACTACTCCCACCAATGGAATGGAAAGTGATTTGAGCACTTCTAGGCTGAGGGAGGTGGAAAGTGATGTGCCTTCTCCGTGCTCTCTTCCTCCATCTGCCAAACAGACACAGGGGACTCCAAGACCCTAGGGAATGGAAGAGCAACCAATGGAAGGGGCCTGGGCTGCTGAATCACTCAGGGCAGGGCTCCACCGGTGGAGTGACCACCAGTCTGAAACACCTATGTTGGACTGAGTGAGAAATAAACTCTATTGTGTTAAGCCATAATTTGGTGCGGGTGTTGTTGTTGTTGTTGTTTTTGAGACAGGGTCCCAACTCTGTCACACAGGCTGGAGTACAGTGGCATGATCATGGCTCCCTGAAGCCTCAACCTCCCAGGCTCAGGTGGTCCTCCCACCTCAGCCTCCTGGGTAGCTGGGACCACAGGCACACACCCATGCCTGGCTAATTTTTTATGGAGATGGGGTTTTGCCATGTTGCCCAGGCTGGTCTTGAACTCTTGGGCTCAAGCCATCCTCTAGCCTCGACTTGCCAAAGTGCTCGGATTACAGGCGTGAGCCACTGCATCCAGCCTCATAATTTCGTGCTTTAATGGTTTCCTCAGCTAGTGTTACCTTAATATGCACACACAGAAAAACTACTGAAAGGAAAACAACCAAATTTTATCTGATGCACTGTATGTTAGTCAAATTATAGGTATATTTTTAAAATGTATTTGATTTGACCACAAACATATCTTATTTGGTAACCAAAAAGTTACTGAAATAAAAAAGCAGACTTTAGGTAGCAGTGTTATATGGTGAAATCTTAAAATAGTGAATATGGTTACAAACATTAAAATGTAGAAAATTACAAGGGCTCAAAGGAAAAAAAATCTAGACGTACAACCTTTAGCAAGATCTACTTAAACAATTCTGGACAAATGATTGTACAAAAATGAACCAAGGTTAGAATCCTTTAATATGTAAAGAGCCCTTGTGAGCCAATTAAGTGAGAGATAAATATAATAACTGGGGGGGAAAGACATAATCACTTAGTTATAAAATATGAAACGTAAATGATATATAAAAAGATTTTCAAACTCATTAATAATCAAATACATGCAAATGAAAATGAGATCATCTTTATCTCTTTATCAGATTTATACATTTAAAATATTGTGAATATAGGATCCAACATTGCTAAGATTATCGTGAAATGGGTAATCATATACACTGAAAAAAGGAGTTTAAAATTGTATCATAATTCCAATGAGTAATTTGGCATGACAACAGGAAAAAAATGCCTTAGCTTTCCCAGGCAGGGTGCAGTGACTCAAACCTGTAAACTCATCACTTTGTAGTCCTAGCTACTTGGGAGGCTGGGCTTGAGCCCAGGAGTTCGAGGCTGCAGTGAGCTGTGATCACACCACTGCACCTTGGCCTGGGCGACAGAATGAGACTCCATTTCAAAAAACACAAACAAAAAACAACCAAAACCCCCTTTGATTTTCTAGATATTTGTTGAAAGAAATAATTAAACAAGTATGCAAAGTATACACCAGAGTTGTTTGAATAGGAAGATGGAAAAAAAAAACAACTCAGGGCCGGGTGTGGTGGCTCACTCCCGAAATCCCAGCACTTTGGGAGGGCGAGGCGCATGGATCATCTGAGGACAGGAGTTTGAGACCAGCCTGGCCAACATGGTGGAACGCTCTCTTTAGTAAAATTATAAAAAATCAGCTAGGCGTGGTGGCGGGTGCCTACAATCCCAGCTACTCAGGAGGTTGAGGCAGGAGAATCACTTGAACCCAGGAGGTGGAGGCTGCAGTGAACCAATATCGCGCCATTGCACTCTAGCCTGGGCAACAAGTGTGAAACTCCACCTCAAAAAACAAAAACAAACAAACGAAAAAAAAAGACAACTCAGCTATCTATCTGTAAGGAGCTGGTTAAATACATTATGATATATGTGTGTTTGTGTATTCATGTACTGAAACAATGTACAGACATTAAAATTATGCTGAAGATCTAAATGAACAAAGCATAAAAATGCTCATAAGGTAAAAAAGCAGGCTATAAAGCAATTCAAGTAGTATAATTTCTTTATTGTTTAAAAAATGTGTGTGTGCGTGTATACATATAAACATAGTTATAAATGCATAAGAAAAGATTATGGGAGGATTTTAATAAAAATCGTGATGGTAGTTCTGGAATTATATATTTGCTATATTTTATAAGCTTTCAACAATGGATATGTATTACTTTAATTTTTTTATGTTTGATTGTGAAAAATTTCAAACGTACACAAAAGTAGCTAGAATATATGTACCCATTACCAGCTTGGATGAAGATCTTCAGGGGTCTCAGTGTAAGAGCTGGAATGTGGCCAGAGGCCCTTTGTGAGGCATGGGTGGGATTGGGGTTTGGATCCAGCTGCCTTGGAGGGTGATTGTGTCAGTGCTTGGGGGAAGGGTCCAGATGCAGCCTGCAGAGCCATGAGAGGGCATATTTCTTATTACTGCTGAATTTGTACATTTTCTATATATTTGTTTAGTGTTGTATTTAGTTATCTACTCAAGTGTTCTAACAAGGTTTAGTACTTTTCTTTTTAATTTGAGCACTTTGCAGTGTAAAGATTAATTCTGTCATATTATTGCCAGTCTTTCCCCAGTCTGTTGTTTCCCTTTTTTTTTTTCACATAAACGCTTCATTTTCCTGTAGTTTGATTGACTATTCTTTTCCTTTTTGAATGCTTTTCTTTTGTTTCTAAGTAATATTCAATGCTATAGATTTCCTATGCCTCTACATTTTGCACTTTAATTGTTTAATCCATCTGTAATTCATTTTGGTGAAGCCAAAATGATTTTTCCCAAATTGTTAATGAGGCATCAGAATTATTTATTGAATAATTTTTCCTTCCCCACTGATTTGTGATGACTGCTTTATGATTTATTAAATTATTTATGCAAGGGTCTATTTCTGAACTATCCTAGTTCACTAATCTACTTCCTCCTTTTATGACAGCACCACAGTATTTTAATTACAAAGACTTTATATTGCATTTTAATACCTCATAGTGCTATATATTTTAATATCCAATAGATCTAACTCCCTTTCCCCAAAACCACTTTCAGAATTCCCCCGATGTTCTCATCTATTTATTTTTCCAAGCAGACATAGAAACATCTTGTGAAATTTAAAACATCCTGATGGGACTTTCAGAGGAATGGTACTAGACTCATGAACTAATTTGAGAAGAATCCAAATCCTTAGTTTCAAGCTCATTATCTAGAAATAGGGTTTTTAGTAAAACTCTTTAAGTCTTCTTCATCTACAACTAAGCAATCTGTAGTTAATAATAACTTTGTCATTTTTCTTTATAATATTTATTCTCCAAGTTACTATTTTATGACTCTCTGCATTGACTAAAACTTGAAGAGGTAACGAGTGATGCCTTTATTGTTTCACCAGTAAGTATATAGCGGCAGTGGGCTGCATGAACCTGATATTCCTTATAATATTAAAGATTGGTCACTTTATATATTCCTCTTAAAGTGGTATATAAAAACTTAAAAACTGATTGAATACACTTTTGGAATTAATGAGGTTATTACATATCTTTATTTGAACAACTTATATGAACCATAGGAAAATATATGTATATGAAGCTATTCCTGCATTCCAGGAATATAATCTATTTGGTTATGGTAGAACATTCACATACTCTATTGTTGAAATCTACTCGCTAGAATTTTATTTAAAACTTTTACATTCCTAAGTGAGACTGGTATAGATCCTCCCTCTGGGGACTTGCCTGTTTTGATATCAGGGCCTTGCTTGCTTGAAAGAAGGATCTGGAAGTTTTCCATCTTTTTTCTCAATCCCGCAACAGTTTATATAACATAGGAATTATCTGTTCCTTGAGAGTTTAAAAGGATTTTCAAAGGCCTTTTTATATCTTAAAATATTCCACCTGGCACAGGGGTGTATGAGTGTGTGTGTGTCCACGTGGACATTACCATGTTAGTATACATTTAGAATGACATGTAAGATACTGATCTCAAATGGAACAGCTCTATTATAATTTATGGCCATTCTTTCCCCCATGAAAAGGGAGTAAATGCCCAAGATGATAAAGTGTTCAGAAAAAAACACATTTTCCCAGGCTTTGGTTCCAAGAGCCTCCTTTTAAGAGGCACATGAAGGTTATAGAAGGTGATCATGGAATATTGGATGTGTTGAACCATTCAAATTTCATTGAGGCTGACCAAGTTGGCAACCACAACTTTACCACTGACATTCGGAACTAGGAAAGCTGAGACCTGGAGAGACAAGGAGAACCTCTGTCTAGCCCCAGGTCACCTCCAGCTCTGTGGTAAAGGTCTTCCAACTTCCCATTTTATTGTGCCATCTGCAGCCTAGGATGCTTCCCCTCTTCCACAACAAGGAACACTTGTCGCTCTAAGGCTTTCTGTACTGCAGGGCCCCTGGACCAGTGACCCTATAAGCACTTCACAGGCACCACAAATAAAGACTCAAGAGTTGTTTCGGACTGAATGTTTCTCTTCCCCCAAATTCCTATGTTGAAGCCCTAAACCCCAATGGGATGCCATTCGGAGATGAGGTCTTTGAGAGATAATTAAGTTTAGGTAAGGTGAAGAGAGTGAAGCTCCCACGATGGGATGGGTGATCTTATAAGAAGAGGAAGAGGAGATTCCTGTCTCTGAGTGCACAAGGAAGAGATCAGGTGAGCACACAGCAAGATGGCTCTCACTCACAAGCCAAGAGAAGAGGCCTCAGAATAAAACTTACCTTGCTGAGCACCTTGATCTTGGACTTCCCAGCCTCCAGAGCTGTGAAAAATAATTTTTATTTATTTATTTATTTTTAAGATGGAGTCTTGCTCTTGTTGCCCAGGCTGGAGTGCAGTGGCACAGTCTCGGCTCACTGCAGCCTTCATCTCCCGGGTTCAAGCGATTCTCTTGCCTCAGCCTCCCGAGTAGCTGGGATTACAGGTGCCTGCCACCACACCTGGCTAATTTTTCTGTATTTTTAGAGACGTGGTTTTGCCATGTTGGCCAGGCTGGTCTCAAACTCCTGACCTCGTGATCCACTCACCTCAGCCTCCCAAAGTGCTGGGATTACAGGTGTGAGCCATTGCGCCCGGCCCATAAATTTCTATTGTTTAAGCAACCCACTTTATGGTATTTTGTTATGGCAGCCTGAGCTAAGACAAGAATGTTGTGGTAATGTCTGTCAAAAAGCACAATGTCGTCTGCCGTGGAGCAAGATATGCCTTGAGAGAAACCAGTGGTAAGGGGTCTGAACAAATTAAGACCCAATGTTGGCTGGGTGCGGTGACTCACGCCTGTAATCCCAGCATTTTGGGAGGCCGAGGCAGATGGACCACGAGGTCAGGAGTTCGAGACCAGCCTGACCAACATGGTGAAACCCTGTTTCCACTAAAAATACAAAAATTAGCCAGGCATGGTGGTGCGTGCCTGTAATCCCAGCTACTCAGGAGGCTGAGGCAGGAGAATCGCTTGATCCCAGGAGGCAGAGGTTGGAGTGAGCCAAGACTGCACCACTGCACTCCAGCCTGGGCAAAAGAGTAAGACTCTGTCTCAAAAAAAAAAAAAAAAAAAAAAAAATCCAGTGTCTGCTAGAACATGCAAGAACTGTGCCATATAAGCATACGAGCACAGATGAGGCTACTAGAAGGACTCAAACGGTAACGCTTTGCCTAAGAATGCGGTTAACAGACAATAACTGTAGGTGTTAGTGTGCCACAGAATGGTCTTCTTTTTATTGAGAAAGCCACATCTGAGATCACGTCCTTGTTTACAGGAGACCCATGAAACGTTAGAATTAGGACACCTTTTGCCAGTCAAGGTGATGAGCATTAGGATAGTCCTGCAGGAAGGCAACCAACTTGCTTTGGCTCCAGGATTCCATGATTCCATTCACAATTTCACACGGGCGAGCGAGCAGTCTTTCTGTCCCAGTCAACAAGGACAGAGGGGTTACTTTCACACCAGTCATGGCCTAACACAGAAGCTTAATCCTGACTGGAAGGCAAAGTGTGTTTGTGGCAAAGCCAGGCAGACGTGTAATGAAAGCAGAATGAGTAATGTTTAGTTAAGCTTCTGGATGGCAGGGGTGGTTGGGTGTATGTTTGGGGATTTTTAATGACTCCAAAAGGCGTCTTAAAAAGTCACACTATTTTGGCAGTTCTGAGATGCAACTTTTGCTACAAGTACTAACACCAGCAAGTGACTGCTACAAGTATTAATACTAGCACTTACCGGCAACATTTCTCACAAGCACCCCTTCCTTTCTGGGGCTCCTGGGATCAAACCAAGTTTTCTGCATATGTGGGGGGTTGGGGGTGGGGTTGGCACACACACCCTTTCCCACCTACAGAGGCATACCATACAACTGAAAGTCAGATCAAATTGAAGACATTTATCATTTTTAGGGTTAAATAGTGGAAAAGGAAAAACTGTTGACACACTTTCTAATTTGAACTACTTAGGTATTGCAAGATTTTCTTCCTGCTGGTGGAAAATTAAACTAACAATTCTAAGTTAATGACTGCAGGGTAAACGGCTCCTTCCTTATAAAATAAATTGGGTTTATCAAAACTTGTATTAAAATGGATTTTCCCCCAACTTTAACTTATAAATCCAATCAAGATATGACTCTAGAGAACTCTTAGGCTCCAAGTGAGGCTTCAAAAAGTAGGGTGTATTTCCCTACAGTTGCACATTCAGCAGCTAACTCCACATCACCAGGTGGGCACCTGACACCTGGAGGGCAAATGCGGGGCAGTGCCCACCCTCCCTTGGTGGAGTTTTCACAGGTGATGTCAGAAAAATAAGAACAATGTAGTAAATTATTCCTAAAGCTGAGTGTTTTCTATTTAAAGATTTTTGTTTTGTTCTTATATTATCTTTTCCTACTACTTTGGCATCAAGATGGTTTTTTCATAAAAGCTTTGTGATGAGTGTTAAGAGTTTTTAAAATGTCCTAACTTGGCAAAATAAAAAAGACTGGGAGCCCTAGGTCAATGACCTAAAGCTTTTTTTTTTTTTTTTTTTTCTCCTAGTGCTTTCTGGGTCCAGGCAATCTTCATTTGAGAACCACTAGTTTACAGCACTCTCTGAGCCAAGGAATTTGGAGTCAACCAGTGCTCATCTAGGTATCAAAATGGTGGCAAGCCCCAAGTGCAACTAACAACCTACAGAAGACGGAAGTCTAACTTTAGTCAACACTCAGGGAGTGGGGATGAAGAATGTAGTCTTCAAAGCTCCTGGCCACTATGGAACACTGTTCTCCTGCTGCACCCTACATGCTCACCCCTCCATCGTCAAAGCCTCCTCCTCCTGGTTCTGGAACAGGTGGTAAAGCTTTTGGAGGCCCTGTGCCAACCAGTGCTCTCCGCACCGTTAATCTGGGAACCCCAAATCAAGATGCTTGACCCTCCTGGGATTCTGAGAGGTCAGCCCTGTGGCACCAGAGGCTTTCTGGAATGATTCATCATATTGTCAGCTGAAATTCTACTGAAGTGGATGCCCAAGACTAGTTTCTCAGTACTGCAGTATCTCACTCAATCCCAGTGATCCGAAAATCCATCCATCCTCCCAGGACAGTCTGACTGTGTAGCTGGTTCAGGAAACCAAAGGCAAGCGGGGGTCACTCATCCCTCCAGAGCCTCCAGACTGAGAATAAGGAAAAAAATCGCTAGGTGCAGTGGCTCACGCCTATAATCCCAGCACTTTGGGAGGCTGAGGTGGGTGAATTATGAGGTCAGGAGATTGAGACCATCCTGGCCAACATGGTGAAACCCCATCTCTACTAAAAATACAAAAATTAGCTGGGCGCGGTGGCGTGCGCCTGCAGTCCCTGCTACTCGGGAGGCTCAGGCAGGAGAATCACTTGAACCTGGGAGGCGGAGGTTGCAGTGAGCCGAGATCGCACCACAACACTCTAGCCTGGTGACAGAGCGAGACTCCGTCTCAAAAAAACACCCAAAAAACCAACAAAAAAAACCCCAAAAATCAGCTGGGATAGGTCATGAGGTCATGACAGGCCATCAACTATTTAAGAGATTTTTCAACTAAGAATATAAGAACATATTGCCATAAAATTTTAAAATCCCTATATTCTAGAGGTTCTATCTATTTTCAGTTGTATGCTCCTTAAACTTATCTGTATTTAGGCTTCCCCCAAAATGAATTCTAACAGAAAAAAAAAACTTCGGTAAAAAAAGAATCCATAAACACTAAATATTTTAATACCTTTATTTACCTCCTCTCTAACAGAACTAATCAGCAGCAGATAATATATTTGTTACGAAGAGAATTAATTTTCTAGTTAAACATGCACATAAAAACATAAAGGTGACAATATTTGGCAATATATGACACTAATAAAGGTAACATTTATTGGGCTATCCACTGGGCTAAGCGCTTGACTCAGATCACCTCAGTTAATCCTTACAGCAAACCTATAAAGTAGGTGCTATTCTTATTTCCATTTTATAGATGAGCTTATAAATGAGGAACCTCATTACTGTAATTTAATCTTCACCAACCCAGAATTTGAGTTCAGTGTTTACTCTGGCTATTAAAAGGTTGAATAAGCAAATTAGAAATTAAACGGGATTTCAGAAGATATATTTAACCTACTAGAAGGTCGTACGTTTTAAGACATACTGAAAAACAGATGCTAACTGCTTCCAACAGGATGTGTTTGGGAAGATCCTGCCTGACACTATACCACATTAAAACACTTGAAGATTCAAACTTTTACTAGTTAAGGTTGAGTGTCCTCTCACTATTATCCCCAATGACTGGTCCAAGTTAGTAAGGTATTATTCTACTTCTATGGGTGGTACAGTATGGTGGATGTCAGCTGCGGCTCCCAAGTTCTATTTCCCTCCTACCCTGACAAAGTGTCCAGAACTCTACACACCCCCAGCCTCCCCACAGCCTGGTGCAGGAGCCAGTCTGGTGCAGAAGCCAGCCTGAGGATGAACTGACCCAGGGAGGAAGGAGTGGAGAGATTAAAAAAAAAAAAAAAAAAAAAAAAAAAAAAACCTGGATGGTTTAGGATACTGCTGAGCTGCTGGTTCACACCCACCCTGCAGTCCACCCTATCCCTGCACATGGCAGGTACATGAGCTGATTAATCAATTCATTGTGCCGTGGGAGCCCCTGAGTTAGGTTTTCTGGTATTCAGAATTAGGATTTTTGGTAGTCAGCCTGAAAGAATCCAAACTGATAAATGGGAAACGAGCTTCTATGGCCTGAATGTTTTGTGTCTCTCCCAGATTCATGTGTTGGAATCCTAATCCCCAAAGTGATAGTGTTAGGGATGAAGCCTTTGGGAGGTGATCAGGTCTTGAGGGTGAAGCCCTCATGAACAGGGTTAGTGCCCTTATTCAGGAGGTCTGAGAGAGCTCTGGTCCCTTCCATGACGTAAGGACACAAGAAGTTGTCAGTCTGCAACGTGAAAGCAACCCTCACCAGAACCTGACCATACTGGCACCCTCATCTCAGACTTCCAGCCTCCAGAACTGTGAGAAATATGATTTGTTGGTGGTTATAAGCCTCCACATCTATGGCATTCTGTTATAATAGCCCAAACAGACTACGATGTGTGTGAATCCACAGTCTCTTCCTGGCACTTACTCAGATTTTGTTTTATGTTGTTTTTTGGGTTTTTTTGTTTGTTTGTTTTTAAACTGTTTCAAATGTTTTGTGTTGTTTTTCCCGAGAAAATGTAAGGGGCTTTCGAGAAACACTTTCATGAATTAATGAGTGGCCTTGGGCAAATCCCTTGACTTCCCTGGGTCTTTTCAAGTCTGAAAAGGACTGGGATCTCCGTTGCTCCTACCATCCCTCACAGCCGGCACATCTACGTAGCTGACCTCACAATGCAAAGTTTCACTCAAACATACACAAAAGCCTCTTTTGGTCTAAAGTAGAAACGTCCTTATAATCCAAGTGACCTGCAACTCTTGACTCTGTGAGACTGTTCCCATTCGCTCCGCAGATCCACCCTCCATCCTCCTTCAGGCAGCTCTGCCCCACAGAGGCTCTGCCCTCCGTGGACAGCATCCACCCAGTTCCCTTGCCTTCTGGCTCTGACTGAGGCTGCCTAATGGGAGGCACTGGCATCAGGAGATGGGAGATCCAAGGGGTTCAATAAGGATATTTATT
Organism: Homo sapiens; assembly: GCF_000001405.40. Lineage (NCBI taxonomy): Eukaryota > Metazoa > Chordata > Mammalia > Primates > Hominidae > Homo > Homo sapiens. The sequence continues at coordinate 42,361,929 of NC_000006.12, forward strand.
CTTTTGGCTCCTTCCTGGCCATGCTGCTGTAGGTTGATTGCATTCCTCTACCAGGGACACCTCTCCAGCTCCTGTTTCCCATCCCGACAGCCAGTCCCTCCCTCTTCCTTCCAGGCACAGTAACAGCTCCCTGACACTGCTGGCCCTGGGTGCTTCAGCATCCCTTCTTGGCTTCTCTTAACTCTGCCTGCATCCTTATAAAGACTCCCTTCAGTAGACGCTCTTCAATTACCCCATTTGCACGAGCCACGTGTTTCCGACTGGAACCCCGAGACACAATGGCTTTAAAATTAAATCAGAATCAGGCACAATAAAAAAGAAACCGAAGCAATCAATTCTGAGCCTCATACAGGAGGAATGGAAAGCGTGGCACATGCCAAGAAAACAAAACCACACACACCGAAATAATCAAATCAGATACCACCCCCCTTCCCCACTGTCGCCAAGAATGTGTGGAGGATGGAGCCATCTCTTGCCGGATCAGGGTTTACACCTGAAATAAAAGCTTAAAATTCTATTTATGCACAAACTACTGACCCTTGAAACAGCTTGTGGGAGGCCCGGCAGAGGAATCATAGCTGTATGCCCATTTTATGGAGGGACAAACTGAGAATGGAAGGGATCATGAGGCCAGACCTGATAAAAACGCGAGGAATGCCCCAGGGCCAGCTAAGGCTCCTGAGTCCAGCAATCCGCCTCTGGCAGGCTCTGTGGAGCTTCCCACAGTGGCCTTCTACACCTCCACTGCATCCCAGACATTTTTAAATCCTTCTAAACACTTCTAGAACTACCATCCATGGACATCCATTGGATCCTCAACTATTTACAACTCTGCAAAATCAAGAGACACCCTCCGCCCCATTCCAGAAGCTGCCAAAAACCATTATGTGAATCCACAATCCCTGACCATTTCCCAGAGAAAATTTTCTAGAAATTAATGGATGTCCAGGCCCAGAGCAGCCCTCCTCCACTTCCTGGGGCATTCTCCACACCATATGGGTCCAAGAAATGGTCTTACGACTGCTTTGCTGTAAAATATTCCAACACCAAGAACTCCCGAGAAGCGACCTGTTTGAGGATGAAGAGGCTGAATCTTTCAGGGTCGTCCTGCTTCTGCGTCTTCTTCCTTCAGCATTCTCCACAGCCAGGGCCTGCAGGAGTGACCCAAAGAGCACAGTCAGGACATCTGGCTTCAGCATGGGAACAGTGAGTATCAATCAGGGAGAGGTCGGAGGAGTGACCTGGGATGGAGCCCTGAAGAACCCAGCAGCTGATGGGCCCACCCAGGACGAGGACCCAGCAAAGGCTGCTGAGGAAGGTCCCGGGGGAGAAGAGGACTTAGGAGACCAAGACGTTCAACTTCATTCTGGTTATTCAGGCTCTAAACCCAAGTCATCATGGCTTTCCTCTTTCCCTCACACCCCACGTCTAATCCATCAGCAAAGGACGCCAGCTTCAACGTAAAGTAATATCCAGACCCTCACCGTTTCTCGACACCTCCACTGGTACCACTTTAGTCCAAGCAAGCAGCATCTCTCATTAGGTTATTGTGATAACCCCCTAATTAGTTGTCCCACTCCTCCCCTCACCTTTCTATAACCATGTCTTGGGGGTTGAACTGTGTCTCCCCAAGATTCCTATGTTGACATCCTGACCCCTAGGATCTCAGAATGTGGCATATTAGGAGACAGGGTCATTGAAGATGTCATATTAGGAAACAGGGTCATTGATGATATAAATAGTTAAGACGAGGTCCTACTGAAGTAGGATGGGGGTTCCTAATCCAAAATGACTCTGGTGTCCTTATAAAAAGGGGATATTTGGAAGATTGGAGGTTTTCTGCCACAAGCCAAGAAGCTACCCAGAGTTGGAAAGGAGCCCGAAACAGACCCTTCCCTGGAGTCTCCAGAGGAGCATGGCCCTGCCAACACCTTGATCTTGGACTTGCAGCCTCCAGAGCTGTGAGACAATAAATCTGTGGTTTAAGCCACCCAGTGTGTGGTACTTGGTTATAGCAGCCCAAGCTAACAAATACAGCATGCTCCCCAGAGCAGCCTAAGTGATCATTTAAAAATCACTCTTCTGCTCAGAACACTCCTGTAGTATTTCATCTGTATCAAAGTAAAAGCCAAAGTCCTTGAAATGGCCACAGTCCACATGACTTGGCTGGGCCTCCTCCCTGATGGACTGAGACACCTGACCTCTTCTCCTCCTACTCTGCCCTTCCTCCATTTCCTCCAGCCACAATGGCTTCCTCAAACATCCAGGCAGGCTCCTGCCTCAGCCCTCCATACTTGCTCTTCCCCATCCCTGGAGCACTCTTCCCCCAGGCATCTGTCACTTCCTACAGGTTTCTGCTCTCACGTCCTTTGCAGTGAGGCCCACCTCAAACCCCGGCCCCCTTCCTAGCCTCCTTCCCTGTTGTATTTCTCTTTGCAACCCTTATTACCACCTGACATTTATTATTTTTTTCATCCCCCTTTCCCCACTTCCCTTAGACTGTAAATTCCCTGAGAGCAGGGACATCGTATTATGGTGTGCCCAGAGCCTGGCACATAGTAGGTGCTCAAGAAATAGCTGTTGAAAGACTTTGTATGATGGAATCAAAGAAGCCAAGAGAAAAGAGAGTTGCAAGAAGGAGGAAGCTGTCCAGTGTCAAAAGCAGCAAAGAGCCCAGACAGATAAGGACTGAAGTGTCCGTTGTGTGTGGCAACATGGAAGCCGTGGGTGACCTTAGAGAGGGCAGCCCCTGCAGAAGGCAGGAGGCCTCTGCAGCAAACCCACCGGGTCCCTGCTCTGGACCAGGCATAAGCCCCCACCAGTGGAGGCCAGCCTGCGTGGGCTATGTTAGCGAAGGCAGATTATTTCCACACATCCATCTGTAAGGGGAGGAGAAAAGAGAAGGTAAGGCTGAGGGGTGTGAAGGGCTGAGGAAGTTGCTGCTGCAGGACTGAGGCGTGAGGTCCCAGGGGCCGCAGGAAGCATGGGGATCCCTGTCCAGGGAGAGGGTTCTCTCTGGCCAGGAGGAAGGATGTCTCTTTCTCTGAGTGCAAGGAAACCAGGTGGGAACGAGCCCAGATGCAGGTCAGCACACAGGAGGGCAGGTGGGAACCTGAGTGGGCTCGCCGTGGAGTAATATTTTCAGTGAACACAGAAGCCAGGTTGTCTCCTGAGTGGTGAAGGGCAGACAGGAGAGGAGGCTGGGGTGCACGTCCCACTGTGGGTATCAAGTGCGGGCGTGGCCCTGAAACCCAGCACCTCCTGACGTTTCTGCCCTAGGTGGCTTACTCTCTCACCCTAGTCCACACCCTGACTGGAGACAGCCAGCTGCTGGCCAGTATCCCAGAGGGCCCTGCTCTAGCCAGAGGCCGTGGTTTCGTAGAGGCACAATCTGCATGGATGTGGGGTTTTCTGTGACAGCCCTCAGTAGCCAGGGTTTAGGAGGAGAAGTTCCTAAAGCTGAATTCAAAGGCCCCAAGCAGTTCCATCTCTTTCTGTGAAGGCTTCATCATTCTCCCGGGCTCCCAGACTCAGAACCTCATACTCCACTCCCCTAATCCCTCCCAGTCACAAAACCATGCCTCTTCCCGCATGAGAAGATTCATTATTCCTTGAGCACCTACTAAGTGCTGGGTGTGTTACAAGTTAAAATCCTCAAACAAGAGTCCTGTGAAGTGTTTTTAGCCTCTATCTATAGATGACAAAACAGGTTGAAAGAGATGAAGTAATTTGCTCAAGGGCACACAGGTAGCAAGTGGCAGAGCTAAGATTTGAAACCTTCCACTTCCCTCTCGTCTTTTCTACATACACTACCACCACCCTAGTCCAAGTCCTCAACATTTCATTCCTAACTCTTGACATGATAAATGTCTCCTAAGTTACCTCCCAGCACTGCCCATTTACAGTTCACAAATCGAGACGGATCTTCTTACAGCATTGCATTTACTAATCCCGGCTCCATGCTTTGGCTTTGGAGGCTCCTCAATACAGGAACATTCCAAGCTCCACAGCCATCCCTTGGGATCCTTCATAAATGGTGCACATCTCCTTCTTCAATCTTGTTTCCCATGCGTACCTCTGCTCACCCCATCTGTAATCCCCTGCCCAGTCCATGCACCCCGTCAAGGTCCTAACACCCAGCACATTCCTCCCCTGCAGCTCTGCCCTCTGGCCACCCAGCTCCAGCCCTCTCCTGCAGTCTGCTGGGTGGCACCAACCCAGCTTACCAAGCTCTCCTGGCTCTTCTGAGCTCACTGCATCTAGCTTCTCTGGGCAAGAGCTCCCTGTGCCCATGTGGACTGCCAGCTTCTTGAGGGCAATGAATCGTGTATTGACAATGCTTGCAACTGCCCGCTGCTCAACACAGTGTCTCAGTTATTTGATCCACAGAACAATTCTGATGCTCAGGTGATATGATTCCAGAAGTTTTTCAGAAAATGTAGGAGAACCAAGATGGCCAAGTGAAGAGACACAGGGCCTTCTTGAAGCTGGGAGGCATACCTATTCTTCCTGTGCAGGAGGCACCAGAGTCCGGCACCTCCTAACATCCACTCTAACGGGGAGGAGGATGGCTGGGTTTGGCTCCTCCCTCCTCTTCCTGCACCTGCATATTCAAGGTCTTGGTGTCCTTCCTTTACCACCCTTTCACATGCTTTTGTAGACATAGATAGATATACTCTCTTCTTCCTTCTTCAAGGGAGAGCTTGAAATGTGAGAAATCCAGCTGTGTGGAGAAGCTCATGGTGACTGGCAGAACAGTCAGGACTGGGCAACCAGAAGCAGGAAAAAGAATATTCTATTTTGGGAAATGAGGAGCTGGACTGATCCACTTCGATCACCAGCTATGGACCACCATCTAACAATTCTGGGATTCCCAGAGCCACAAGAGGGAGATGCCTGGGAAAGGTGAAAATCAGCAAAACACTCAAGGGCCATCTGATCACCCCAGGCAGACAGGCAGATCTGGGTAACATGGGGCTGAGAGAAAACCACAGGTTTCAAGGGGATGCTGTCACCAAGATGCCCCATAAGAAATCAGGATCTGCCCAAACCAGGGGCAACCAAAGGGGCATTGTACTCCTCAGGACTTAGCTGAAGTCACAGGAGCACTGGAGTCAGGCCTGCGATCAAATCCTGACCTCGTCAGCCAGGTCAGCCTTCACCTCTTGGAGGCTGGCTCTGCATGAGTGACTGTGAGGCCTAAATAAAATTAAGTGTATAGAAGTATAATATCTAGCACAGGCCTGGCCTTACATAAGGGGCACACTCAGTGTTGCTCCCCTCCCCCTTTCCAGCCTTCAGACCTCACAGCTCTCTCCACTCTTACTAACAGAAACAAGCACAGAGGCCACAGAGCATTTCCCAGCAAGAAGGTTTGCAAAGAAGGATGGCAGAAGTCCGCAAAGAAACAAACAGGCCACCCCACTGCTGGTAAGAGAGAAGCACCGGACCTCGGTGAATGCCCGGGTTTCAAAACACACAAAGCTCCGAGCCTCTGATTGTACCTAAACAGGAAGTTTGTGACAAACTTAGAAAACACGCATGCACAATGGCAAGAGGCTGCACGCCACTGAGAAAAGATGAAATCCGGCCCTGCTGGGGGCTCTGTGTGGAGGAGAGGCGTGCAGAGCCAACACTCCCACCGCACCAAGATCTTCCTGGCTGTAGGGAGGCACCCTTACCCTGGGCTTCTCCTCACCCCAAGCATGGGAGGGATTTGGGCCAAAATGTGTGGAGCTGCTCTGGTTTCCAAAGCCAGGCTCTGCTCACCCCCTCCTGCTCTCTCTCCCACCCCTACCCACTCAGGCATCTAGGACATCAGGTACTCCCAACAGCTGGCAGGGGCCTGGTGACTGAGGTGTATAGCAGGGGACCATTTTTCAGCTGGGAGATCTTAGCACAGAAAGGGGAAGTGACACACAGAGGTCCCGCAGAGCTCCCATCCCCGATCTGATCTCCATCTGGCTGCCCGGCCAGCGTCTGTATCATCGGGCCCTTTAGCATTCCACAATGGGGTCCTCAGCTGCCATCTCCTTCCACTTTGACACCCTGCCTGGCCCTAACATTTTTACTTGCATTGCTCACACCAGTATGGGGCTCGATAACTTCAGTTCACTTATCTGAAAGTGCAGGCAAATGTGGACACAATCTGTGTCTCATCTCAAGTAGAGGACAAACTTGGGAGATTGTTCACAATCTCCCAAGTGCCCGTGGAATGGGCCCTGCATCCAGGCAGTATACTTGGTGGCTGTGCTCCAGTAAATACTCGGTAGATTAATACACAACATCAATACCTTCCTATTGTACCTCCCCAACCAGGTTATGTCCCACTTGTCTCTGAGTCACCCTCAGCAAGGACAGGTCCCTCTACCCCTCCTGAGTGGAGGGCCCAGCTGTAAACTCAGTCTCCTGATGGTTGGCTCCTCGGCGCCCCCACACAGCACCTCCCGCAGTGGTTTCCTCGCCCCCCCAAGTTAGGTTCCTTTTTAAAAAAATGACTCATTTAGGAAGAGACAAAACCAAGAACTTCAATGGTAAAGATAAAACAGCAAGCACCAAGACTCTAAACACCTCCCACTCCATGTAGAATTTAGATCCGATAAAGCTTCCCCAAACTGGACCTCCTAATTTGGAACTTACGGTATACACAATTCTTCTAGCAAAGACACTTCCAGTAATGTCTCAATGTTTCAGCGTCTTCTTTACAAATAGAGATGGCCCCAGGACTCCAGGCAGTAGTTTTTTCAAAATGAGGGAATGAGAAATTAAAGATTAAAGTCCACGCTTTGGACTTCTGGGTCAAAAAAGTAATTATTTGATGTTTTACTACATTTATGATTCTAATTTATTGATTGCAGGACATAGGCATTATATCACAGGCCTAATGAGAATTATGGGGAGTTTTTTAGTTAAAAAATGACTTCTTGGTATGTAAGAAGTTTATGACATTTGTGCACAGTATCTGAAAGGAATGAAATTATATGATACAATACAGAGAATAGTAACATTTTAGGGCTAAAATGAGCAATTAAGATGACCCGAATCCAGGGGTTCCCAATGTTAGCTGCATTTCTGAAAAAAATTCCCAGGCTCCCCAAGATTCTGACACATTCAGTCTGGAGTGGGGCTCTGACATCAACTGTTTCCTTTTATAAGTTTCCCAGTGATTTTAATGTGCCTACAGGGTTGAGAACTGCTTATCTGCAGATAAGAAGGCTGGGATCTAAAAAAAACTGAGGAGGCCAGGCACGGTGGCTCACATCTATGATCCTAGCACTTTGGGAGGCCAAGGCGGGTGGATCACTTGAGGTCAAGAGCTCCAGACCAGCCTGGCCAACATGGTGAAACCCCGTCTCTACTAAAAATACAAAAGTTAGCCAGCATGGTGGCAGGTGCCACCCAGCTACTCAGGAAGCTGAGGCATGAGAATCGCTTGAACCTGGGAGGCAGAGGTTGCAATGAGCCAAGATCAAGCCACTGCACTCCAACCTGGGCAACAGAGCGAGACTCCAACTCAAAAAATATGAACAAACAAACAAACAAACTGAGGAGTCCAAAACTGCATAGTCAGTCAGACCCAAAACCAGAACTGAATCTAAAATCTGCACCCCCACCCAGTCCGGTTCTACACGTTTGCTCAGGTTTTTGGTATTCACAGATTTGCTAAAACTTTTTTTTTAAACAAACAAACAAAAGAGGGGACTAACTAGGGCTGCCAACTTTTGTTTTGTCAAGCAAAGGTATTTTACAAATATCTACCAGTTATCATACTATTACCACTTCCTGATGTGTCTCTTGTCTATTTGCATACCTGCTGCCCTCTCTGGCCCAGTCTCCACCCAGGAGGTAAAATTTCACAATATCTGGCCCCGCCCACTGTTGCATTCACCTTCACTCACCCTGCTCCTTATGACAAATCCAATCAAAACCCAGGCCTAAAAACTTCTCCGTCTCCTCCTTCTCTAACTCCAGTTTCTGAAAGTCTCTTCTGTAACCACAAACTACTTCCCAGTCCCTCTAAACCTACCCTTCACCTTCCTCCTGACCTCCACATGAAAACATCTGTACAAGCCATACTAACAGTTTTGCTATTCCACACACATTATCCCTTCTAAATGTCTCCCCTACCAACGATATACCAGCAACTATTCAAAGAGGCTGCCTCTGAGGAGCAGAATTAGGGGGTAAAGGATGGATGCAGGGGAAGGGGGGGTCTCTTTATACCCTACCATTCGAATTTGGGAAAGCATATATTCTTTTCAATGGACACAAATCACACATACACACATACACACAGCAGGTTACAAAATGCATCTCTGATTTGCTTCTGTATTTATAAAAACACAAAAAATTGTCTGGGAAGTATGCATGTCCAGGTTCTAAATGTAAACGATATCTGAGTGGTGGGATTATGGGTGACATTATTTTCACTTCCCTTTCCTCTTTGTTATCTTTGTTATGTTTTGTTTACATAACAAAGAAAAAATAATAGTTTAAAACCTGAACCAGAGCTGGGCATGGTGACACATGCCTATAGTCTCAGCTACTTGGGAGGCTAAGGCAAGGGAATCACTTGAGTGCCTGGGCAACATAGCAAGATCCCATCTCTTTAAACAAAAACCATGAACCAAGGCATTATCTGATGTCCGAAACCTACATAGTTTAAAAAGCAAAGGTACCAGAGCAGGTCACAGACTGGCATAGAGAATTATCTCTTTTCTGTAAAATGAAGGGTCTTCCCCAGCCAGGCCCTCCTGGCTTCTGTGCGTGGCCTGGGTCCTGAGTCTACCACTGGCATTGACCCCAAGTCAACCCTTGGCCCTGCCAGCCCCCAAGAACAGATGCAGAAGAAATGTCCTCACATAGGTATAAAGCCCCTTCCAGAGCCTCTCTGGCCTTCTGAGGTCACCCCCTATCAGCTCTCCCTGGCCCCTGAGGAGGATCCACTATCCTCTCCTGAGTGTCTCCTCTGAGCCCTGGTTTTCGCTGTTTTCCTCTATGTTTTTCCCAGGCTATGCTCCCCAAGGCTTTCTGAGTCTCTGCAAAGGGGAGCAGCCACATACAATCCAAGTAACCCTCAGGCCCACAACCTGTAAATCAGGAGCCCAGAAACTCTTTAGATGGAGTGCAAACGGTGGGATTCTCCACAGTCCCCACGGCTCCCTAATGTTTTACAAGGCAGTGAAGAGGGGTGGCGGAGTGCTCTAGGCAGCAAGAACAGAACTGAGAGTTCAAAGGCCTGGAGGTCAGAGGGTAGGTGATGTGTTCAGGGAAGTAAAAGGCATTCAGGATAACTGGAGTGTCTCTGAGCACGTCCAAGGCCTAGCAGAGAGAAAACTCTAAGGAAACTTACCAAAATTCACAAGGGCCAGCAAAGAAGGGCCTAAACAAAGAACTCTCAACCTTTCATCTGCTGTGTCTCCTTCCAAATGCTTCCTCACTTGATCTACCCTTCCAGTGTCTAGGAGGATCTAGGCCAACAGGAGTGGGTGGCAAAATAGGAATAGAGAAAAAAGAAATGAGATTAAGCAGCCCCACACAGGAGGCAGACTGAGGTCCTCCCAATGTAGCGGTTCCCGAGGCCAAGAGACCTGATGCTCAACCCCCTCCTTGGCATCAGCTCCAAAGGCAAAGGACATTTGCAATGTATCCAAACTTCTGGGGCTCTCGAGGTAGCTTTTTAAAGAACTTTGAGACTTCAAGAGTGCCAAAACACAGATTGGCATGCTCAACCAGATGCATCTGTGACCTGTGTGAGGCCTTCTGGGGAACCCTACAGAGCTGGACTAGCATTCAGCCCCTGTCCTATAAGAAAGAAGCCATTGGCAATTCTGTCTCCTTAAATGTCCCCCCACATTGTGCTTGTATATGGCAAGCTCATCTGCTCAGGGGGAAATCTTGCCCTGTAGCAGCACTGTTCTGTTTAAGTAGGAGGTATGTGCCTGTTTTCCCTCCCTCAAAATCTCAACTAAGGCTGGGCGCAGTGGCTCATCCCTGTAATCTCAGCATTTTGGGAGGCCAAGGAGGGTGGATCACTTGAGGTCAGGAGTTCGAGATCAGCCTGGCCAACATGGTGAAACCCCGTCTCTACTAAAAATACAAAAATTAGCCGGGCATGGTGGCAGGTGCCTGTAATCCCAGCTACTCAGGAGGCTGAGGCATGAGAATCACTTGAACCCAGAAGCCAGAGGTTGCAGTGAGCCGAGATCAAGCCACTGCACTCCAGCCTGGGTGACAGAGCAAAATTCAGTCTCAAAAAACAAAAACAAAAACAAAAACCCCTCAACTAGACTGTAAGCTCCTACTAGAGTCAGCTCTAGCTTCTGTTCTTCATTTGCCTTAAAGAAAGTCCTCCCTGTTGGCTTTTGTTGAGCTCTTACTAACCAAGTAGAAAGCCAGTTCTCAAACCCATCAGCTCCTACATGAGGCTTCTGTCCAACAGCTACGGCTCTCACTGGGCTACAGGGACAGTTCTTTCCAATGGAGTTCCTTCAGGCCTCAGAGTGGCAATGGCTTCCCCCCACAGGACCATTCCCCTGTGACCACTTAGAGTCCAGTCTCTGGGTGCTGTATCCTCCCAGTCAGTTCCCTTCCCCCTAACTAACTTAAAGTCTCTTCAACTAAACCTTTTGAGTGAAAGAAAACTCACGACCTAGGATTCGCACCTAAGAAAGCTGGATTCTCATTGGAGACTTTGGAGATGCGCACACTCAAAACAGCCAGACAACATCCCAAGGGATGGCAGAGAATCGCCTGCCACTGATGCCTAATAGAGAGATGGAGAGGGATGAGAAGGTCTCAGAGGAAGTGAGATCTGAGTTGGGTCTCAAAAAATGGGTTCAATGGGGTCAACTGGAGAGGAAGTAGGAAGACCATCCCAAGCAGTGGGCCAGCACACACGTGGCACTGACCACAGGGTGGGTGGGGCCCCACTACGGAGGAATGAGACCCTGAGTCAGGCAAAGGGTAAGAGTGTGTGTTCGGGAGTCACGTCAGAATTGGTCTGAGCTCAACTCTACCTCTGGCTAGCTGAGCAACTGGGTAGCTTGCTAACCTCTCTCAGCTCCACATTTTTCCTCAGTAACAGGATGAAGACAAGGATAATCAGGGTACCCATGCTATGGTTGTTGTAAAGATTTAATGAGAGGATGCACATAAAATGCTGTCAATAAATATAATTTGTTATTCTTGCTACAGTCAAAATACCAGTGGCCATCCTGCTGGTGTGGCCGGGGCACTTTCTTCTTTCTAACAGCCACAGTGTTGTGAAGAAGGGAGCACTGGTGGACTGGGCACATCCTGAGTCACCTAAGAAGGGGAAGAGGCTGGGTGCGGTGGCTCACGCCTGTAATCCTAGCACTTTGGGAGGCCCAGGTGGGTGGATCACCTGAGGTGGGGAGTTCAAGACCAGCCTGACCAACATGGAGAAATCCTGTCTCTACTAAAAATACAAAATTAGGCTGGGCACGGTGGCTCACACCTGCAATCCCAGCACTTTGGGAGGCCAAGGCGGGTGGATCATGGGGTCAGGAGATCGAGACCATCCTGGCAAACACAGTGAAACCCCGTCTCTATTAAAAATACAAAAAATTAGCTGGGTGTGGTGGCGGGCACCTGTAGTCCCAGCTACTCGGGAGGCTAAGGCAGGAGAATGTCATGAACCCCAGAGGCGGAGCTTGCAGTGAGCCGAGATGGCGCCACTGCACTCCAGCCTGGGCAACAGAGTGAGACTCCGTCTAAAAAAACAAAAAAAATTAGCCAGGCGTGGTGGCACATGCCTGTAATCCCAGCTACTCAGGGGGCTGAGTCAGGAGAATCGCTTGAACCTGGGAGGCAGAGGTTGCGGTGAGCCAAGATTGCACCATTGCATTCCAGCCTGGGCAACAAGAGCAAAAAAAAAAAAGAAGAAGAAAGAAAAGAAAAAAGGCCGGGCGTGGTGGCTCACGTCTGTAATCCCAGCACTTTGGGAGGCCAAGGTGGGCAGACCGTGAGGTCAGGAGATTGAGACCATCCTGGCCGACATGGTGAAACCCTGTCTCTACTAAAAATACAAAAATTAGCTGGGCGTGGTGGCACGTGCTTGTAATCCCAGCTACTCAGGAGGCTGAGGCAGGAGAATTGCTTGAACCAGGGAGTCGGAGGTTGCAGTGAGCCGAGATGGCACCATAGCCCTCCAGCCTGGCAACAAAGTGAGACTCTGTCTTTTTTTTAAAAAAAAAAAAAAAGAAGAAGAAGAAGAAGAAGAAGAAGAAGGGGAAGAGCCTGCTAAGCCTTAGAATGCCCAGGCAGCCGGGGGCGGGTGTGTGCAGCTTGCCCCTACACACTCTGTTCTCTGCCCTTCCTGGACCACTGGCTATATCAGCTGGGCTCTCTGGGCTTCCAGCTGGATTTAGTTAAAGTGAGAGCATTTATTCCCCCTTCCTCCTCTTCACCACAGTTTGACAGTGGTTGTGTCTCGTCACCATCACAGCTGTTGTCGAGGCCCTTTCTACCCATCCCTGGGGCTCCTTCCTTCTGGCCGAGGGGAGGTAATAGCTTCCCACTGTTGTCAGCTCTGGGGAGCCTCACCAGCCTTAGATGGTTTCCCTCACCATGCCCACACATCTGTAAATAGTCCTCTCCAGTTAAACCCTCTGTGTGTACCAGTCATTTCCTGCCAGAGCTCTGACTGACAGAGCAAGACCTACATCCACCTACCAGATAGATGGGGCTGAGAGGACAGCCCGGTCCTACCCTCACCCCCTACCATCTCCTCAGAGGTAGAAATGTGAACGGCAGTGTTTAAGACATAAGCACCTGGCCAGGTGTGGTGGCTCACACCTGCAATCCCAGCACTTTGGGAGGCTGACATGGGTGGATTGCCTGAGCTAAGGAGTTCGAGGCCACTCTGGGCAACATGGTAAAACCCTGTCTCTACTAAAAAAATACAAAAAATTAGCCGGGTGTGGTGGCGTGCACCTGTGGTCCCAGCTATTCAGGAGGCTGAAGCATGAGAATTGCTTGAACCTGGGAGATGGAGGTTGTAGTGAGCCAAGGTTGCACCACTCCAGCCTGGGCAACAGAGCAAGATTCTGTCAAAAAAAAAAAAAAAAAAAAAGACATAAGCACCAATGTGTTTTGCCCAAAAGTAATTATACGGGAAATTAACACCCCTGGAAGCTGGAAGAAACCCAGGAAGCTCAGGGTAAAGCGACTGTCCCAGCCCAGGCAGGGCCTTCTGTGTTCTTCCAAGTCCATCACACAATGGGGCGCCAACAAAGTCACAGGCTCTAGATGGGTGCCTGGCATATGGTAGGCACTTCATAAACACCTGTTCATGAAGATGCCTTCTGGCTGAAGATGCAAGCCCGAAATCCAAGAGATCCTGCAGAATTGGATACTCCATGAAAGCCACCGCTCTGTGGAGCAGCTCCGGAGCCACCCTTTGCTCATCATCCCATGCACATGAAGCTCAGAGGAGCCTCTTCTTTATCCACACAAATGCTAGTTCCTCCTCTCTTAGCAAGAAATGCCTGAGGCTGACAGCTGTCTCGTCACCTCTCTTGCTGATTTCGCTGCTCCTCATGCCCTCACAGGGCCAAACACAGCCTTGGTTTTGTGCAGTCCAAAAGCATTTATTAAGTGTCTACTATGTCCAAGCACCATGCCAGGCACTAAAGTTCCAAAGGCGATTAAGACAAAAGTCTCAGGGTCCAGGGACCACGAAGAACATGAAGGAGGAAGGCTACACACTGACTGACTAAAGAGGATTCTCAAAGATGGGTGAAGAAGCCTGAACTAAACTGGTCTTGAAGACTGCGGCTGTGATTACTATGGGGGGCTGTGATCACGATCACTATGGGGAAGGAGAGGGAAGGTGCAGGAGGTGTAAAGAGGGAAGTGGGAGCCTGGAGAACCCCTGGACAAGGGCAAGCAGAAGTGAACTTCACAGGGGCCAGAGCAGATAAGAACCAGGCAAGGGGCTTGTCTCAAATGGGGCCCCCTTGATTCAAAAACCAAGCACATTAAACAGAAGAAATGAAACCCGATTAGAAGCTGTCTCCTCCTGGCAGCCTCACAAGTCACAATGTCCCCCCTTTAGGAAATGTGAAGGCGGTGTGGCTGGGTCTGGGGGAAACTGCTTGTCCTGAAGGGGATGTTTCTCGGCCTACCACTCACCACCAAGCTCCCCAGATGTTGGGGTCAGCCCAATCAGTGTGAAGGGGGCCTGGCCACCCCCAGTTCCAGGGCACTGAGCACTCCCACCCCAAACAAAATAAAAACCTTTCACACATGCTTGCTCTTACTTGGAATTCTAAAATTAAACGTTCATTCCTCTCACCTAAAAGGTTTCTCCTTTTATAAGCTAATATGCAAATGCCTTGGAGAGGCTAAGTCTTAGCAGCCACATATCCGCTTAGCATGAATGCTTCCAGAGGATCGTTCCTGGAAAACAGGCTTTGCGTGAGGGATGTCTGAGAGATGATCTGTGGCTGGGGTAGGGGAGAGACAGGAGTAAGAGGGAGATGCACATGGAAGGCAGAAGGCTGCTCCTGTGCTGAATCAACACCCAGAAGGGCAGAGGGGAGAGGGTTAAATGTTGAAACCTTCATGACTTTTCGTCTAATTCTTTTTTTTTTTTTTTTTTTTTTTTTGAGACAGAGTCTCACTCTGTCGCCAGGCTGGAGTACAGTGGCGTGATCTCAGCTCACTGCAACGTCTGCCTCTCGGGTTCAAGCGATTCTCCTTTCTCAGCCTCCCGAGTAGCTGGGACTACAGGCACATACCACCACGCCCAGCTAATTTTTGTATTTTTAGTAGAGACGGGGTTTCACCATGTTGGCCTGGATGGTCTCAATCTCTTGACCTTATGATTTGCCCACCTCAGCCTCCCAAAGTGCTGGGATTACAGGCGTGAGCCACCGCACCTGGCCTCCTCTAGCTAACTTTTAAAAAATAAAAACAATTTTTTTTTTGAGACAGAGTTTTGCTCTTGTCACCCAGGCTGGAGTGCAGTGGCGCGATCTGAGCTTACTGCAACATCTGCCTCCCGGGTTCAAGCGATTCTCCTTCCTCAGCCTCCCAAGTAGCTGGAATTACAGGTGTGAGCCACCATGACCGGCTAATTTTTGTATTTTTAGTAGAGACGGGGTTTCACCACGTCAGTCAGGCTGATCTCAAACTCCTGACCTTAGGTGATCCACCTGTCTCGGCCTCCCAAAGTGCTGGAATTACAGGCGTGAGCCACTGTGCCAGGCCTAAAAATAAAAATTTAATTAGCATACCAAAAACTTCACTCTTTTTTAAAGTGTACAATTCACTGATTTTTAGGATAGTCACAAGGTGGTACAACTACTACTATGACTACTTTATTTCAGGGCATTCTCATCATCCCAAAGAAACCCCGTACCCATTCGCAGTCACTCTCTTTTCCTCTCTTCTCCTGACAGCTGCTTTCTATCTCTACAGATTTGCCCATTCCGGACATTTCCTATAAATGGGATTGTACACCATATGGCCTTTTGTGACTGGCTTCTTTCACTCAGCATAATGTCTTCAAGGTTCATCCATGTTGTAGCATGTATCAGTACTCCAACTGCTTTTATGGATGAATAACATTCCATTGTATGGATATAACACATTTCATTTATCCATGAAAATACTTTGTAAAGGACAGAACAAATGATGCTGTCAGCATCCGTGGGGCTGCTTGGGCAGTATGAACATTTATAAATCATCCTTCTCTGCCCCTTCTACCAGGACTCATGGGCACTGTCCAAACCCTCCCTACCCAGTTGTACGGATTTTCCAAACGCACAGTGGCTCAGGATAGCAGCCCTGAATCTCACAGGCCATGATAGAAATAACTCAAATTCCTTCCGAGGGAATGTTCAGTGCCTCTCAAATTGTGTTATATACATCTCCATGGTTGGTCCTGGTAACCTAAGATGGAAGTGGCAAGGGCAGCACTGGCTTTAGGAACATGCAGCCCGTGCGGTCTCACAGGACCCCATGCTTGCTGAAGGTGCTCTTGTCACCATCTTGAAAGTCTTAATGATTTTTAATCAAGAGGCCTCACATTTTCATTTGCACTGAGCTCAGTAAATTATGTAACTAGTTCTGGGTAAGAGGCAAGGGATTGGGAAGGGGGAAGAATTTGGTGATCTTCCCAAAGCTAGTGGGACTATTACTGCTGTGTTATAACAGCTCATTGGCCAGGTTGAGGGGCAGGTGAGGGGTTGAAGGGAGGTGGAGATAAGCGGATGAGGGGTACCAGCTTCCAAAGAAAGCCCAAGACCATATCTTCCTACGCTGAGGGCTGAACACTTGGCTGATAAGGCCTCCCCAAAACAGCCAGACTAGCTGAAAGCAAACTTGATAAGTCGAGGCGATACAGGCTCAGACTGTCAAGCAGAGGGAACTCAAACTGAAACTTGTTTGATCTTGTGATTGCTTATAGGTTGAGACCAAGAAGAAAAAAGAAAAAAAAAAAACCCACATTTACTAAAGTAACCGGCACTGAGAAAACTTTTTAAATATTTACTTTTTTAAACTGTCACCTTTATTTTCAGCATATCAAGAAAGTCATGGTTTCATCAAAAAGCTGATATTCAATCCAAAGAGGGCAGAATTTCAAATGCAGAGGTCTACATGGATTTCAGTACTAGAAGGGACCTTGGGAACAACCTAGATCACTGGCCCTTGTCTGTCAGAGGCAAAGACCCCCGAAGCCCATCTGCATGGATCCCTAGGAGAGTCGATGCCTAGTCCAATTCTTATTTTATACATGAGGAAGCTGAGGCTGAGAGAGGGGAAGTAACTGTCCAAGGCTACCCACAAAAAAGGGGCAGGACCTAAACCTGGGAGCTTTCAGCTTCCCCTCCCAACCTCCCAATTTTATGAACACAACCAAAATTTATATATTGTAGGCTGGGCCGGTGGCTCATACCTCTAATCCCAGCACTTTGGGAGGCCAAGGCAGGCAGATTGCTTGAGTCCAGGAGTTCAAGACTAGCCTGGACAACATAGTAAGACACTGTCTCTACTAAAAATTTAAAAAAAAATAGGCAGGCATGGTGGCATGCACCTGTAGTCCCAAGCTACGCAGGAGGCTGAGGTGGGAGGATCAATTGAGCCCAGCAGGTAGAGTCTGCAGTAAGCCGTGATGGCACCACTGCACTCCAGCCTGGGTGACAGAGTGAGGGCTTGTCTCAAAAAAAAATTTTTTTAATATATTTTGTGTGTACCACCCCCCACAGTCTTTCCCTGGGTCCTCAGCTCATCTTCTAGTACCTGTCTTTTCCTTGCCAGAAAAGGGAGTCTAGGCATGGTAGGTACAAGGGCCACGCAGGATGAATGGAGCTCAGGAAATGTTGCCAGCCTACCATGCCAAAGAGATGGATCCACATGGCCAATGGAAAGCAATGGAGTCTCCACCACCCCAGCCCACTGTGTCCTTTTCCTATAGAGGAGACTAACCAAATCAAACCATCCTTAAAACCAAGGGCCTGGAGGCCTTTCATTTCCATTTGTGTTTATCTTTCCTTCCTCCCCTCCCTCCCACCTTTGCTCCCTTCCTTCTTTCAACAGATAGATACTGGGCACTTACTATATGTCAGGCATGTATTATTTATTTATTTACTTGACAGAGTTTCGCTCTGTCACCCAGGCTGGAGTGCAGTGGCGCAATCACAGCTCACTGCAGCCTTGACTTTCCAGGCATCAACAATCCTCCCACCTCAGCCTCCCAAGCAGCTGGGACCACAGGCGTGTGCTACCACACTTGGATAATTTTTGTATTTTTGGTAGAGACAGAGTTTCGCCATGTTGCCCATGCTGGTCTTGAAATCCTGAGCCCAAGCGATCCACCCACTTTGGCTTCCCAAAGTGCTGGGATGACATGGGATTACAGGTGTGAGCCATCACGCCCAGCCTGTGCCAGGCATGTTGTAGGTTCTGGGGACAGAGTAGTGAACAAAACAGAACAAGTTTTGGTGTTTACGTTCCACAGGGAGGAGACAAAGAAAGAGTTAAATAAATATCTATATGCCATGCCAGACGGTGATAAAGGCTCTAGAGAAAAGGAATACAGGAGGAGAGGGATCGAGAATGGTGAGGAAGGAGGGCATTTTATCTACGACGGTTGGGGCAGAGGTCTCTGGGGGAAGAGTGGAGTCAGCCATGCAGATACCTGGGGGAAGATATTCCAGGCAAAGGATCAGCAAGTGCAAAGGCCCCGAGGTGGGAATCTCAGGAACAACCAGGAGTCCAGTGTGGTAACAGTGAGGAGGAGGGGACAGGTTAGCAATGTGAGGGGTGGGTGGGGGTGGTGGGAGCCAGGGCAGACAGGCCCTGAGGCCACAGCTAGGCCCTTGGCCTTTTCTCTGGGGGAGATGGAGCATGCAGGGCTCTGAGCCAGGGAACAACTGACCTGACCAAGCCTTAACAGGACTTCCCCGACCACTGCTATTACCAGGCAGCCTGTGTGGGGCATGCCAATGAGAGGACTAGACTCAGGAGCCAGGCTGAAGCCCAGCATAGCCTCTAAGCAGTGTGTGATGCTGATAAAAACCCTTCCCTTCTCTGGACCTCCATATTCTCCTCTGTGACATGAGGTCAGGCTAGATGATACTTTATGTCTTTTCTTCAAAAGTCTTATGATTGCCCAAAGAGTCTAAATGTCTCACTCTCTGACTTGAGAGAAAGTAGGGAACAGCAGCCAAGTTCAAGAAGCCCCCAGCAATTCCCCACCGCCTGCCCCACCTTATAGCAATTTCTCACTCCCCAAAGGGCATGGCTCTCTAGGGAAAAAGGTCCAACCCAGGAAACAGCCACGTCAGCAATGTCCTCTAAAGATTACAAAGGGCAACCACTAAAGATAGCACAGCCTTTGCACGGGCTCCAGGGTGGGGTTGGGCCCACAGAGGGGCCACATCAGCAGGCACCACTACATCTCTTCTGCCCAGGCTGCCACACTCTCCCTCCTGCCTCCTCCACTTCTGTCCTGGGAGAAAGAAAGTTAGGGGTTTAAGAATGGAAACATCCATTTCCATGAGGATTCTCTTTGTATCACACATCATCAAACTGAGTCAGAAAGCAAGACTCAAATATCTTCCATCAGGCTGGATAAGCAGGGTTTGTCTCTCCCCCATCAGACTGGGAGGTCCTGGAGAACATGAACTGTTGCACCATCAGACTGAATTCATCCTGCACCTCCTTCTATGCCTTTCCCCTCAGACAGGGGCTTCCTGAGGACAGAGGCTGTGTCTCCCTAACAGATTGGGAGTCCCTGATGGCAGGGGCTGTGCTGCCCCCATTGGACTACAAGCTCCCCGGAGACAGGGTTTATCTGCCTCTTTCCCTCTGTCACCTCAATGCATCCCATAAGGCGTCTCAGTATTTGGTGGTTCCTTAAAACAAGGCGCTGGTTGAACCAGCGCCTTGTTTTAAGGAACCACCCAGGGATTGGACCACCCACCCAGGCATAATAGCCTGTGATCCCTAGCCATTAACCTATCTGAATATGAAGCTCCATGCTGAATGAAAAGAAATTAAAAATCAGCTTCACCTAACGACTTCCTAGTAAGGCTGTTTATAGGGTAGGACCAAAGGCTGTCCTCATTTTATAAATAGCCCTTTCTGGTGACTGTGGTGAGGCTGAGCTGAAATGCACCTTGAGGACCAAGAGCAGGGAGCCCACCAGCCCAGCCGTGATTGAAGCTGGGTTCTACAACCATCTTCTCAGCTTTCAGGATAAGAAGCCCATCTCAGAGAGGCAGGGCCACTCCTCCCTCAACGGAGGAGGGAAGGGTGGATGAGAAGGCAGGGGAAGTGGCTCAGCACAAGCTTCAGCACCTCCTGGGAGAAGCAGAGCCCACCCCAGACTTGGGGAGAAGTATTCAAGCACAGGAGGGCTCAGGGAGGCCATCAGAGGCTCCCCTGGAATCTAGTGTGCTGGCTGTTCTTGGCAAAGGGTTTCCACAGGACTGAAGAGGAGGGGCAAGAAGGCT
Organism: Homo sapiens; assembly: GCF_000001405.40. Taxonomy (NCBI): domain Eukaryota; kingdom Metazoa; phylum Chordata; class Mammalia; order Primates; family Hominidae; genus Homo; species Homo sapiens. The sequence continues at coordinate 42,381,917 of NC_000006.12, forward strand.
GGAACTGCCAATGGCTGAAACCAATAATAATAATAATCACAATTATAATAGCTAACACTTAATGGCACTATTGTAAGCACTTTCCCATACTCAGTTAATCCTCATTACAGTGCTAATAGTATTCCCATTTTACAGACAAGGCAACTGAGGCCTGCCCAAAATAATGAACAGGTGAGGAGTGAGGAGTGAAGATTTCAACCCTTCAGTGTGGTTCCCAAGTGTGGTACCCAAATCCTTGGGTGTTTCTACGGTTCCTCGGAGTCTCCAGGGTTGGACATGGAAGGCCACCCAGGGATGGGCATCCTGACGGCACAGGAGACTCATAGCACAACAGGGTCTCACCATGTGGGGAGCACGGACACACTGAAAATGCCACCTGATGCATCAATGACCCTTTCAGACCCTTCCAGCCTCAGGTTAAAACATTTTATCTCCCGTGTCTAGAGTATCCTTAAGAGAAAGAGTGATTCTCTTAGCAAAATCCTTCTCAAAGACGTGATTAAAAAAAAAAAAAAGCTGCCAAGCAGAAGGCAGTAGGGTGGAACCAGTGGTCACTGACAGGTCTCACCTCTCACAATCTGAAAAGTTAGGACACAGGGTACTGACTTATTTTAAAAACAGTGTGCTGGTTGCACTTTCAACTAAAATTCTCCATGTTTTTCCTAGGCCTCCACACCTTTTCAGGTGAAGTTTTTCTGAATGCAAATCAGTGAGTCCCACTGTGCCATAAAAGAGTGTCCAAAATGTCTGAAAACAGAAGGAAACAGTGGATTCGTGCAGCTTTTTTTTTCATATTAACAACCAGACCCCATTTTGCTTTACATCAGGGCTTTCATGTCTTGAACGTGGGATTTGGGGCTAAAATAGGAAGCTTTCCTCTGCACTGAAGGATGTTTAGTAGCATCCCTGGCCTCCACCCACTACATGCCAGTAGGATTCTCCTTCCTCTCCATCTCCCAGGACACAACAACTGAAATGTCTCCAGACATTGCCAAGTGCCTCTTGGGGCTTGGGGGGTGGGGTGGGTGTGGGGCAAAATCACTCCCAGTTGAGAACCACTGCTTTGTGTTTAGATAAACATCTGAAAAGTTGTCTGGAGGTTGGGGCAAAAAACATATTGATAGCAAGACCCTGGCTCTCCAAAAAATAAAACAATTAGCTGAGTGTGGTGGTGCACAGCTGTAGTCCCAGCTACTAGGGAGACTGAGGTAGGAGGATTGCTTTAGCTCAGGAGGTCAAGGCTACAGTGAGCTGAGATTCTGTCACTGCACTCCACTGCACTCCAGCCTGGGTGACCGAGTGAGACCTTGTCTTGAAAAACAAAAACAAAAACATATTGAGCATAGTTTTGAAAATGTAACTCACATACTGTTTACATCCAAATGTATCCTATTTCTCCTGACTTCTGGGACACTGTGTATTTGAAAATCTCCAGTGTCACTATCATGCCTCTTTCCTATGAAGCTGCCTAAATGCAAACACTCCGTGCTCTGGATACCCCCTAACACCCCCTTCCTCCTCCCAACCCTGGCTTTCCTAGTCTCATTTGTGTCCATCTCCCCACCAACCCTTCCTCACGTGTTCAACCCACCAGGAGGCACTTGCTCTCCATATGAGTCAGACTGTTCCCCGCTCCGACGAGCATTGTAGGGGTGAGGACCAGAAACCACCAAGCTTGGAGCCCCCAGCAGCCTCCAATGCAGCAATGGCCACACCCAAGAAAATGGACTCGTTTTCATCACCAGAGAGTTGATCCATCCCACTCACCAAAGCCTCATTTGAATGCACAGGCTGCCCCAGTCCCCAGAGTGGGCTACACAAAATACAGAAATGGGTCAAAGAGATACCAAATCTAAAAGACTTGGAAAGACCAACAACTCAACAGAAACATGGACAGACTATGAATCAAAAGAAAATACAAATGAATCCTAAACTTGTGAAAAGATGTTCAACCATACTCATAAAAGAAATACAAATTAAAACTGAGATACCAATTTTCATCCATCAGATTGGCAAAGATAAAAAAGTCTGATAACTTACTGGTAACTCATCAATGAATGAGACATCCTCACCACTGTGTTGGTGAGGATGTCTCATTCATTGATGGTTTCGGTGTAAATTGCTACAACCTCCTTGAAAGGATACTTAGTATGTCTATCAGTATCACAAATGTAGAGATGCTTTTACCAGTAATTCCACTTCTAGGAATTTATCCTACAGACATACTCCTATATATGCAAAAACATACACAAGGATACTCACTGCAGTATGATTTATGACAAAGGATTGGAAGTAACTACAATATCCACCATTTGGAGGGTTGCTTTAATAACTTATGATTCTTCTGTAAAATGGAATGTTATGCAGCTATAAAAAAGAATAAAGGAAAAAATGTTTTATAAGAATGAGGGCATCCTCTATGTCATAATATGGAATAATTTTCAATGTATATTGCTAGGTAAGACAAGCAAGCCACAGAATAACATGAATAGTATGCCAACAGTTGTTGAAAAATAGTACATATTCATATACACATTTATATGCATAGATTATCTTTGAAAAGATACCCCAAAAGCTAATAAAAGTGGTTACCTATTGAGAGGAAAAATGGGTAGCTGGGGGCAGAAAGAATTATTTAACCCACTTTAGACTCTTCATAACTTGCAAATTTTATATCATGTACACACCTCAACTATTAAATCAATCAATAGGAAGCAAGCAAAAAGAAAAAGTTTCTAAGTAACTGATCTAGTTCTACCACCACCATGTGTGCATGCATGCAACACGCATTATAGTCAGCTACAATTTTAAATCCTCTATTCCTATAAGTACCCATACGCATCAGTTCAAATGTCTCAGGGTTTTATTTTTATTTGTTCATTTTGTCTTTTGGGTTTTTTTTTTTCAAGACAGGGTCTCACTGTGTCGCCCAGGCTGGAGTGCAGTGGCACGATCTCAGCTCACTGCAGCCTCGACCTCCTGGGTTCAAGCAATTCTCCCACTTCAGCTTCTTGAGTAGCTGGGACTACAGGCATTTGGTACCATGCTCAACTAGTTTTTTCTATTTTTGGTAAAGATGAGGTTTCACCATGTCCATGTTGCCCAGGCTGGAGTGCAGTGGTGCGATCTCGGCTCACTGCAACCTCTGCCTCCCAGGTTCAAGCAATTCTCCTGCCTTAGCCTCCTGAGTAGCTGGGATTACAGGGTGTACCACCACGCCCGGCTAATTTTTGTATTTTTAGCAGAGGCGGGGTTTTGCCATGTTGTCCAGGCTGGTCTCAAACTCCTGACCTCAAGTGATCCACCTGCCTTGGCCTCCCAAAGTACCGAGATTACAGGTGTGAGCCACTGCACCCGACCTGATCCTGGTTTTCTGATTCAAAAGTAGGATGATCAACATAACAAGAATACACAAGGAGCTCACCAGCTTCTCTTCTTAACAGGGTTTTGAAAATGTTCTTCCTCAAAATTACCTTCCCATCATCTGAAAAATGTACAGTCACTGACACTGGGGCCACCACCACCCTGAAGTTACGTGGACAGGCAGGCAGAACCCTTTAGAAGGTGCACTATAATAACCACTGCCAGGAACGCAGGTGCACTCACACTTTCGATAATGCCTCCAAGTACTATCAGCTGAGACTGTGCAGCACAAAGTGACCTGGACCCCGAAACCTATCGGGAGTGGCAGGCACCTCTAGAAGCCACCTGAGAATCCTCCCTGCAGCTCTGCCTGTGGCAGTGTTTTAATGGCATATTACTCAAAGGCACCACTGACATCACTTTTAAACCTACCCCACCACCACTGCCACTTCATCATAAAATAACCCTTATATTTTAAGCTGTAAATCAGCATTTGTCAAGTTCTAAATTGGGCTACAGCAATATTTATTCATCAAAGAATAAATCTTCTCTGCACAGTCATAAAACTGCCTAATAATTTAATATGCTATCATTCTTACCTGAAACTTGTCAGAAAGTGGCCTGAAAGAGGTATGTGTTTTACAGTTGACTGGCGGTAAGCCTATAGTTTATTAAATAGTTCACAGTTTTAATTCTCTATATGGGGGGAAATGGCACACAGAACATATCCTATGCAGAATAACAATTCAGAGATTCATTAATCTCTGTTTTGGGATAGAAAAAAAGCAGATTCTCACCAGGTGCGGTGGCTCACGCCTATAATCCCTGCACTTTGGGAGGCCGAGGTGGGCGAATCACCTGAGGTTGGGAGTTTGAGGCCGACATGGTGAAACCCTGTCTTTACTAAAAACACAGTGTCAGGCACTGTATTTTTAGTAGAGACGGGGTTTTGCCATGTTATCAGTTCAAATGTCTCAGGTTCTGACATACAGTGACTGTATTTTTAGTAAAGACTAGTAAAGTGCCTGGTGGCAGGTGCCTGTAGTCCCAGCTACTCAGGGACTGAGGCAGGAGAATCGCTTGAACCCAAGAGGCAGAGGGTGCAGTGAGCCGAGATCACGCCATTGCATTCCAGCCTGGGCGACATAGCGAGACCCTGTTTCAAAAAAAGGAGAAAGAAAGAAAGAAAAAAGCAGATTCCCTAAAGAGGACCAAAGACTCCCCCAATGGGTAGAATAGATAGAAAAGCAAGAAAAACCCAAATTGTAGCACTTGGCATGGAGCGTGGACAAAAGGCACTGGATTAGAGAATTAATGTTAGGGGACAGGTCTGTGCAGCAACAAGACATGATGGAGAAATGTTAGAAGGAAAAGGTGGAAACACCTCTAAGCTGCAAAATTATCACAGATGGATCAAGAAGCCAACTCCTGGGACCCTTCCGGATCTTTGGTTGGGAAGCTCTCTGGAGCTGGGGGGTTGCATTTCAGCAGAAGGATGTTCTTCTCACAGCCCAGTGCTGAGACACTGCTCTCTCTGAGGATGAGATGCGCAGCAACTAAGCTCTTAGGTCAAGATTTCACAACTATTGACATTCAGGCTGATCATTCTTTGTTGGAGATGGGGTTCCTGTACATGTAGGATGTTTAGCAGTATCCCTGGCCTTCACCTATCACTTGCCAGCACCCCCTACCATCATCACCACCATCACCAATTATGACACCCAAAAATATCTGCAGACATTGCCAAATGTCCCCTGAAGGCAAAAACCACCCCGACTTGAGAACTACTGTCCTAGATGAATTAAGTCTAAATTTTTATTTATTTTGGGGGATTTAAAAAAATTTTTTTGCTGTTGTTTTATACACAGGATCTAAGAATTAAGTCTAATTTAACAAAGGTGGGCCACTGGGGGTAAACCCACTCTGCCCCAAGAAATGTTATCTATTTCCTTTTCACTGCCTTTTCTCAGAAGTTTCAAAATACAAATCTAAGGAAATGCAGAAACTAGAACATCAATATTTAGCTCACACGCTGCAAACTTCTTACTAGCGAAGTCCAAGCCTGCCTAAGGGCCGAGAAGCTCCAGCCAGACTTAGCTTTCTTTCCTTCTTTCCCTATTCTGTAGCCCCTCCAACATATCCCCTACCTACCAGCCTTTACCTTTTACTATTAAGTTACCCCCCATTTCCTTTACGTTCTTCCACAACCTTGTGGTTTACTCTGGCACAAGAACATCTTTCAGGCTGGCATGCACTGGTGGTTAATGACAAGGTGGTTTTCTAAGCCACAAACTCTATTAATTTTATGTTCAAATGCACTCGCTCTGTTCATGGGTGAGTGTGGGAGGCAACGCCTCCCCAGTGCTGAACACTGAATTCATTATAGTACTTCAATAATCAAACAAAGATAGTGAATCACTTTTTAATTGGGGGAAAAAAGCCAATTTCATATGTTCACATTCGGGGCCACATTTCCCACAAGAATTTTTACATCAGTAAACCAAGATGCTACCTTTTTTATTTTATTTTATTTTATTTTATTTTTTGAGACAGGGTCTGGCTCTGTCGTATAGGCAAGAGTGCAGTGGCACAATCTCAGTTCACTACAACTTCTGCCTCCCAGTCCCAAGCCATCCTCCCATCTCAGCCTCCCGAGTAGCTGGAATCACAGGTACATGCCACCACGCTTGGCTAATTTTTACATTTTTAGTAAAGACAGGGTCTCACTTTGTTGCCCAGGCTGGCGATCTTCCCGCCTCCACCTCCCAAAGTGCTGGGATTACAGGCATAAGCCACTGCACCCAGCCCAAGACACTGCATTTAACATGAAAGATTCTAGCCAGCGAGCTGCCTGGCTATCAGGGTATCAAAACCAATTGGGAGATAAGAGAACCTGGGCTGAACTCAAATAAATGTTGTTAAAAGATGCAGTTTTGATTTCTTTCTTTTTTTTTTTTTTTTAGGCAACTTTATTCAGGCAGTACTGGAACAGGATGGGAAATACTAACATGAAGTTGGGTTCGAATTATTTTTCACCTGTTTTTAATCATCTATTACACAGGTAGATGGTGCCCAACCTTCAAAACCAGAAGACTAGGAAAAATACGAGCTCAGCACACTTACACAGTCTCAACTCAGTGCTGGCTGGCCTGGCATCAAGTCCGCACAGTTGCCGCCAACCACAGTCAAGTTGGTACAGCTGCCATAGAAAGCTGAAAATCAGACTGCCACGAGATCTGCCTGAAAGTTCTCTGTACATTCCCCCAAGTTTCATCCACCTGAAAAATGCCAGTTACCACCACCTAGAACACCTTTAAACAGCTTGGTGGCACTGCCAGAGTAAGAGACACCTAAGGCTTGGGTTTTTCAGAAGGTGAGGATTCCGTTAGTAAGTTGATTAGAACTCCCAGAATTAGCCCAGCAGTGTCAAACAGCCATGAGAGGCAATCGGCTTGGTTTTTAAAAATGGTTTCAGTCTCATGCTCTATGTGTTCCATTCATTGTGTACAACTTCACTGAATTAGCAGACAGTCCAGCTTATGGCTTCCATGCCTCCACCAAACAAGATTAGAGAAAAAAACAAAACAAAACAAAACAGAAATGAAACCACAGGAAGGCAGGCAGGTATCCAAGTCATGGGCCCCAGTGTGGATCAGTTTGGATGCACTGTGTGCCTACAGGGTCTTGCAGGTGAAAACAGCCTCTGTTACTGAATCCTTCCACCAAGACTGGAACCTAGACACTCAGAGCAGGCCTTAAACACAATCTGAGAATGACAAAGACAAAATACCATGGACATAAGATAGAATTGGAGAGAGGGGGTACTTAAAAAGAAAAAATCAAGACAACCATTAGCTTTTCTTTAAAATAGCCCACTCCCTGGTGCACTTCCAGTAGAATACAGTTGACACTGAAATCTGTAAGGCTGTGGCACAGGCAAGAAGCGAGGTACCTCTGTGTGTCAGTGGCCAGTCTGCCTATCTATCAGCAAAGCTGGAGGATTCCGGGTCAGGATGTGCCCTGGACAAGGGAAAGCTGGCCCTAGAGAGACATTCTATTGCCAGGCTACAGACCACACTCCAAGCCCAGCTCTCTCAGAAACTGATGCCAGTGAAGGCAACGTGAGAGACGCAGGCTGTGACAAGAGTGAACTAAGAGGCAGGACACTGCTCCATCACTTTGGGTCACTGCTGGAGGTCCCCATTGTCCATCTCTCCATTGGCATCCCTTAGTGTTAAATAAGACTGGACCAGTGACCCAGCACGGAGCCTCTGAACCCCAAAGAATGTGCCCAGTAAGCATGGGCTCACCATTCCTGTTTTCATTCTTTTATTATTAATATTATCCAGCCGTCATTGATTAAGCACCTATAATGCCTTCCCTCCCAACTTCAAACACTTGATAGGAAGGTAAAGTGAGGCAATTCAGGTGAAGCCCACACAAACACATAGCTCTTATCATTAGCACAGCTATTATTGTGAGCTCAAACCCACTCAAAGCCCCTACAGAACTAACTCAACCTGAGTTAAGTGAGCTAAAATATCCCAAGAGGGAGTGCCTATCAGAAGCTTCATTTCTCAGGACCACGTTTGCTCTTCAAATGAGAAGCTAGTTGTCTAAAGGAACAATCTCTCTCTCCATCTGGCCAGCCAGTGACTTGTCCCTTGTATGTGTGAAATGTGCCTTCCCCAACAGGAGGCATTTTAAGCTTGACGGGGTTTTGTTAAAGTTAATATACGTGGGCCCTTTACAATCCTGGAAACTAATTATTGAATCGCCTCTCTCCTTCTTCAAGTCATCAGGTGGAAATGAAAAACGGAGGTAGAAGCAGAGAAAGAAAAAGTGTCGGGGGAGAATTCTACTTTCCCCACGTCTTCGAGTACAAGAGCTAATCTAGTCCTACAAACGAAGATATACAAGAGGCACAATTTAAATAACTTTCCCAGCCTTTAATTAAGCAAAGTAGAGTGAAAGGATCAACAGCCTCTGACATGAATTTGCATACCTTTTGCCAAGTTCTGTGTGTGTGGAGGGGGAGTCACATCTTCCCCAAACTTGTTTCACACTCACTACTCATTCTCTCCACAGGCCTCATAAGAGGCACAACCATTTAAAACAAACAAGAGCTTCTAACCCAACCATTTGAGAGAGCTATGTGATTTTAAAAAGAAAAAAAAAGGTCAACAGCGTTCTGAGTACATATCGCAAGCTTTGTTCTACTCGCTTCCCCACTTCCTGTTGCTTCCTCACCTCGTAACTTTTTATTTTTGAAGCCTATGCGTTCGCACTGGTATCACTGTAAGGTTTCAGTGGGAGGCCGTCGGAGAGACCAGGATGAGGAGGCTCTGTACTGTTCTGAGACAGACAGGACCGTACGAAAGACAGAAATCACAACCGCCCGGCCCTCAGGAAAGTACAGCCAAAATTTCACCGCTCCCGTCAACAGTGGGGGTGCTAGGAAAACAGTTGTGGGCGAGCTTTACTTTGTGGGGAGCACACTGTGTGGGCAATGGTCACTTAACCATTAGTTAGTACCAAGTGGCTTACAGCTGGGGGCAAGGGGAAAAAACACTTGACACCCACAGACCAAGAAATACACGAGCCGGCTCTGCAGGTTACTAGGGCCTCTCCAAACACCTGCCCAAGCCCTGCACTCCAGGGAGGGATCACCACTGGGAAAAGGAACTGAAAGACTGAAATGCTTTGTGAGTGGGACCCTGTCTTATCTCCAGCTTAGAACAGAGGTCAGAACAAAAGGGGGACATGGACACCATTTGGCCAGACCCTTCCTGTTACAGAGGACACCAGGACCAAGAGCTGTTATCACAAAGCTAATTTACTCACAGGAGACCAGGTATTGGATCCCAGTTCTCCCATCTCCCAGAACAGGGCTTTTCGAGATCTTCTCAAACGAACATGGAGCAGGTGCTCAATAAATGTTGGCTCAGCTACACTGGACTGCAATGCATGGTGGGTGGAGAGTGCAACCCTAAAATACTTTTTGTCTGATACCAGGAGGTCCCATCTTCCAGAAGATGTTTTGGGGGTTAGAGTAGCCTGTCCTCATAATCTACTCTGGCTCTTAAATGCCTAGGGTTAAGGACTGCCCTTCAACAGGTCCCTAAGCTAGACTGTTGCACCCATCTGCCATTATTTCCCAGCCGGGGGGAACAATTCTGGGAGACAGGGTGATATTGCACAAGTCACAGGGCAGGGAATGAAAAGCTGGGCTCCAGCCTCTGGTGAACAGTCTCAGCAGATGGCCTCAGGGAGTCCTCCTGCCCACACCCACCACCCCCATGCCTTCCTGCATCCACGTGTACCCTTTGAACACGATCTCTAAGAAGCTGCTGGTCCTGTGGGCCTCGGATCCTAAGAGCCTATACTCTCCCATCTGCTGGCCACCACAGAGCTCATTCTTCTGCCCCCACCTTCACCCTCAGCCTTCCCGCCTACTCTACCTGCCTAGAACATCTGTGGGCCCTCAGAACATGGAGCAGTGGGCTGGAGGGTTCTATGTACATTTCTACCTAATTTGAGTTTACCATGAGCTCTCGATGTGTCTTCTGGAATCCTCCCCACAGAGTAAAGCTTTGCTCCCAAAATAAAATAAAACTTAAAATGTGATGAAGGCCTGTATGTGCCAGGTGCTTGGCCAGGGTCAGGCTGGGCTGTGTCTCAGGAACTGGGAGAAAGACATCCAGAGTTGGAATCCAAACAGCTGAAGCCCAGCTTCACCCCATCAGCCTCTATCTCCTTCCCATGACTGATTTTCTTCGCAGACCTCATCGACACCTGACATTGTAGTAGATGTGTACACGTATACTTATTATCTGTCTTGCTCATTGGAAGGAATGCTCCATGAGGGCAGGGGCTGGCTTTGTCTATCCTGGCAGCCAGGGCAGCACCTGGCACATGGCAGGGGTGTGATGCCTGCTAAATGAATGAAGAAATGAATGAGTGAATGAATAAGCAGTTGATCCTGGATGTGCCTCAATCATGACCAAGTCACTTAACATCTTTAAGTTTCCTTATTTATAAAATGAGGATAATAATCATGTATTCTTTATGTGACTGGAGTGATCATTAAACAAGAAAATGATCATAAGAGCATTTAGGACGTACCTGGGACACAGCAAACCAACGATAAACGTTAGCTATTACTTGTTAGCCATTATTATTATAGTCACTGATGGAAACAGAGAGAAATAAAGCCTCTTTATTATACCCTGGGCAGTTTTTAGGCTAACTAACTGAAATTCTGTGTGTGTAAGACCTATCCAGAAAGGATCATTAAGAGAGGCCTGAGCCATGGGCCTGCATAGATACTATGGGTCCCTCAGAGCATCAGTCTTAGCAGAAAATCTTTTCATGTCCCTGAAAGTGATAAGCTCATTTGCACAAAGGTTGCTTTATGGGTCTCTGATAGCCATCATCCCAGCAATTAAAGTCTTCAAATACCTAATTCCTGCCCTCAAGAGCTTACAGTCCAGCTGGGGGAAATGAGACATTAACATATGAAAGGTGACCTATAAATTCAAACTCAAGACAACATATGTCAAATGTCAAATGAGTACACTGGAGATGAAGTCCTGAGAAACGCTGGTAAGGCGAATGTTTAACAAGCAGCACACACACACATACACACACATACACACACACACACACACACACACACAGCAGTTGTCAATTTCCATGGTATAAATACTCCCACTATGGCGTTTCAAGCTGCCGACGCGAGGGCCACTGGACATGGAGTTGGGAAGAGACATGCACAGTTAACTCCCACGAGCTGGTGCGAGCCAGCTTCCACACGCATCACCGATCTAGGTCCTATTGTCAATAATCTCTCAAACAGGTCAAGGGCTGTGGGCCAAGTGGTCAGTGCTAACAACCAGCATCTTTGTAGTACTTCAGGTTACAAAGCACATCAGAGGTCATTACTGTATTTCATCCTCACCACCTGGCCAGAAAGGCATTCCTGCCTTCATTTTGCAGATAAATAAACTGGGTTTCAAAAAAGTACCACAAATTTTTCACTGTCATTCTGCAAGTGAGTGACATTGTCAGGGCTTGAACCAGTATCTTCTGGGGCAGCCAAGGCCTCTCATCATCCCCTCTGCCCCTGAGAAGGAGGGCTTCTCAGAGAAGTGGTTGAAGGACGATGAGAAGTAAGTAAAGGTCAGAACAGAGATTCAGGAGAGGTACAGCACTTAAGCAGATGGTGAATTCCCTGCAGAGTGCAAAGGTCACGGGAGTGTGCAAGGCCTGGCAAAACCTGAAACTAATGCAACCATTTAGTTCAGTGTGCTTCACCAGAGAATTTCTTTCCTAAAACAGTGACCTAGCTATTAAAATCTGCATTCCCAAATCCGCTGCAGCATTAGGTGAATGAGCAAAAGAAATGGAAGGCAATTTAGATGACTAAATATAGGGGAGCTGGTTAAATAAGTTATAGAACTTCCGCATAATAGAATGCTGTGCCACCACAGAAAGTCAGGTTTTAAAAGAGCAGTGTACAACTAGGAAATCCTCACAATAGAGTTTTTAAAGCACATTACATAACAATATGTGCAATATGATTCCAGTTCTGTAAAAATGAACAAGCAGGCAAACTCTCCAATGTATATATGCAGGAAAAAAAAAAAAAAAAAGACTGGGATGTAAACTTCCAAATCCTCACACTGGTTTCTTCCAGAAAGATGGATGTTTTTATTTTCTTCTCTATGATTTCCTATATGTTCCAACTTATTTCTGTTAACAGGTTGCTTTTATGACCATAAAACAGTAAACGGACCAGATTTTTAAATCTGGATTTTCAAAGCCTGAGAAGACTACAAAGAATCAGTGAGGTAACGCCCAGGAAGACACCCCTCTAGGGTGAAGGTCCAGGTGCTCAGGCCTCTGATACTTTCCCCATATACTCCAAAGAGACAAGCCAGGTCACCCCCAAACTCCAACTCTCCCCCCACAACACACTAACAACAGCACATCCCTCCATACCATCCCCGTGCCTCCTCCGTCAGCAGGCTATCCTGTCTACACCCTCCCCTGATCAACGCCCACCTTGGTGGGGGACAAGGCTTGGAAGGCACAGCAGAGAAGCCAGGCACAGCCAGTAATTCATGAGCACCCTCCATGTGCTGTGCAGTAAGCCAGGGCTTCACATACGGGACTGCAGATGTACACATTCATTCTAATACCTAGTCATTGCTTCCAACACTTTCCAGAGAGGAGACTGAAGTTCAGAAATAATATCCAGGCTCACTCAGCCAGCGAGTGTCCAGGATTGGGAATAAAAACCAAGTCTAACCAGAAATGGTCTATAGATGCTTAAGAGGCTTGCCCAACAACTGCACTTGGCCATTAGGAAATGCAAAACAATAATAATATAGCAATACTAATGCAAAAAAATTTCAATTCAACTTTTCATTTATACTCAGGCTGAAAGTGAAATGTACCACCAGTCCTGATTTGAGAATATTAAAAAAAAACAGATATTTAATCATTTTAAAGGAAAGAAAAGGAAAGGAGGGGGAAACCTCAGCTCTGCGCTCAACCCTCATTCAGTGAAGTAAAAATAAAAACCCAACCTCCCCCCAACACATTGTGCTTTAATGAAAGCACCAAGCCAATCTTCTTCACTACCGCCCACCACAGCCCACTTCGTTTAAATTTAGGCACCCACCAGGCAAACTGTACCCAGCCACATTCTCTGAAATGAAGTCATAAAATTCTCATCTGTAACACCGGCACTTGTTCCCAGGAAAACAAGACAGGTGGGGTAGACAGGGCCGGCACCCTTCTGGGGAGTCCAGGCTGTGCCTCAGAAGAGCCCTTTGCAAAGAGTTGGTTCCGTGACCAGGCTCAGCCCACATGGGGCTGTGTGACCTTGTGACAGCCAACTTCCCCTCTACAAAGTCAGGGTGGACTAACTAAAAGGAGCGCTAAGGCCCATCTAAATGTACAGCTCTATGGCTAAAGCCCAGATGCCCCACCCACCTCCCAACACCCAGAAAATGAACAGCAACCCAAGATGGGGGTAGAGCAGGGCTAAATTCATTGGTGTGACCTGGGGCTGCTGTCATTCTTAAGATCTGGCTCTTGCAGTATTCAGTTCTCAGGAAATGTCTGACAACAGGAGGGGGACAGAGGATTGAGCCCGCAGGAAGGCTTTGGCAATGAAGGCTCTGTGGCCACCCTTTGGTCCCATTCAGGCAAGATCGGAGAGATTTTGCCCACTCGGACTCAACAAACTCTGAGTCCCTGATGCCATACCTGGCTTTGTAAGTGTGACTGGGTCAGAGAAGAGACCGAAGAGAGAAGCTACTAGCTAATGAAAACTCTCCTCAGTTTTCTGGATGAAACTGAGGCTTGAGGGGCCTACAAGCTAGCTGGATTTTTCTTCCAACAACCTAGTCCATGGATTTTTTTCCAAGGTTCTCTTCCAGTGTTTCATGAGCGTATCTAAGCCCTTACAGTAGGTCCATGATCACCCCTCAAGCAAAGGAATGAGACACTCTAGAAAAGGGGAATACAATTACCATTCACAACTCAAGGAGAAGCACGGCCTTAACAAATGCGTAGCTCACATCTCTGTACTACAGATGCCATCAAACTACCTCACGCTCACTGAGACCTGTGGATTGACCACACTGTTCAACCAACATGTGATTCCAATTCCTGCAATCAGTGGATAAGCAACTGCCATCTGATCAATGGTCATGCACACGTGTATGTGTGCACACACACACAATTCTGGTCTTCCCCAGGCCCTGCTCCCCTTCACACCTGGAATGTCCCAAGCAGGTCTGTTCCCAGTTCGTCATCTTCTGAGCCACCCTCTAAGGACTCCATCAGAATCCAGTAGAAAATCAGAAAGGGTCAGAAAAAGGAGATGTAGAGGAAACTGGAAGGAAACTGATGGCCTCTGCGCGCTGAAGCTCTCATATGTGTGACTTTACTATCCAGCTTCAGGAGCTGAGAAATAAACCTCCCAGACCTCTCCCCTTGCTCCGACCGACTGAAACAAGAACCCCAAATCTGGGCCCCCACCCCTCCTCCCACCATGGCCAACTCAAAGCCCAGAATGCCCCACCCTCCAAAGGTAGTACTTTGAAGGCAAATAAAAGTGAGATATGCATATTACACTAATTTACACAGTGCTAAATTTACCCAGCCCATCTTCCCAAGAGGGGGAAATGATAGAGAATAATAAATATTTTTTATTGTAAAAGTAAATATAGTACTTTTACAGTAAAATACTTTTATTGTAACAGTATGGCTGATGCAGGTAGTAGTGAAGAGCATGAACTCTGAAATCAGGATCTGGATTCTAATACAGACCCTCTCACTTAATAGCTGTGTGACCTCAGGCAAGCTACTCAACCTCTTCGAGATTTCTTGTCTGTACAGGGTGTATTATAAGAGAGAACATATATAACTTGGGATTTATTCATTTGTTTCCACAATGAAACCCACAAACTGTTTTCCTCAGCTGCCTGGGATGGTGGGAGGAGAATTACAAGTACCCCAAGAACTAGAAGGACCCAGACTTCAGAAGCAGAGTAAGAACGACAAGACAGGCACATCAGTCCCCTACCCTATCTAGGCCCCTGTACACACCCATACACACACCCTGAAGGAGGCGCTGCGGCCCTCACCCACAAACCCCCTTGGGCCACCCTTGCAGACAAGGAACACTGCAGAAATGATCTAGGCATCTGGTTTTCAAACTTTTTTTAGCAGCAGAATCACAGACCCCAATATAGAGAACAGAGATAAAAGGCAAGATGCTCTCAGAGCAGTGGATTCTAAGATTAACTGATCTGCAGCCCTGGAAGAAACTTACAAACTAAAATTACACTGTAACAGAGAAGGGGGAGAAAGAAAGGAGAGGAAGGAGACAGAGGGCATCATCGGAGTATGGAGACAAGAAATTTGATGTGTAACTGGGTTGGGACCTCATGAGGATTACATCTCATTTGTGAGACAAAAACCAACAGCCTCAGGCACTTTCCCCAGAAAGTATTCTCTATACAAACTCCTGGTTAGAGGGGTCAAATGACAGGACACAGGCACCGTCGGGATGTACTGTAGAATGACAATATTATATCACTGATTAATATTGATTAAGATATTATTCAATATTGAATTACTGATTAAGATTCAAACACTCACCCTACTCCCTGAATGGCTTTCACCTGCCTGACAAAATCCCCTATGTCCCAAGACATCTTCTGGGAAAACAGATACAAAATGCCCAATGCCTTTGCCCCAGGAAATGCCACCTCCTATTCAGCCACCACTCCTCACCTCACTCATCCTCGTTGTTTGTCTTTTCAGGTTTCATGGACAGCATTTATTTTCCAATAAAAACCCCACTCTATTAAACAGAAGGACACCCAGCCAATTGTGCCAGCTCAGAAGCTTGTCTCCATCAGAAGTGCATTAATAACCCACTCAAGCGAAGTGTATGACTTGCTAGTTTGGGCAGGTCATAGGTCAGAAGATATCTGCTCTTAGAGAAATAATATATACAGCAATCGTCTGATAAACCAGCCAAAGACCAACATTACAGAGCAGTGGCACTGTGGAGGGGTCCTCCAGAAAGCATGGCCAAAATAGAATATTCCTTCCACTCATCGCAGAAAGTCTGAGTGATGTGAGCTAAGACAGCAAAATATTTTCACAAGCATTCCCACCGGTCAGAAGCCAACTCCACTTTGCAACCTGAATCCTATATTATTATTTGGGAATGACTGTTTAGCATCAGTGATTCCCAAGAAGAAGGTGATAAGTCAGTAGGATGGGAAGGGCAGGGGCCCTGAAGTCAGAGTCCTGAGTTCAAATCCCAGCTCCAGCACTTGCTAGCTGTGTGCCCCTGATTAGATGATGTATGCGGACTGGATGAACATACACAAAATATTCAATAAATACCAGCCCTCTCCTAATGCCTTCCTTCTATCTCCAACCCTACCCCCAAAGTGAAGCAGGTCTGAACATTTTGCAAAACCATTATAGGGCATGTACCATTTAAACCCAGGACAGAATCACCTCTGAGTTTGTGCAGTATGGTAATAAGGAATCCAGAGTGTGGCCATCACATGCCCTTGGTCCTTATTTTCCTAAGCACCTTTCCATAATTTGCCCAGTGCCAAAATTCTATTCATCCTTCAAAACTCAGATCCAATGCCATCTTTGCATCTCTCAACAAAAATTAACCCCCCGCTTCCACTACTCCATTCTGCCTGTGTGCTTACTTTGTTCTCCTTGGTATTACAGTTATGTTATGGTTCTGCCCCTCCAACTCCAAAGAAAAGACTCTCCAGAAGTGAGATCTTGTCTCTCTCATTCCCCAAACCTTCTGGGCCTGGCACATTGCCTTGTGCATGGCAGATCAAGAAAGATTTTGGATGAACGGGTGAATAAATGGATAGACGGATGGATGGGTGGTTGGATGGACGAATGTATGGGGAAGGAATCCATTCAAGATTGTCCTGACACCATGTAAAATGCATGATCAAAGCAATTCTGTAGTGAGAGCTCATCTTAAGTAAGCCAGTGAAACTACAAGGAGATCATGCACTGCTAGGGAGACCATCCCACAGGTAACACCAATGCTCTGGGGAGCAGCAGAAATACTGGCCTGGAACCTACATTGTGTAGGCCTGATTCAAGCTCTGATCCAGTGTGTACCTCAATCAATTCCCATCCCCTCTATGGGCCTCAGTTTCTCCATCTCACCACCTGCCGCCTGGAAAACACAGGGAGAGATTTAACCAGATGGAAGGAAGTCAGGCAGCATGGAGAGAAAATGCTACATAGTCCCCAGGGTCCATTTTATTTTCTAAATGGTTTTGTTGTTTGGTGACTTTTAAAAAGAAAACTCCAATGGAAGAGAAATGAAACAGAATGTACAGAATTTTTTTTAAATAAAACAAAAATCAGAAGGAAGTAGGTCCCTCTCATAGGTTTCTCATTAAACCAATACTGTAGTCAAATTATAGTAATGAGCTGGAGTTATCATTCCCTTTACAGACAAAAACATACTAAACCTAAAATGATCAAAGAGAAAGTATAGACCCCACCACACTAAATTCCACCCCAGAGCTCCCCTGACAGTGAAATCGTTCCAGACTACCAAGCGAGGGACCTGGGTGTCTTCAGGTATCTGCTTGCATGAAAGGAAGAGGTCCTCCTGAATGGAAGCCAACACCCAAATGCCAGCACACAACCAGGAAAGAACCCAGACCTTGGAGCGGCTGCAGCGCTGGGGTCCCTGGCCAATGCAGTCCCGGTGTAGCTTTGTATCTAAAACACTGGAGCAAGCAAGTTCTTCCAGTTTTAAGACTTTGGAAAAGTCACATGCATTGCTGTAGTCTGTTCCAGGCCTAATGCTGATTTGAAGTAACCAGAACTTGACCATGGGGAAGGAGAGGGAGTAGGGAGGAGAGAACACCTCCAGTGGGTCATTGAGACTAGAACTGTGGCATTCTGAACATGTCTGGTAGTAACTGAATGCTCTGGGAACAGAGGCCAGCTTCTCTACCCTAGTTTCTCATTCCCATCCATCCCCCATGGTCAGATCCTCTATGGTGTGGTAGTGAATGGAGAAAGTCACTTTTGTTGCCCACCATTAATCCACACTCTTTCTGTTCTCCAAGAGGGTCCCACAGGACCTCAAATAGATGGAATTCTTGTATTAGAGCCATCTGATATTCCAGGAGTCACTGTGAGACTGTGGAAAGAACATACTCTTTGGAATCAGAATTGTGTTAGAATCCTGATTGTCACTCAATGGAACCCACCCCAGAGGAAAACCTGCTTTCACTGGATCCAGTCGTCTCCAAAGAGGAGTCACAGGACCTGCATCTTTTGTGTGGAGAAAAATACTCCTGGTCCCAGTCACAGACCATAAACCTAACCTCAGCCAGCTACACCCTAAATGCAGCACCACTATTACACAATGGAGAACCAAGCACAGGGGTCTCGTACGGCTCCATGTGATACAACCCAAATGACAGCTGATGACAGCTGCGCAGCCCAGCATGCAAACACATGCCAAGAAGGAGGAGTAAGGCAGCTAGATAATAACAAATATAACTATCCTGTGAGGTGGGGCGGGGGCAGCAGTTTCACCCCATCTCATTGTGAGGGGCTTTCCTTTGGCACAAGCATTCACGATTGCTTGACACTGGCTTGCTTATTGGGGGTACACCTGGGGATGCAGTTGCAAACAAAACACAACCTTTCCCCAACCCCAATCACCCACCACCACCAGGGCCCATGCCCTTAGAAGGGCAGTAAACATTGGCTGGAGGAACAGCAGCATCCTTGTGAGACTGTGGGTTCCAGAAGCAAGGGGGCTCCACTCTAGGACAATCACCTCCCCACAAAGCTGGGGATGGGAGAAGACGAGGACTCACGGAGAAGACACCAGCAATAAAAAAGGAGGCAGGTGTAATGGGTGTCCAGCCATGGCAACCATTATCCTGAATGTCCCCAAAGTCCCAATGTCAAATAGTCTGTCACCACCACCCCCATAAACACTGGCTGTGTCCCAGACAGCACCACATTTCAGAATCTCAAATAGATGTTCTTGACAGGTCTTGCTCCCAAGGAAGACACAAGATTGTCTAGGAGACCCGAGTCCCAACTGGGGCCTTGGAAAGGACAGAATTCACCACCTCTTCTGCTTCACTGGCCAGAGAAAGGTGGAGGGGTGTGAACTAAACTGCAGGGGCCCCTGGCCATCCTCCCAATGCACCAGAAAAGCACGGCCCTGTCAAAGCATCCGGGGCCAATCATTTGAGAAGCCTTTGAAGAGGAGGGCACAGGCCACAGAGGGTGGGAAGGGCAGGTATTCTATGGGGGCCAGCAGCAAATACCTCAGTGGAGAGGCAGCAACCAGCCAAATGAGTACAGAGGCCAATCTGAGATACTGAATTAATTACCATAAAAAACCAGGCCGTCAACTACCAGTTACCCAGAAGGACTATCTCAACACCCTTCTTTTCACCAAAGGCTCCCTTCACCATCCGTGCTCTCAAAAGAAAAGATTCACAACACTTCTCATCATTACAATTAACACCTTTTCAGCCCTACTATGCTGTAGGCCTACACCAGGTACTTTAAATATCTCATCAAATGCTTAAAACCACCCAATTCAGGAAAATTGTTATTATCCCCATTTTACGGATGAGGTAACTGAGGCCGAGAGGCTACATAACTTAACCAGAGCTCCAAGGCACAGATAAGCATACAGACATGCACAAAAAGATTTTATCCGCCCCACCAGATTTCAAACTCCATGAGACCCCCAGGCCCTGCCTCAGAGCCTGCTTGCAGAGAACCTAGCTCCCAGTTTGGTGCCAGCATGGATGGGGCACTCCGTGGGTATCTCTCCAGCCACTTACCACTCTCCACACCCTGCCCAACCCCGCCCCACCTGCAAGAGGGAACATGCTGTGCCTGGGAGTCTTGTCTTTTCAGTTCTTCACAACTGAGTTCATCCCCAAAGATTGAAATGCCTCAAGCCCTGTGTACCACTGGAGACCAAATGGAACTTCACGGATTCATTTCTTGAAAAGAAAACCACCACCTGCAGGCAGACAGGAGCCAACTACATTTCTACTTAAGGAAAAAGGTCTTGGGCTTTGAAGCATTCCTCTCAGCAGCCGATAACGAAGAAATAAGAGTGGGTCCTTTTATTAAAAATTAATATTTTACATAAAAACAAAACAGATGCAACATAAACCTCTAGTCTAGAAGCAAGTAAACACCAATTTGCACAGACTTGTTTAGTTGGCTCCAAAATGTGCCTTCCACTGTTTGGAGACCAAAATTAACTTCCAGTAGTAAATTTAGGAATGAAGAAGTTAAGATGGCTATGGACCCTCACCCAAGACCTTGGTACTACTTGGGACCATAAAAAGGATTTTCTATGTCTTTTTAGACCCCTGAGGCTGGGTTGCCTGTATTGCAGAGGGCCCTGTCAGTCCCAACTGGCATGCATCTGCCGGGCATCTGAAAGCTTTACAGTAAATGGTGACTCATCTATTGCAGCCACCATAGGTACCGCTAATGTAATAAGCTGAAGTTTGTTCCATCCACATGAAAGAGAAACACCGGGTGCAGGGCTGTGAGCCTGACTAAAACTGAGACCCCTGTTCACCGCTACTCGTCAGCATCTAGCTGCAACTCAAACTGTAATTACCCAGCTCTTAGGGACTGAAGGCAGGGGGAAGGGGGGTTTCTAAGGAAGGGTCACATCCATAAACACAGAACTCACTTCTTATAAGTCATTTCTTTTGTTATTGTTGTTGATTTGGTTATTACCAAATGTCTACCCTTCTGAATTCTTATAAAGTCATTTCTTATCAAGCTAAGTCTCCCCATGTGGTCACTTATTCAACAAATATTAACGGAGCACCTACTACATCAGACACCATGCTAAGTGCCAGATACACAAAGGTGAGCAAAACAAGATCGAATGCTGCCCTCATGGAGATTCTAAGTCCGGACTAGCTGCTTTACATACCTTTTCTCATTTAATAGATCCATCTTACAGATGAGAAAACTGACGCTAGGAGAGGTCAGGGAAGTCACCCAGGGTCGCACATTAATTAAGTGGGGAGCCTGGACTCACACCCGCTTCTGTGGCACCCTGAAGGTGAGGCTCTCAGCCACCAAGTTGCTGACAAAGAGAGAGGAGCGAGGTCCAGTCCCTGTTCTGAGGAAGCTGGAGCCTAGTTAGGACAGGGACAATAAAGAAAGTATTGGGGTGCAAAAAAGAAAGTACTGGGGTGCTCACAGAGAGGGAGCGGCTCACGAGACAGAGACAGCAAACCTCAGCTGGGGTAGATTCTGGACATCTTCCCCAAAAAAGGCCATGAAAGTGGGAGGGAAATAAGGCCCAAAAAAGCAGGTAAAAACGAGGCTGGTGCTAGGTTGTCTCCCAAAAATTCACGGCCACCTGGAATCTTAGAATGTGATTTTATTTGGAAATAGGGTCTTTGCAGACATAGTTAGTTAAGATGAGGTTATACTCATCTTAAGCTCACCTAATCCAATGACTGATGCCCTTATTTATAAAAAGAGAAAATAGCGACACACACATACACACACACTCACGGAGAATGCCACGTGACAATGGAGACAGGGATTGCAGTGATGTTGCTACAAGCCAAGAAACACCCAGGATCGCCAGCAGCCACCAGGAGCCAGGAGAGAGGCACGGAGCAGTTTCTCCCTCAGAACCCCTGGACGGAACCAACCTTGCCAATACCTTGATTTCAAATTTCCAGAACTGCAAGAGCAGACATTTCTGTTGCTTTGAGTCATCCGGTATGTAGTACTTTGTTTCAGCAGCCCTAGAAAGCTAAGACAAGGCAAGGTCCAGGCAGGCTGTGCACATTGTGTTAAGGAGTTTGTACTCCACCCTGCAGGTGTGGGGCAGATTGTAAGCAGCAGAATGGGATACATTCCAGAGCGCATTTTGTAACCGGAGCTTATATCCTTCAAATCTATGGTCTCCAGTCCTAGAGCTGTTAGTGTCCTCCAGGGCTTCATTGTCCACTGTCCATGCTTTCCCTGCCCACATTCTTCTTGCTGGGCTCATCCGCACTGACAGACTTGAAATTCCATGAGACCCCCCCCAGGCCTTGCCACAGAGCCCGCTTGCAGAGAACCTAGCTCCCAACTTGGTGCCAGGCATGTATGGGGCACTCCGTGGGTGCCTCTCCGGCCACTCACCACTCTGCCTGACCCCACCCCACCTGCAAGAGGGAACATGCTGTGCCTGGGAGTCTTGAGTACTAGACTCAAGTACTAGAATCTGTTTGCAGATGGTGCCCGACTCCAGCCAGGACATTCTTCTGAGCAGATGCCTCTAACTGTAGTTCCCATGGGTTTCTCAAGCTCAACATGTCAAAAGGTAATCTCAGCTCAACATCTTTCACCTTATTTCTCTTGGGTTCCTCCTCATCTTTGTCAATGGTGCCACCAAGCATCCAGTAACATGCTAAAAGCTGGGGGTCACCGTAGACTCCCCTGCACACCTCCACATCCAGGGAACTACAAAATTATCTCTCCATTCTAGTCCTACTTTTTCACTCCATAGCACAATTCTAATCATTTCCTCTCTGGATTCTTGCTGTGGCCACGTGATGCATTTTCATTCCTCTAAGACTCCCCCTTTTCTCCCCTACCCCCACCCCAATCCAGCCGTCTTGAATGTGAAGCCAATGCTGACTCCAAGAAGCACGGCTTTCAGAAAAGCTACCTCCAGCCCACTGCACCCAGCCTGAGGGCCTCTGGTGATTCACAGGCCTTAACCCTGTCAGGAGCCCCACCCAACCTCATTTCCTTATCCTCTCACCCCAGCAGGATACTCTCCTCCTGCCTCTTGATCCTACCGTCTAACCGCTCTCTGTGCCGATTCCTGCTTCCTATCAGAGCTAAGCAAGTGCAGAATCCAAGGCCCTAAGGAGCTAATACCTCAGGGCTGCTGCTTTCTCTTACTAGGAAACTCTCACTTTGGGTTTTCTTTGTGTTCATCAAAAGAGAACAGTTCTCATTTGCAGGACTAAGAGAATTCCTCTTGCCTAAGGGTGGGACAGGGAGATTGAAGGGTCACTAAAAGTTTTACATATTTAGTCAAAGCTAATATACCCACCCCCAGGCTACAGTCAGCAGATAGGTCAGTTTCTCAGGGGGCTGGATAGGGTTCAAAGTTGCAGACCAGTGTAACAGCAACCACCACTTACAGCTGTGCTCCAGAACTCTGGGTATTATTTAATCTTCACGGTAACCCTACCAAACTAGGTGCTGTTATCACTGCCACTTTATAGACAGAAAAGTGAGGCATTAAGGGTTAAGTACTCTGACTCAAAGTCTTACAATTGGGAAGGGAAAAGGCAGCAGTTAAGGACCATCCCAGCTGTGTTCCAGTGAGGTCACTTACAAGGAAGGGAGGGAATTTGGTTCACACAGCCTTAAGATGCGAGGCCCCAGCACACAAGGTTATACTGATGTGTGCTCAGGGATGGAGACAGAATTTGAATCTCCTCCTGTGGGACTCTCTAGGCCTCCATTTCCTTATCTGAAAAACAAGAATGATTAGCCCCACCCAGAAGAGTTATTGGGAGGATTTAAATTAGATGATGTACGTTCAATTACAAAGCAAAATGCCTGGCACACAGAAGGTGCTGCTTCAAACTGAAAATAGACGGGTCTGGTGCGGTGGCTCACACCTGTAATCCCAGCATTTTGGGAGGCCGAGGTAGGCAGATCACCCGAGGTCAGGAGTTCAAGACTAGCCTGGCCAACATGATGAAACCTTGTCTCTCAAACAAATACAAAAATTAGCCAGGCATGGTGATGCACATCTGTAGTCCCAGCTACTTGGGAGGCTGAGGTGGGAGGACTGCTTGAGCCTGGGAGGTGGCAGTTGCAGTGAGTTGCGATCACACCATTGCATTCTATCCTGGGCGATAGAGCCAGACCTTGTCTCAAAAAAAAAAAAATTAAAAAAATTAAAAAAAATAAAAAAAAAATAGGGAAGGGGCAGAAGATCAAGACAGAGAGAAGCAGGCAGGGGGAAGCAACTACCTGCCCCTGTGGAGTACAGGGAAAGTGTTACTGACCCACCATGCAACAAAGCCCATGACACAGAAGCACCGTCATTTCCAAGGGGCAAGAATCCTTTGTGATCACAAAAATAACAAGAGCAGCAGCTAGTGTGTATGGAAGACCTGGAAAGTTCCAAGCACTTTCCAGATACAACTCAGTTAGTCCTCCTCATATCCCTAGGAGGTAAGTTAGTCATCCTCATTTTACAGAGGGAGAAACTGAGGCTCAGAAAAGTTGGCTGACTTGGTCACAGTTATGGAGGCTGGCAGCTGTAAAGCTGGGACCTGGCCCCAGGTGACTAACTCCAGGTCCCACATCCTATCAACTGCTTCCCGAAAATCAGTCAGACCCCCTTCCTGGTTCCTGACCTTCCTCTTCCCTCTTCATCTCAGAATCTTCTTGCCCTTCACCCTCTTCTCTTCTGCCCCTCTCCTCACTCCACGGAAGAAGATGAACTCTGGCCAGTGCCGATGACTCCTCTTGTTGAAAGGGCATTGGTACAGAGGAAGGACCACAGGCAGAGCAGGCAGAGGCCTCTGTCCTGGACCCAAGTCAGCCCAGAAAGGAGCTCACATCCCAGTCCCTGCACACCCCAGTTCCCTCAGCTCACAGGTTGCAATCGGGCTCCAATGAGTTAACAGACCTGGGTATGTCCAGTATATCCTAGACGACTGCTCAAATCTACCTAATGTCTTCTGGAACCTTCCTCAACAAATGCTGCCTCTCTCCGGCATCCCCCATACTGCATCTTAGCCAGTCACTAGCCCCTTGCCCTGAGTGGCCCCAATGTCCCTCGTCTTAAAAACAGCATCCCTGGCCTTGCTGCCTTCTCATGACACTTACCCCCCACCCCCCTCCTCCCCAGCCTTTGCAGGGATTTGTGTAACCACTCCCTCTGGATGTACAAGCTCCCCAAAGGCAGGGACAATAATCCACATTCCCTATGGGATCCTGCATTGTGTCTGTTTTGGCATGCATCCAGGGGAAACCTTGACAAATAGTAACTGAAAAGCACAAAGAACATTTAAGCATTACATCTTAGGTCATTCTCACAACAAACCAGGGAGACACAGAGGTTATTCCCATTTCAACATGAAGAAACAGGGGCTTGGGCTAAGAAGCTCAAGGTCATCTAGCTCCCAAGTAAAGGAACTCAACACTAGAATTCATTAGTTATGCCCCAAAGTGTCCTAAACACACCAGATAAGTGGCTGGCCTCCTTTCCTTCCTGCTTTTTCCACAAACCAGGCTTACAAAAAGTTTCAACTGCATGGTAAATCTAAGTCTGCTCAACAAAATGCTCTCTTTAAGTCTCTGTCTTCTCCTCTTAGGCCACATCTCCAGATCTGAAATGGAAAGGGCACATATTTATTTGCTGGGGGCTGCAGTCTCTTTTCACCGTTATTCGCAATGACTCTGTTGGCTGCCCTGTTTGGGGCTGTGTTTGTCTGTCTGCCCGTCTCTGTTGTCACGCTAGTCCTGGATCTGCCCCCAAACTACAGACATTCTGCAGAGATGGGACAAAACGAGGGAGAGTGGGCAAGGGGCTCCAGGATTCCATAAAACCGGCTCGACAAAGAGAATGCCTGCTCAGAAGTCAAGAACTCCTGTGATCTAATTTGTGGGTGTCACCATTACCTCCTCTCAGGGTGGAGACTGGGAGCTTGAGAAGAGAGATGTGACTTGTCCAAAACCACATGATAACGTAGTGACTCAAATCCAGCTCCATGTGGAAGACTTCCCAGTGCCGTCTCTCCACCGCAACGCATTTCCTCTTTTTACTACAGAATTTCCCCCCTCCTTTCTTCTTTTAAAAACCAACATTCCATGACATATTTACAATTTTACAGAGAAAAAAAAAACCTAATCAAAAGTACATCAAATAAGCCCTATACCTGTCCAGATTCTTATGGACGTGTGCGCACAGATATTTACCAGGTCATCATCAGCACAGGTAAGCGATTCCATATTCTTGTCGCACTTAACTTTGCTCTGTCTATCTCGTATCAAGTGTTTGAGTTCTCCACTGTATTGTTTTCACAGCATTTGCCTAACTATTCCCTAATTACCTGCATTTGGTAAAGAAAAAAGAAAGTGAAACACCTTTGTATCTCTCAGTTTATGATCCAGGCTTCATACAAAATGATGTGTTCCTATGCCTGGGTTATTTCACCAATATAGTCTAAGTATTTGCCTTAAAGAACTTCATCAGTTCTGTGCTTAACTTTGATAACATGTCTTATCCATTGGTTTATTACAACTGTTTCCCTCTTCCATTAACTTCGCTATATAAATAAATATATATATATATATATGTGTGTGTGTATGTATATATACATACACATGTGTGTGTATGTATATATACATACACATGTGTGTGTATGTATATATACATACTCATGTGTGTGTATATATATATATACATACACGTGTGTGTGTGTGTATATATATATATATATCTTTTTTTTTTTTTTTTTTTGAGAAAGAGTCTCACTCACTCTGTTGCCCAGGCTGGAGTGCAGTGGCGTGATCTCGGCTCACTGCAACCTCTGCCTCCCGGGTTCAAGCGATTTTCCTGCCTCAGCCTCCCGAGTAGCTGGGATTACAGACATGTGCCAACACACCCGGCTAATTTTGTATTTTTAGTAGAGATGGGGTTTTGCCATGTTGGCCAGGCTGATCTCCAACTCCTGACTTCAGGTGATCCACCCACCTTGGCCTCTCAAAGTGCTGGGATTACAGGCATGAGCCACCGCACCCTGACATCCTTTAACATGATTTTATTATTTTTATCTTATAGATTTTATTCCTTTATAGTTGAACACATCTCATTCCATTAATGATCATTTTTATGGAATTTTCAAACACATTTGCTCTCGAGGAAAAAATACCACCTGCTTCCTCTGAGTTTTAAGAGTTTGTAAAACTAACTTTTTAATACATCTAAAATTTATAACATATGATGTGAGATATAAATCTGAGTTCACTTTTTCCACACTGTTATCTAGTTTTTCCCAAGAGCTATTTATTGTAAAATTATTTCTTTCACTATTGTTTGCCTCTCCAAATTTGTCATATATAAATGTCTTCCAGGTCAGGCGCGGTGGCTCATGCCTGTAATCCCAACAATTCGGGAGGCTGAAGCAGGAAGATAATTGAGCCCAGGAGTTCAAGACCATCCCAGGCAACATGACAAAATCCTGTCTCTACAAAAAATTAGCTGGGCATGGTGGTGTATGCCTGTAGTCCCAGCTACTCAAGAGGCTGAGGTGGGAAGATTGCCTGCGCCCAGGAAGTTGAGGCTGCAGTGAGCCGTGATCACGCCACTGCACTCCAGCCTGGGTGCAGTGAGACCCAGTCTCAAAATAAATAAATAAATAAATGTCTTCCATTCATTTAGATCTATTTATTGTACTGATCTTCCATTTTCCTGCTTTATCCTACTATTGTACAATTTTAATAACTACTGCTTGCCTGCCTTGTTTGCTTAGAGAAGTCTTGCTCCTAAAAGATTTTCAAAACATCCTTTGATATGCATGTCCACCAATTTTTCCTGATTATTATTATAATTATCATGTTCTTGCATTATGAAGTATTTCACTGGAATTTTAAATGCCAAAAGGGCATGAAATCTAGGCATAAACTTTGGAATGCTGACCCTTTAATGCTTTAATTTCTGATCAGAAGCAGCCATGTAGGATTTTGTAATTTTCTTTGAATAAAAATTGTGTCATTTGCAAACAGCGATATTTTTATCTCTTCCTTCCCTATACCAATCCCTCTAGTTTCTCTTTGTTCCTATATTGTTATGACAAGCATCTGTTAAACTATGTTAAATAAGAGTAGAGATAAGGGGCATTTTGGTTTAGTTCCTGTTTTTCAGGGCACACTTCTAGTATTTCCCCACTCAGTATCTGCAGCCCCTGTGTAAGGATTGCTACACGGTTATACACAAACAGGCTCTTTATCCTACATAGGGGTAAATCCCCCAACACACCTATTTTTTTACTCTTCTGATGCTTTATAATGCATATGTAATTATTTCCAGTATTTTTCTACATCCACTGAGACCAAATTCATTCATCCATCAAACATTTGTTGACTGATTATATTTCAGGCACCGTGCTGAATAATAGGTATTCCGATTTTTATGATTTCTTTCTATTAATATTGGCCTCTCTGTGTTGAATCAGACTTATATTCCTGAGACGAGCCTTGCTTGGTGATATTTCAAGACTCTTTTTTTGAGACAGGGTCTCACTCTGTCACCTAAGCTGGAGTGCTGTGGCATGATCAGGGCTCACAGAGTCTCAGCCTCTGGGGCTCAAGCAATCCTCCCACCATGCGATTCCTCCCAAATAGCTGGAATCACAGGTATGCACCACTGTGCCTGGCTAATTTTTTTTTTAACTTTCTGTAGAGATGGGGTCTCACTATGTTGCCCAGACTAGTCTAGAACTCCTGGGCTCAAGCAATCCTCCCCTGTCAGGTTCCCAAAGGGCTGGGATTACAGGCGTGAGCCACTGTACCTGATCTCAACACTCATTTTTTAAAGAGCCCATTCAGTGACCATAAAATTCATCTGGAAAAATTAATAAAGAATACTGAGATATCAACCTCCAAAACCCAAATCAAACATCTCCTCTGTGAAGCCTTCCCAAACCTCACCTTTATTTTTTTACCCTCGCCTTTCTGAAGTAGAGTTGGAGGCTCCTCAGTCCCCCCTCCCTCCATCACCACATTCATTTAACACAGGGACTGTAATGCAATCAATCAATGGCCATGTGTCTGATTCCCCTCAGGACTCAGTGCCCTGAGGACAGAGACATGGTATATCACCAGGGCTAACTACTATGGCTACTGGATGGTAGATGTGCAATAAACATTTCCTAGTTAAGTCATTCACCTATTTATTTATTCCACTGATGACTTCTGCAGCTGTGTGTTTACATGAAATTGATCTGTAATTTCCTTCTTGAAATGAGCAGGGCATGGACAAGCCCACTCAGTTCCAAGCACATACAGAGAAGCTGTGGTCCAGTGGGCAGGCCTCCTGTCTGGAGAGATGCTGGCAATCTCTAGCTGGCTGGGCTCACAGGGACTGTGGGGAAGGGGACAGCCTAGAACAAAATTATGAATAGTCCCAACAAGTGGGCAAAGCTCTATGATGGGGGAAGTCAGGATGGGCAACCCTCTGCAACTCAGGCATCAGGACATCTATTGAAGGTTACTAAGGCTCCATCCATCCGGCTGGACTGGGCAAGATTCCAACCCCTGAGAGTAGGACTAGTGATGCCAGCTACTAGTTATCAATAAACACTGTGCACTGGTTCTATGACCACCCTGTCAGGTATATTCTATTGCTCCTGTCTCATACATAAAGAAACTGAGGTCCGGGAGGGTTAAGTAATTTACCCAGAGTCACACAGCCAGTAAGCAGATGAGCTAGAATTCAAACCCATGTCTCCCCACCACACCTGGTTATCACTAACAAAGGGACAGGACAGGGTCTTGGTCCCAATTCGGGACCTGGATATCAGGCACGTTAGCAGAACAGGAACTAACACAGAAGCCTCTTAGAAGAACTGAGACTCAGAGAAGGAAACGGGACACAGGAACGAGGCAGGAGGCCCTGCCATGTCAAAGCCAGAATAGTGTCTGAGCCCAGAATCCTAGCCAGAAGGGATCTGAGTCTCCGTTTCCTCAGACCAGACATGACTATAAGACCTGAGGGCAGGGCTTGGCTGAAGGAAATAAGCCAAGGAGCTGCCCTCACCAGGGATGAGGCAGGCAGGGTCTGGATGGGTGTGCACCACTCAGCCCAACAGACCCCACAGAGAACCAACGTGTAGTGACACAGGCTTCCCACCATGGGCAACATCAGCTGCACTCAGAATGGGAGGGAGGCTGTGGAACATGGAGAATCTGACTTTGAATAAATGTCTGAAAATCTTGGCCTTTGGTTTTCTTATCTGTAAATGAACACGGCTGGACCAGATGGCTTCTGCAGACACCGTGGATTCTGTTTTTCATTTGGGGATTCTTTGCCTTAACACCACCAATTATTTGAATTTTTTTAAAAAATCCTTTTTTTTTTTTTTTTTGAGACGGAGTTTTGCTCTTGTTGCCCAGGCTGGAGTGCAATGGTGCGATCTCGGCTCACCACAAACTCCGCCTCCCGGGTTCAAACGATTCTCCTGCCTCAGCCTCCCAAGTAGCTGGGATTACAGGCATGCGCCACCATGCCTGGCTAATTTTGGTATTTTCAGTAGAGACAGGGTTTCTCCATGTTAGTCAGGCTGGTCTCGAACTCCCGACCTCAGATGATCCGCCCACTTCGGCCTCCCAAAGTGCTGGGATTACAGGCGTGAGCCACCACGCCCAGCCTAAAGAAATCTTTAAAAATATTTTCTGGTGCTCTACATGTTCAGAGAAATTTCTCTAGTAATGAACTATAGAAATGATTCCTGAAAGTACAGTCTTAACAGCACCATTTAAATCAGGGGTCCTATGTATGGTCATAACTAGCCAGGCTTTAGGAGGTTTGCAGCTCACACAGGCGAAATAAAAACCAGGAGTTTGGTGTGCATGAATACAAAATTGGGGAATGTTTCTGAAGAGAAAGTCCATGGCCTCCATCATATTCCCAAAGAAGTCTGTCAGCCACCAAAAATGTTAAGAACAACTAACAACTAACTGATCCAAATGGACCTACAAAGTCAGCTCAGTGGTGGGGCATGACGGCTCATGCCTGTAATCCCAGAACTTTGGGAAGCTGAGGCAGGAGGATCACTTGAGGCCAGGAGTTCAAGATCAGCCTGGGAAACATGGTGAGATGCTTGTCTCTACAAAAACAAAAAAAAATTAATTAATTTAAAAAAATTAGCCAGACATGACAGCCATGTGTCTGTCATCCCAGCTACTAGGGAGGCTGAGGTGGGAGGATCACTTGAACCCAGAAGTCTGAAGCTGTGAGGAGTCTGAGTCAGTGAACTATGGCTGTGCCATTGTACTCCAATCTGGGTGACAGGGTGGGGCCCTGTGTCAAAAATAAATAAAAAGAAAAGAAAACTCAGCTAAATCAGTGGAGGCTAGGACAGCAATGCTTAGCCAAAGCAGTCAGGTCAACCGACCAAATGTGCCCAAAGAAATTTTGTAGCCACAAACCATCTTCTACCCTCTCGGACCATCTAGAAAGAATACGGCCACTAATGAAGCCAAAAAAAGTGATTAGGTGGGTCAGGGCATCTCATCTTCACCACTTCAATAGAAAACAGGATGAATTTCATTGCAATAGTTAGAAGTATCATCTTTTTAACAGTTGGTGTATTCGTTCAATACTGGATACTTGGGTACTTAGTATCACTTAATATCACTTAATATCCTCCACCTAATATCAGTGGAGGAACAGGTATCATTTTCTCTACTTTCTCACTCCCCAAAGGTAGACCCCATCTGGAGCTGGTTAGAAACGCATCTGGGGCCTCATTCGCACTTACTGGATCAGAATCTGCATTTTTTTTTTTTTTTTTTTTGAGACAGAGTCTTACTCTGTCACCAGGCTGGAGTGCAGAGGCACTATCTCAGCTCACTGCAACCTCCGCCTCTTGGGTTCAAGTGATTCTCCTGCCTCAGCCTCCTGAGTAGCTGGGTCTATAGGTGCGCGCCACCATGCCCAGCTAATTTTTGTATTTTTAGTAGAGATGGGGTTTCACCATGTTGGCCAGGATGGTCTTGATCTCTTGACCTCGTGATCCGCCCGCCACAGCCTCCCAAAGTGTTGGGATTACAGGCGTGGGCCACCGCGGCAGCCCAGAATCTGCGTTTTAACAAGAGCTCTAGACCCAAGGAGCTTCGTGTGCACCTTAAAGTTTGAGAAGCACTGCTGTGCTTGCGTTGGCCAAAATTTACATAAGAAAAAAATGAAAGATAAAAGAAAAATTAAAAGTGAAAATACAAGTAACAAGAATGTGAGCAAATGTCAGGGAAGAGAAGGAAAGCCAAAAGTTGGCCCTTTGGGGAAGAAAATTTTTCGTGAAATTAATAAACCATGGGCCCAATTAATTTCAAAGGAATAAACTGGAAAAGTTAGAAAAGAAACACAAAGACCCAATAAAAGTGCCACTGATACAAGGAATTTTATGTGCAATCTTCAGATAATAACTTTGAAAGACAAAATCAACAGGGCGGTACTTAAAAATTTACAAGACACCCAAATGAAAGCAAAAGGAGAGACACAAACTGAGCAGCAACAAGTAAGTGAAAAACAACCAAGGGGAAAGCATCTGGACTTAAAGCATCCTTGGAGGGTCTTTCAATAATGTGTAAACATTTTTTAGCCACTTAAATATACAGGCAAAACATTCACACTTTTTTTTAATGCGCCATAAAGTGTAGGCCTCTCTCAATACCACTCTGTCCCAAGAGGGCACCTCTGTTACAAGCCTGGTTCACAGCTTTCAGGCCTCTTTTGCATGAATAAGTGATTCCATCAAAAATATTATACTGTCAAAAACATGATATCGTTTTGTGCGTTTTCTTTTTTCAAAAATAGTGTCACCCTGTACTATTACTCTGCAACTTGCTTTTTTCACTCCAAATTACGTTTCTGAGATCTAGTCTTACGACTAGTTACTAACTTAATATATTCCTTTTAACTACTCTTGCAGTGTTTTCCAACTTTTTTGACTGAATCACACAGTAAGAAATACACTTTACATTGCAATCCAGTTCACATTTGTGAATACACAAAACTGAAACAAAAGCTCACCAATTATTCAGCCACATTATGTGCAATGCACTCCGTTATCTTCTATTCTTTTGTTTCACACGGTGTCAAAACCCACTAAGGTATTTTATTGACGCACTAAAGGTCTGAACAACCCAGGTTTTATTTAGCCCATCTCCCACTGATGGATATTTACATTGTTGTCTTCAATTTTCCATGATTACAATAATGTCCAATGAACATTGTACATGTGAGTGTTTCTCTAGGACAGATACCTATTAGTGGAACTGCTGGGTTCTAAGAGATGGGCATTCATAATTTAGATAAATATCACAAATTGCCTTCCAAAGCAATCGTATCCATTTACTCTCACCAGCAATGTATGAAAGTAATTTTTCTTTACACTGTCACCAAATCAGTGTATTATTAAATATTTTGATCTCTTCCAATCTGATAGGTTACAAATGCCTTCTTATTGCAGCTCTGATTTGTACTTTTTATTATAAGAGGGTTGTGGGTCTTTTCATATATTTAAGAACCACTTACACTTCTTTTCTGTGAATTTCTATCCATGTCCTTTTGCCCATTTTTCAATTAATGACCCTTTTTATTTATTTTTAAGGGCTCTTTGTATATTAAGAAAATTAACTCCTTTTATCATATTTTTTCCAAATTATTTTTCTCAGATTATCATGTATCTTTTGACTTTGTTTACAGTGTTACTCTTATGAAGTGGATCTCATTTTGATGTTGTCAAATGTATCAGTCTTTTATGTTATAGCTTCTGGGATTTGTGTCAAACTTAGGAAGGTCTCTCTACTCCAAGACAACAGAAAAATTCTTCTATGGCTTTTACGCTTTCATTCTTTATTTAACCATTTGACCTATGTTTGATAGGCTTATTCTGGTCTAAGGCATGTATTAGGGATCCTGCTCTTTCTTATCTCTCAGATAGCTATCTGGTTATGAAGATCCTATATTTTTCCATACATTTGAAATACTGCGTTTATCACAAAATACACACATGTATACACACACCCTTATTTATTTTGGGCTCACTATTCTGTCCCATCACTTATTCAGCCAATTAGTACCAAGTGATCTTAGTTATTGTAGTTTTTTAAAATGTTTACCATGTATCAGAGCTAGAACTTCCTTTTTCTTTTTTATATTTTTCATGCATGCTAATTTTTCCATATGAACTTAGAACCAGCTTTTCTACACCCAAAATAATCCTAGTGGTAATTTTATTATGATCACACTTCACATGTATAGGAAAAGTGACACTTTTATAACACTGACTCTTTCTAGCCAAGATTATATTATTTTTCTCTTTAAGTCTTTTATGCCCGTTGGTAGTGCTGAGATTATATGTTAATATAATTTTATTAAGCTTATAACTAGATATTTTATCTCTTCTGTTGCTTATACAAGTGGGATTTTTTTTCTTCCATCATATTTTCTAGCTGGATATTTATGGGGGAGTACTACTGATTTTTGTGCATTAACTATGCACCAAACTACCTTACTGAATTCTCTTGTTTGTCTTTTAGTTTTGCCTTTTCCTTCTAGGTTTTATACCTCTTATCTAATTACACCAGCTTATCCCCACCAGAACAAGGTTATATAATTATGGTGTTTAATCGGGATTTTAATGGGAATGCATCTAGCATTCACCATTTTAATACTAAGCAAAATTTTGGCTACTTGCTTGACAAAAATGTATTTTCCCATGTTGAGGAGGTATCCAATTATTTCTATAGCAGTTTTTATTAGAAACGGATGTGTAATTTTTCATAAACCTTTTCAGCATCTTATTTTCTCCTTAGATCCTTTAATACAATGAATTTTTATTAACAGAAATCCTAAAGTTAACCTATCCTTACCTTCCTGTTCTGGAACTCCCGTGACCATGGAGTTCTTTAAATGGGCTGCTGGGTTCTAATTATGTTATTAGAATGTCGCATCTTCAGTATTCAAAACAGAGACCACTTTGTGGCTCTGTGTGCACACCTGTTTTTTTGTCACATTTTGTTACACTAGCTTCATAAAAAGAATTTAAGCGCTCTTTCTCTGCTTTAGGACAATGTAAATGGCATTAGAATCACCTGTACCTTCAATATTTGAAAACATTTACCTGTGAAACCATCTGGTCCTGGGACTATTTTAAGGAATAGCTCTGATAACTTTCTCCATTTCTTCTATGGTAATTGGTCTGTTAAAATTTTATTCTATTCTAGTGTCTGGGTTTTTTGTGTGTGTTTTTTTTAAGAACACATACTTTCATGTTATATAAACTATTTCTAAACATAGAAAAAGATCCTACCAGCATCACTATAAGAAGTAAATATAGCCTCCACCCCAAACCTTACCAGGACAACGCCCAGCCAGCCTGGTTCCTAGCTACTGCACCCCTCCTCCCTGCCCTTTTTAAGGCCTCATCTTTTCTCACCAACAGACTCACAAAAAAAGAGGACAGACAGGTTTGCAACAAACCAGAAACATACTCCAAAGCAACATGGGGGCTAACCCTGCCCACCCCATCTCCAATGCCATCAGGGAAGGACTGCTGAAACTCGCCTTACCTTCTCTTATGTAGCCAAATGGCCCATTCCCCTCTCAGTGGAGGCCCTTCTAATTTTGTCTGGGCTTCTTTTTCTGAGCCTTCACCAGCCCCTACCCCACGGACCCCACTCCACTCACTCCAAATCCTCTGCCTCCTATGCACAGTATGAAGGGATCCATGTGTATGCCTGTCCACCAGGCACCCGGCAGAGGCTGAGGCACCTGTTATACACCGGTCCTGCCCTCTAAGAGTGTGTCACCTGAGTGAAGGGTTAGGACCTGTCCACAATTAACAAAAAGCCCCCCAGGAAACAGCCCAGTATGATGAGGCACTAAACAGTGCAGCAGAGAGTGGTCCAAGGGTATAAAGAGGAGGAACGACTGGCCGGCCAGGAAACCCACATCCAGCAAGAGACAGAGGGCAAGGCTGAAGACCGGCATCTGCCCATCTGCCTGGCCAGAGCAGGGGCCAGATAAACCTGGAACACATGGGCCCTGGAGCCCCAGCAAGAGGTTTGGACATGACACAGCAGACAACCAGAGCCCCTGTGGGCTCCAGGGAGTAACAGGAAGAAAGTGGTGTTTTGGTCACACCCCCCCAACAGTCTATGATGCCAGACTTGCATTCAAAGAAATGGCTAGCTGCGCCAAGAACTCGGTGAGCTGCAGAGGGTGAATAAACCACAACCCTGCGCTGATGCCACAAGTGACAATGAACACACACACATACAATTCCAGGCTCTAATGACAGAGAGCAGACTGGAATCATACCACAGCACTAGGGTTTAAATCTTTTACTGCACTACACAATAAAAACCACATTGCCACAAATCTCTAACCTCAGGGGGCATCTGTGCTAGCCCAGCACTTCTCAAACTTGACGTGCACCCAATCACCTGAAGGTCTTGTTAAAACTGCAGATTCTGATTACACAACTGTGGATGGGACCAGAGGTTGGTTCGTTGGTTCATTCGTTCTTTCTCTCTTTCTCTCCTTCTTTCTTTTTCTTTCCTTTTTTTTTTTTTTTTTTTGAGATGGAGTTTTGCTCTTTCTTTCTTTCTTTTTTTTTTTTTTTTTTCCGAGATGGAGTTTCGCTCTTGTAGCCCCAGCTAGAGTTCAATGGCGCGATCTTGGCTCACTGCAACCTCTGCCTCCCGGGTTCAAGCAATTCTCCTACCTCAGCCTCCTGAGTAGCTGGGATTACAGGCACATGCCACCATGCCTGACTAATTTTTTGTATTTTCAGTAGACATGGGGTTTCACCATGTTGGCCAGGCTGGTCTCGAACTCCTGACATCAGGTGATCCACCCGCCTCAGCCTCCCAAAGTGCTGGGGTTACAGGCGTGAGCCACCGTGCCTGGCCCTGCGTTTATTTCTAAACAGCTCCCAGGTGATGCTGCTGGTGCAGGGACTGTGCTTTGAGTACTAGATTATACTAAGGCTCTAGTGGGCTCGTAGGTAGTTGATTAAGGGCACTAACCACAGGCAGAGAGAGAACTGGGGGCTGCCTGTGGCCTGCGGCAGAGCACCCAAACTAATCAACTCATTTTCTATTCAAAAGATTCATGCTGGGGGTTCAGTAACAGGCAGGGCTGCCTTAAAGCCAATAGTAAATGGAAACCACCCCCTGCATTTCACAACTGCTGTCTAATTACCTTCATGTAACCTCTCACAGTGCCCTAAGCCAGCTCTTTCAAGTACTGATGCCACTAATCAAGTCATAAAGCCTTAAAGCATCATATTATTAGCCTTGATAACAGGGTGTAAAACAAACCTGAACAACAATGCATTCACTTCTCCTCCCAGCTGAGGCCATCAGTCAAGCTACGTTACAACCCGGGTCAAGGGAAAATGCACTTAACCAGTGAGAATCCCATATCCAGGATGGCCCGTGCCAGAGAAAAGTAGTAGCTTTTTAAACGAACTATTTGAGAAGATTCTGGAAACTGATATGAACTGCCACAATCCCAGAGACTTCTTTCCTGTCTCCATCTCTTTAGATAATTCAAAACCTGGAAGAAGTTTCTACTTCCCCCCACCGCCCCACCCCACCCCCCGCCCCGGCTTCTGCTGAGTCCCCTCTCCTCACTCAGGTCACCTGCTTAGGCACAGAGTGACCGGTTCAGATCAACCCCCCTCACAAACCACAGTGCTCCCCATCATGGCTCGATTCTGAAATCAGGCAGCCTGTGTTTCAAGCGCATGCCTGTGGCCTGCATGTCCGAAGGCAGACCTGGACCCCACCTCCATGCGACTCACAAAATTAACCCTCCTACCCATCCCCCAACATGTGCCAACAAATTAGGGTTCTAAAGTGCGCAGAACCTCAGCACCTTACTATACACTGGGGGGATTCACAAGACACAATCCCTGAACTTGAGAGCTGCTACAAGAGGAGATATAGCACTCCAAGCTTATGCAGCAACCAAACCTTAAGGTCCCTAGTGGCTGGCACCCACGGATTTGGAGAATGTCCTATACTTGGGCCCACAGTTCTACAGCACATAACTAATGACAACTCCATGGTGGGGATTAGGTCATTGGCTCTGGAAGGAAACAAGGCTGAGGATGTACCCTGCTCAGGGCAAGCACTCCTGCCGTGGTGTTGACTGGGCAGAATGTGAGGAACAAGAATTAACCTGTCCTCCAATGGCCACGGGTGGGTAACTCACCTGAGATTACACACTGGGTGTTAATGCTGAAACCACAGCTCAGGTCCCCCAACTGCCAAGCAGAGGTTCTTTCCACTAAATCACACTCCCTTCACCTCCATTTTGGAATTCCTCAATGAAATTAGCATTAGAAGATTTGTCTTTTATTTGTTCTTTATTCTCCCCACAACCTCAACCAACCTCTAGCGCCCTCTTTCTCTTGGGGAAGCAATGTGATTTAACCTACCTAGGAGCTTCTCCTGTTCTGCTATCCATGAGATGGGAGGACGGCAAAGCAAAGTCACCTCCCTTCCCAGGACTTAGTTTCCTCTTCCCTAAATGAAGGGGTTAGTGGAGATACTTTCTCAGATCCTTTCCAGCTTTAAGCAGAATCAATAGGCACTTCACTTTGTAGCTAAAACAGAAAAGAGGCCCCCTAAACTATGGCCCCTGCCTCATCCTGGTCTCTGCAGGGAGGATGGGCTGGTCCAGGAACCTGATAAGAAGCTCCAGTCCACAAAGAACCCATCCACCAATCGCCTCCCGTGGTCCACCCAGAGCTTCCCCAGCCCACACAAGAGGAGGAACAGAATGCTGCCGGCAGCCTCTCAAAAACTTGCCAGGAAGAATTCTTAATTAGAGTTTTTTGTTGCATTGCGGTATTTTATTTTTAATGACTTTTTTAAATTATAGAAATTATAAAGTTAATTCATGCTTATTAGAGAGAATCAGAAAACATTTTATTTTTAATAACTTTTAAAATCATAAAATAAATGTACATTTGTTACAGAAAAATCAGGAAACTTATTAAAAGAAAATCTCACCTATAAACAAACCTAAATATGTTTAATTAAATCATATTTCAATCAAGAATCAAACCCAGGAGTTGGGATTGACTTTAGAGTGATGGTACAGGATGAGTCTTGGATGCTGTCATGTAAGTCATGGGGGGATTACTATGATCCAATCCAATCTCCCACTGAGGTAGAAGAAGGTGGACAAGAATTCTGCTTCCACTGTCCCTGACAGGGGGCCACCCAGCCTCTGCCCGAACACTTCCCGCTTTTTCAGCCCTTTTCCAGACAGCCCAGGCCATTTTGGAGGACAGCTCCATCCACGGTTCTTCCTACAGTAGAAGGTAGTGAATATGCACAGGCTTTTGAGAAAGCTGGGCTCAGGTTCAATTCCAGGCTCAGCCTCTTACATGCTCCATGACCCTGGGAAAGTCATTCAGTCTCTTTGAACTTGAATTTCCTCATCTCTGTAATGGTAACACTAATGCCTACCTCATTGGGTCGTTGTGAGATTTCAATGAGTGAATGTATAGAGCGCACTTGGCAAAGTGCCTTCCATAGTAGTCTAAGTGATCAATAAACAGCAGGTAATATTATTAAATGGTAGCTTGGAACAATGGCTTTCAAACTTTTTTCCATTCTTACTCTCACTAATTAATTACACTTTATATCATGACCCAGCACATAAAATATCTCTATATACACATAAATATATAAAACTAGACAAATATTTTCAAGAAACAAATGCTGACCCATGTTCATCTGGTCCACTCAGACTTTTTTTTCCCTACTTTCCTCTTTCCTTTCTATTCATTTCCTTTTTAAAAACTGCTGGTCTTGGCTGGGCACAGTGGCTCACTCCTGTAATCCTAACACTTTGGGAGGCTGAGGCAGGCGGATTGCCTGAACTCAGGAGTTCAAAACCAGCCTAGACAAAATGGCAAGACCCCGTCTCTACTAAAATACAAAAAGTTAGCCAGGCATGGTGGTGCACGCCTGTAGTCCCGGCTAATCGGGAGGCTGAGGCAGGAGAACTGCTTGAACCCCAGAGGCAGAGGTTGCAATAAACTGAGATCGTGCAGTTACACTCCAGCCTGGGCGACAGAGCAATGCTGTCTCAAAATTAATTAATTAATTAATTAATTAAATTAAATAAATAAAATTGCTGGTCTTGATCACTAACTTGATTGCACAACTGACAAATAGATTGCAAATCACAGTTTGAGAAACACTGGCCGCGTGTGGTGGCTCACGCCTGTAATCCCAGCACTTTGGGAGGCTGAGCCAGGCGGCTCACTTGAGGTCAGGAGTTCGAGACCAACCTGGCCAACATGGTGAAACCCTCTCTCTACTAAAAATACAAAAAAAATTAGCCAGGCGTGGTGGCGTGCACCTGTAGTCCCAGCTATGTGGGAGGCTGAGGCAGGAAGAATCGTTTGAACCCAGGAGACAGAGGTTGCAGTGAGCCAAGATCATGCCACTGCACTCTAGCCTGGGAGACAGAGTGAGACTCCATCTCATTAAAAAAAAAGAAAGAAAAGAAAAGAAAAACACTAACTTATACTAAGACCAAATCTCTCCTCCTAGCCGGGCACAGTGGCTCACACCTGTAATCCTGGCACTCTGGGAGGCCAAGGCAGGCAGATTGCTTGAGCTCAGGAGTTCAAGAACAGCCTGGCCAACATGACAAAACCCTGTCTCTACAAAAAATACAAGTTAGCCAAGTATGGTGGCGTATGCCTGTAGTTCCAGCTATTCAGAAGGCTGAGGTGGGTGGATCACTTGTGCCCAGGAGGCGAAGGTTGCAGTGAGCCGAGATCGTGCCTGGGCAACAGAGCCAGACCCTGTCTCCAAAAAAAAAAAAAAAAAAAAAATACAAATCTCCTGCCATACCTTCCACCTTTCACTTCTAGCTTTACCTTCTGGAACCATGCAGATCTACTCTGCTCCACCTTCCACCTCAGAGTCTCACATATGAAACATCCTTCATTCTCTCAAGCAGTAATTTCACGAGATAGGGCTGCCCAATCCCCCTTCGCTCCACCCCTTTCTGCCCAACTCCTTCCCCTGCACTCTGTGCCCCTTCCATCACTGCCGTCCAGGATGGCCATGATCATCTAGCAGCTGCCCTACTTCTCCCATGGCCTCTCCACAGCCCCACAGCCTCAGCTCAAGCAGCCTGGCGTGAGCATCTTTTTTTTTTTGAGATGGAGTTTCGCTCTTGTTGCCCAGGCTGGAGTGCAATGGCGCGATCTTGGCTCACCACAACCTCCATCTCCCGGGTTCAAGTGATTCTCCTGCCTCAGCCTCCCGAGTAGCTGGGATTACAGGCATGCGCCACCACGCCTGGCTAATTTTGTATTTTTAGTAGAGACAGGGTTTCTCCATGTTAGTCAGGCTGGTCTCGAACTCCTGACCTCAGGTGATCTGCTTGCCTCTGCCTCCCATAGTGCTGGGATTACAGGCATGAGCCACCGTGCCCAGCCATGGGCATCTTTTTGAACCTTCATGCAGGATGCTTTATCCATCCCCAGAGGAACTCATCTTGGTTTCTTCCAGCCCATCCGTAACTCTACTCGAAAAGCTGGTTCTCTCATACAAACATGTTCCTTCTTTGTCCTTCCACAAATTAGGATGCCATGGAACTCATCAAATAAGAAGAGCGAAAGTGAGGAAGAGTTTCAGTACGCATATTTGAGCCAAAACTTAAAACCAGAAAGTGCCCCTTTCTTACTCATTTCTAAACTAGCTCTGCTTGCTAACCCTGGAACCAAACCGAGAAGGCCCCATCACCCAGCCACATCTACGTCCCCCTTACGGTGAAAGCAGCCCCGAGACAAGGAATCACACACCTGGCTGCAAACGCAGCCTTTCAGAGCTGAGATCTCCCAGCACCACCTTGCATGGGCAGGAAACCATAGATATCAGATGCAGCCACAGTTTCCCATATCCTATCTGCATTTGTAGTGATCAAAAAATACATTCGTGGTAATAAGAAAAAAATAAAATAAAATGCACACATATGCACCTAATATCATACTCCAATTGCTAACATTTTATAATTCGGGTTATTTAAAAAAAAAAGTTTCCAAAGCAATGACAAAAATGTCTACTCTGCCTTCAAAACCCAAGCTGACTCCTCCTTGATCCCATCTGTATCATTGTACTTGGGGAGCTTGTCACAAACACATTTAAGGGAGTGGTTCTCATAAGAGGAACCTTCGAAAACCTGCCCCCCAACATTTATGGCTTTCTTAGATAATCTGCATCCCAAAACAATGTAGTTTTAAGTTTTTATTGACCTTCAAATGTAATAAAAAGATATGCTGTTTGGAATATTCAAAGTCTTGTTTTTCTAAATTCAAAATTATATTACTAAAATTCACTCAAACCATTACATGTAGATGTTGTTCATTCATTTTGCTGCTGTATAACAATCTATCACATGACAACAATGTATGTACCCATTCTCCAGCTGATGGGCATTTGGCTTTCCAGTGTTTTGCCATTATGAAGAGTGCTACTAGGAATATTCTTAGTATATGTCATGTATACATGCTGCCCACGTAAGCAAGTTTCTCACAATGATTGTATACCCAGAAGTGGAAATGCCAGGACATGCTGTATGTGAATGTACAACATTACAAGATACAGGTTGAACATCCCTAAGCTGAAAACTTGAAATGTTCCAAAATCCTAAATTTCTTGAATGCCAACATGACAACACAAGTGGAAAATTCTACACTTGACCTCAGTCCATGACATGTTGCATCAACTGAGGTCAAAGCTTTGTTTCATGCATAAAATTATTTTATGCATTTGTTTATATATAACAAGTGCATTATACTATCTCAAATATTCCAAAATCCAAAAAAAAATCCAAAATCTGAAATACTTCAGTCCCAAGAATTTTGGATAAGGGATCCTCAATCTGTACTACCCAACTGTTTTCCAAAGCAGCTGCATCAAGTTACACGCCTACCAGCAGCTCCTAAATGACCATAATGTCCTATCTCCTCTTCAATGCTTGCTACTGCACAGCTTCTTCACGTTTGCCCATCGAACAGGGAAGAAATGGAATCTCATTGTGATTTGTATTCCCTGGTTACTAATGAAATTAAGTGTCTCATCATAAAAAGAGATCCTCTCCCAGCCTAACTCCGTACACTTTTCTTTCATAGCTCATACCGTTGTCCATAATTAAACATTTGTGGGATTATTTGATGAAAGCCCATCACTATTTTCTTCACCACTGCATACTGTGCAAGTGGCACAAAGTAGAGCCTCTGTGTATCTGTTGAATTAATGAATGCACGAGTAACCCAG
The DNA here is from genome assembly GCF_000001405.40 of Homo sapiens. Taxonomy (NCBI): domain Eukaryota; kingdom Metazoa; phylum Chordata; class Mammalia; order Primates; family Hominidae; genus Homo; species Homo sapiens. The sequence continues at coordinate 42,424,979 of NC_000006.12, forward strand.
CACATGAGACTACTCAGTTAGTCTTCAAGTTCTGACCTGATTTTATTAAAAGCCCGGGCTCGTGACTCAGGGTCTGACCTCCTCAGCTGAGTTATCATGGGGGTAAAAGTGACAAGGTACCTCCTAACCTGGACTGAAGAGAGGGAAGGGCCCAGAGAGGGTGGGGGCAAAGTCCACTCTGGAACTGGAGCGATTAGCCATGCTTCCTCAAAAACAATAATAGTGAAAAAACAACTGCTCTTGTGAATTGCAAGCTAAGAATGGGTCACATACTTCACACTGACTAATAAGAGCTACCATTTACACAGTGTGCTGTCACTTACTGGATTATTCATCTGACCCTCACAACATCTCTATGGAATAAATATGACAGCCCCCAACCAACCCCCTACATTTTACAGCAAAGAAAACTGAGGCTCAGAGAGGCTAAGAAAGTGCCCAGTCACAGAGCACATAAAGGGCAAACCCAGAGTCAGAGTCAAATCAAGTCCAGTGTGGCCCCAGAGCCCATGCCCCTTTCACATACCTAAACCGACACGGCCCCCTGGGCATTTTTTTTTTTTTTTTTTTTTTTTTTTTTTTTGAGATGGAGTCTCGCACTGTCGTCAGGGCTGGAATGCAATGGTGCGATCTCAGCTCACTGCAACCTCCACCTCCCAGGTTCAAGCAATTCTCCTGCTTCAGCCTCCCGAGTAGCTGGGATTACAGGTGCCAGCCACCACGCCCAGCTAATTTTTTGTATTTTTAGTAGAGACAGGTTTTCACTATGTTAGCCAGGCTGGTCTCGAACTCCTGACCTCGTGATCCGCCCACCTCGGCCTCCCAAAGTGCTGGGATTACAGGCGTGAGCCAGTGCCCCGCCGGCCCCCTGGGCTTTTTATCTTCTCTGCATGGGGCTGCTTTTCCTCCCCACTTGCCCCCACAAACCTCCCCAGGCTCCAAGTTTTGCTCCACATCCCACAAAGACTTTCCCTGCACGTGGGGAGCAGGGCTCTGGAATACAAGGTCACCCTCCAGTCTGTCCCTTACATTTGCACTGACATACATACTTGACACTTCCCTGGCTGCAAGATGCTAGGTGTCACCCAGCAAGTTGGCAAGCGGACATCATCCAGGCCCATCTCTCCTAGGGTTCTCCCAAGTCAATGGTTTCCCCTTCAGTTCTGCAGAAACCAATCCCTTTCCAACTCTGAAAGGCTTTTACTGCAAACTGAAAGCAAACATCTAGCAAATGCCTACTACACACCGGGCACATGACATATCTTAACTCAGCAAGAAATACTATGTAGCCACTAAAATTATATAATCCAGACCAACATATGTAAATAAACATGAAACTCTGTGAAGTGAAAAGAAAGCAACTCAAAAATAGTACCTACATGCCAAATGTGAGTAAACACAGTACCCCCACACAGACACCAGTGGGTAATATAAATAGAAATGGGTGTTCACTAGAACCTTTCTTCAGTAAAGTTACCTAGATTTCCAATGTCCCCCAGGAGCTACTTGTCAACTATTTGTAACAGGTCTGGTTTCAAAGCAATGCTACAAATAATTATTCCCAAAAAGAATGAAAACTCCATGTGGGTCATGATCACATCTATTTTGTTCGTAGCTGTCTCTCTAACAAAGAGGTGGAAGCCGTCAGACCAGGGATCAGCAAATATGACCTGCTGCTAAACCTGGCCAAACACCTGGTTTTGTGAATGAAGTATGATTGGAACGCAGACACGCTCATTCATTTACGAGTGATCTGTGACTGCTTTTGTGCTACAGCAGCAAAGTTGAGTAGTTAGGACAGAGATACGGCCCACAAAGTAAAAATATCTACTCTCTAGCCCTTTATAGAAAGTTTGCCAATCTTTGATCTAATGCTTAGCCTAGAATTCTGCATATACTGGAATAATACTTATTGAATTAATAAATTCACTTACGAATGTATTATATACATTTAAAACCTTATATCAAATTATTATAGGTTTATTTACTTCAATTAACCTAAACCAAGGTAATATATAAGAACTAAGGGCTGGGCGCAGTGATTCACGCCTATAATCCTATAATCTCAGCCTCCCAAAGTGCCTATAATCCTAGCACTTTGGGAGGCTGAGATGGGAGGATCACTTGAGGCCAGAAGCTCGAGACCAGCCTGGTCCATGTAGCAAGAACCTATCTCTATAAAAAATACATAAATAAATTTGTTTTTAAAAAAGAACTAAGGCTTATTCACCTAGGGCACATAAATGCTTAGCAAATGAGAAATACGTTCTTTGGTTTATTGTTTGTTAAATTTTGATGGAGACAAGGTCTCACTCTACCACCCAGCTGAAATTCAATGATGCAATCATAGCTCACTGCAGCCTCAAACACCTGGGCTCAAGAAATTCTCCCACTTCAGCCTCCCAAGTAGCTAGGACTATAGGCGTGCACCACTATGCCCAGCTAACTTTTTTGTAGAGACAGGATCTCACTATGTTGCCCAGGCTGGTTTTGAACTCCTGGGCTCAAGGGATCCTCCTGCCTCCATCTTCCAAAGCACTGGGATTACAGGTGTGAGCCACCTTGCCCTGCCTTACTTTTTTTTTTTTTTGAGACGAGGTCTCATTCTGTCACCCAGGCTGGAGTGTGGTATGCCATCTCGGCTCACTGCAGCCTCCACCTGCCAGGCTCAAGCAATCCTCCCACCTCAGCCTCCCGAGTAGCTGGGACTACAGGTGTGTGCCACCACACCTGGCTAATCTTTGTATTTTTTGTAGAGACAAGGTCTTCCTATGTTGCCCAGGCTGGTCTTGAACTCCTAGGCTCAAATGATCCTCCCGCCTCAGCCTCCCAAAATGTTGGAATTACAGGCATGAGCCACCACACCCAGCACATTCTTTTTAATATATATAAAAAAAAAATCAGACTCTTGACACCATCATTAGGAGGTATGTATACCTTGAACAGTTTCTTCCATGAAAGAGATAAGATTACACCAAGTCATATACACCCTAGAGCTAAGGTAAGTATCATGCAGCCACTGCTTGCAGTGGGAAACAGCTGGTAAGAGCTTGGCATGACATCTAGGGCCGGAAATAGGAGTCAAGTCTGGGTAACCAGTCAAGATGCTGTAATAATCCCCAAGTGGGGCTCAAAGTAGGATTTTGGCCTCCTGAGCCTTATATTCTAAGCAACTAAGCTACAGGCCCAGACTGACTAAGGTGAAATCATTTCATTTATTTTCTATGTAACTTCTGGTAGGGACAATGCATCGGAAAACAATTGTAGGCTCAATGATTTTCCCCTTAATTTATCAGTACCATCTGCATTATAATGTAACTGAATATTTTTAGTTCTGCAGACTTGATTATTCAGAGGCTGATCATTCAGCTGTTGGCTTTTTGAAGCTCATTATGGCCCGAGTACCCGAAGACAGGAGAGAGGAAATGAAAGGAGGTGAAACTCAAATCAGTGGGCGTTGCTACTTTATTAGCAGATGAGACACCAAGATTGGGGTGGAGGGGGTGCGAGAGGGTGAAACCCCAGGTCTCCAGAGCTGAGGCTCTCTTCAGGCAGCTTTTATCAGATTCACACATCTTACATCACAGCACACTGACAGTCTGTCAATAATTCTGTGAGACTGGCCTATCCCCATAGTGATCCAAGACTATCACTAAGCTCCCTTCCTTTGTTCATATGGAAAAACCAAAACTCCAAAGGAGATTAACAGTTGAAGCCTTGAGGCCTAGAACCAACCCTTGCCCTGCAGAAGTCAGAGGACAGGTCAGCCCTGACTCCGAAAGGCCTGAGGATGGATTCATTTAGGGAAATGTTTAGAAAAGAATGCTGGGAGGAGTCTAAGCCACTTCCTCATGAAGCCCTGCCTCCCTCTCCCTCCCTTCCACACATTAATTATTCCCAGCAGGCCTTCCCACTTCCCAGGAACCCACAGATAGAGAAGTCCAATACACTGGCTCTGAGCCCTGGGTCACACCCAAGGTCCCCTGGCACTGTCCCTCTCGCAGCAGGCTGAGCTGTGGTTGGAGACTTGACTCCGGTCCCAGGCCCACATGCCCTTCAACCCCATCTGTGCCCAGCAGGCGCTGGGTGAATGTTACTGAACAAATGAATGAAAGCCACTCATTATTTTAAGTGAAAACTAAGTCACACCCAAGGAGGACCACACTCCTAATTTCTCTAGTGACAGTATTCCTCCAGCTGAGCCATGCAAAATGCACCTCACTTCTCTCTCCTTTCCTCTCCAGTCTGCTTCCTTTTTTCTTCCATCCTGAGCACTGGTGTCTGGAGAAACCCCCTGCCCTGGGAAGGTAGCATTCTCTTCTCTGGCTGACAACAGACTTTCCCGTGGATGGACCCTGCGAGGTCTGGGAAGCCCTACTCACCTCAACCCAGTAGGCTCCGGGCCGTCCTAAGTGAACCAACCACAGGAGAAAACCACGGAGGGGGGGAAATGGAAGGAAGCACCCCCTGCTACCGCCTCCTCTCACTTTCTCCGGGGCCTTAGCTCTGTCAGATTTTGAAGCATAATGAGTTTTGTTTCATAACAGTCTTAAATGAACTGGAAGGGGGAAGGGGATGACAATGATAAAAATCTTAATTAAAAAAAATTCCTACAGGCAAAGAGATTATCCAGATCCTGAGATGTGATAAAAGTCTGTTGAGCTGGGGGCCCTCCCGAGCCCCCAAGGACACAGCACTGGACATATATTTACGGAGCGCCTACTGTGTGCTGGGCACTCTTCCGAGGGCTTCGGATGCAGCAGTGAACAAACCCATTCTAGGAGAGGGAGGACTGGCAACAAAGATAATGAACAAGCAAACTACAGAGGACGGGAACAGGCTGAAGTGTTTTGGAAGAAAAGGAACAACAGAGCAAGTAAAGGGGATGGGTCATTCGGGCGAAGGTGTGGCGCACCTAACTGGAGAGGTGAGGAAAGCCCTGTTGAGAAAGAGACAGACTTCTGAGCCAAGACTTGAAAGAGGGCCGGGAGGGAGCAATGCAGATGAGTATCTAGGTTCTGGAAGAGCAACCCCAGCAGAGAGGACGGCTGTGCAAAGGCCCTGAGGCAAGCGCATACCAGATATGGGGCTGGAGAGGAGGAATGAGGAGGAGAGCTGTAGAAAGACAGGGCCTCAGGGGGGCTAAGGACTACTGTATGGACTCTGGCTTGTACTGCTTGGTGGGGGCCGCTGATGGGTTGTAAGCAGGAGAGAGACAGGTTTCCTTGTCATTCTCTGCCACCCCATCCCATCATTCTTCCTGGTAATCTCCCTTGATATCATTTAATAAATATGGCTCAAAGCCCTCTCAGACTTCTGGTGATGAGTTATAAACTCAAACAATCTTAAGAAAACCGGCAAGTCCCACACCTACTGCCCCCCAAAATCAGTATTAGACCATCTTCCCTCACTCCAAAAAGCAAGGAGTTGAATCTTTTTTCTCTTAAGAGCTGCTGACCAAGAGAAGAAATAGAAAATGTTAATTAATAAGCCAGGCGCTATGGCTCATGCCTGTAATCCCAGCACTTTGGGAGGCCAAGACGGGTGGATCACTTGAAGTCAGGAGCTTGAGACCAGCCTGGACAACATGGTGAAACCCCTTTTCTACTAAAAATACAAAAATTAGCCAGTCGTTGGCTGGGCGCGGTGGCTCATGCCTGTAATCCCAGCACTTTGGGAGGCCAAGGTGGGTGGATCACGAGGTCAGGAGATGGAGACCACCATCCTGGCCAACATGGTGAAACCCCGTCTCTACTAAAATACAAAAAATTAGCCAGGCGTGGTGGTGCATGCCTATACTCCCAGCTACTTGGGAGGCTAAGCAGGGGAATCGCTCGAACCCAGGAGGCGGAGGTTGCAGTGAGCCAAGATTGTGCCACTGCACTCCAGCCTGGAGACAGAGCAAGACTCCATCTCAAAAAAAAAAAAAAAAATTAGCCGGGTGTTGTGGCAGGCAACTGAATCCCAGCTACTCGGGAGGCTGAGGCAGGAGAATGGCTTGAACCTGGGAGGTGGAGGTTGCTATGAGCTGAGATTGTGCCACTGCACTCCAGCCTGGGTGACAGAGCAAGACTCAGTCTCAAAAAAAAAAAAAAAGAAAAGAAAAGAGAAGAAAATGTTAATCAATAACTAAAGACAAGGGAAGAGTAATTTCATTCAGCAAATTTTTTCTTGAGAGTGCAAAAGCTAAAAAGCTTGTTTTTAGACTAAAAATGGAAAAAATTTATTCAATAAATAGAAGACATTTTAAAATACAGGCTACTTAACATATATATAACTAGCAATTAATAGAAAGGAGGAAAGCGAGAGATGGAGAAAAAAGGGAAGGTGGGTAGGTAGAAAGATAAGAATGGAAAATAGAATGACAAGTACAGAGAGGAAAATGGAGATATATGTGGAAAAGTACAGAAGGCTCCAAACAGAGAGGCAGAAAGAAAAAGGAACTGAAGTTCCACAGGGTCTGAGGTTTCTTACTCTTCATTCACTCCCTGCAGTTTATTAGGTCCAAAGCACCAGCGCTTAATCCTTTCATTCCCTACTGCCCTGTGGCTGCCCTGATACTCCAATTAGTGGGCCCTCTATTTACACCTCTTTATCCTTACGCTAAGTAGAACTGGAGGAAGGGAGGGAAGAGAGATTAAATTACTCTTCCTCTCAAAACTGGAAAGGCAGTGGCCCAGCCAACACTAGCCGGTCAAGCCAGAGGTGGCAGCAGAAATTCCCTTGTCACTCAATACACACCAGGGACCCCCCAACCCCACAATAGATACAATATAAGCCACTAGGCAACCTTACCTTCTCAAGCTATAAAGTGAGCCGCCATGTCTGAGACCAGGTCCCAAATGCACCTTCTGTCAATGGAAGCTTCTGTCCCAAATTGTCCCCACCTTCATGTCCCTCCCCCTACCCGATGAGAAAGAAAAAAAGGCCCAACTAACAGAAGACTGAGGAAGCCCTGAAATAAGCTAAAATGGTTAGAAAGAAAGTGATAATAAATGAGAACGATGAGCTCATGGTAGTATAGTATAGCAGTTAACAGTACAGGCTCTAGGGTCAGAATGCATGGCTCAGCTCTGCCACTGACAACTGTACCATGGGCAAGTGACCTATTCCCTCATGCCTCAGATTCCTCTTCTCAAAAAAGAGGACCAGTAATAATACCTGTGCCCTAGGGCTCTTGGGAGAATTAAAGTCAGTATTATACAGCATGTAAAAGAATTGTCTGGCACGTGGTGAGCATTATATGAATATTTCTCAAGAAATAAAAATACTTTTTAAAAAGGAAAGCTTCTTTCTGAACCATCCAAGAGAGAAAAGGTCTATAGTTTTATTTTTGTACATGCTATATGCATAAAAACAATCACTACTGATTAGTATTTTCAACTCTGATCATTTCTACTCCACACTTTTAAAATATGAATAAAATGCTTCAGCAAAAATATACAAAGACATTTGTGGCGGTATTATTCATAAAAGCAAACTGTGTGAAATGACCTAAGTATCTGACAATTGAAGAAAATGTGAGTAGATCATAAAAGCCATAACAGGGAGCTTGTGCAAATATTAAAAAATCACATGATGGGCCAGGCACAGTGGCTCACACCTGTAATCCCAGCACTCTGGGAGGTTGAGGTGGGTGGATAACTTGAGGTCAGGAGTTTGAGACCAGCCTGGCCAATATGGTGAAACCCTGTTCCTACTAAAAATACAAAAATTAGCCAGACGTGGTGGCAGGCGCCTTGTAGTCCCAGCTACTCAGGAGGCTGAAGCAGGAGAATCGCTTGAAGCCAGGAGGCAGAGGTTGCAGTGAGCAGAGATCATGCCACTGCACTCCAGCCTGGGAGACAAAGTGAGACTCTGTCTCAAAAAAAAAAAAAAAAAAAGTCACCTAAAGAATTAAAGAATGTTTAAAGACATGGAAAATACTTCTAATGTTAATCATAAAGGATACGAAATTAGACTTCGCTTTCAGGTATTATGGGGCAGTGAATATTAAACTAGTCCTCTGGTACAGAACAGCTACATAAGATAGATAAAATACAAGATAATTATAATAATAACATTTTGAAGGTGTGGAAATACAACAAGGCAGTTGGGACTTGAGGGACCAGGCTCCTAGAGGAAAGGGAGGTGCAGTGAGGTGAGCCATGTATTAGTAGCTACTGTTTTCCCTCAGGACACTTGCTAATCTGGTGCAAGGAACACAGAGGCAAAACAGAAAGCAGTAAATGAAAGCTTTCAGCAGCTTTCTCCCTGGGCCGAGAAGACAAAAACTGGAGTTCAGGGCTATGAACATATCCAAGATTTAAGAGCCCAAGATACCAGAAAAAAAAGTGAACCCCAAAGAAATGAGTCCAATGTTCTGCAAGCGATTTCTCCTCAAGGCACTGACACACACCTAAGTCTTCTGTGCACAGAGCTAAAACCTAGGAATCCAAACAGAAAAAAAAAAAGCTATTAAAACACTAGCACATTAAGCAGAGCTTTGGTAGTTTTACAGTGGCAAGCAGATGAAACTCTGAAATCAGGGCCTACCAAGGCCTTCTTGTACCATTGTACAGGTAAGGGCAAATAAAAAATATACCAGCCTTAACTGAGCCTCTACATTTTCCACGGTAAAATGCCCAGCACTCAAACAACAATCACCAAGCATGTCAGGAAATAGGACCAAACCAACAAAAATACACGATCAATAAAAACAAACCTCAGAAGGTATCCAAATATTGAAGTTGTCAGCCAGAACTTTAAAATTACAAGGGCCAGGCATGGTGGCTCACATTCATAATCCCAGCACTTTGGGAGGCAAAGGCAGGAGGATCACTTGAGGTCAGGAGTTCAAGACCAGCCTGGATAAACAGAGCAAGACCCCATCTCTACAAAAAAAAAATTTTTTTTAATTATCCAAGCATGGTGGAGCACACCTACAGTCCCAGCTACGGGAGGCTGAGTCAGGAGGACCACTTGGGCCCATGAGTTTGAGGCTGCAGTGAGCCAAGTTTGTGCCACTGTACTCCAGCTTAGGCAACAGAGTGAGCAAGACCCTGTCTCTGTTTTTCAAAAAAGAGAGAACTGAATAGATGTGCTTGACAACAAAAAGGAATAGTAAAAGAAATGACTGGTGCTGTGGAAGATGGGTCAGTAGAAAAAAATACATAAAGGCACAGAAAATACAGAAATGAGTTCCAGAGACATGTAGGATACCATGAAAGGGTCTAACATATGTGCAGGAGCCTGAGAAAGGGAGGAGAGGATTAAACAGCAAAAGCAAAATTGGAAGACAATGCTTCAAGAATTTTCTAAAACTGACCAAAAACACAGAGCCATGATTTACAGATGCACTCCAAACTCCACAGGGGATCCATATGAAGAGAACCACACCTATGTACATCATAGTAAAATTGCTAAAAAAAAAAACAAAGCCAAAGAGAAAAAACAGATATGTTACTTTCAGAAGAACCACAATAAAACTGACAGATGACTTTTTAACAGAAATGAAGGAAGCCAGAAGACAATGGAATGACATTTCCAAAGGACTGAAAGAAAATAAAACAAGCCCAAATCTCCCAAATATGAAGGTGAATAAAGATTTTTTTCCAGGGGAAAAAAATCTCCCAAATATGAAGGTGAATAAAACGCATTTTCCGACAAACAAAAACTGGGAGAACTGGAACACCAGCAGACACCCTCCACCACACACACACACACACACACACACACACACACACACACACACCCCTAATAGGAGTTATTCATGTAGAAAGAAATTAAGCTGAGAGAGAAGCATGCTTATATGGAAGGAAATGAAGAACAGCAAAAAGAGTAAGTATGTGGATTAATCTAAATTATTATTGTCTACATAAAACAATGGGCCGGGTGTGGTGGCTCATGCTTGTAATCCCAGCACTTTGGGAGGCCAAGGCGGGCGGATCACCTGAGGTCAGGAGTTCAAGACCAGCCTGGCCAACATGGTGAAACCCCGTCTCAACTAAAACTACAAAAAAGTTAGCTGGGCGTGGTGGTGGGTGCCTGTAATCCCAGCTACTTCAGGAGGCTGAGGCAGGAGAATCGCTTGAACCCAGGAGGCAGAGGTTGCAGTGAGCCGAGATTGTACCATTGCACTCCAGCCTGGGCAGAAACAGCAAAACTCTGTCTCAAAAAAAAAAGAAAGAAAGAAAATCAAACAAACAAACACACACAAAAAAAATGTCTTCTGGGGTTTCATAGAGAGAGAATTAAAATACACAAGACTTCAAAAGGCATAAGGGAGGTAAAAAAGGCCTAAGTGTTTAAGTGGCCTGAATTGTCCAGAAAACGGCTAAAACATTAATTAAGGGTAAGCTCTTTAAAAGTTTTTGTATTTTTTGAGGAGACATGGATGGCATGTATACAGAGCCGAGTGCATCTACTCAAAAAACACAAAAACTTAGCCAGGCATGGTGGTGCACTCCTGTAGTGCCAGCTACTCAGGAGGCTGAGGCAGGAGGATTGCTTGAGCCTAGGAGGTCAAAGCTATAGTGAGCTGTGATCACGCCACTGCACTCCAGCCTGGGTGACAGAGTAATACTCCTTCTTAGGAATTTACCGCCCAAAAAGAATCTAAGATGAACTTAAAGATTTATGTACAAGGATATTTATCAAAGTATTATTTATAATAGTTAAAAAATGATAAATAAGGTAAATTCCTAATAATAGGGACTAGTTAAATAAGTTATGGAGGCCGGGCGCAGTGGCTCACACCTGTAATCCCAGCACTTTGGGAAGCTGAGGCGGGCAGATCACGAGGTCAAGAGATCGAGATCATCCTGGCCAACATAGTGAAACCCCGTCTTTACCAAAAAAAAAAATACAAAAGTTAGCTAGGCGTGGTGGGGGGCACCTGTAATCCCAACTACTCAGGAGGCTGAGGCAGGAGAATCATTTGAACCCAGGAGGCGGAGGTTGCAGTGAGCTGAGATTGCACCACTGCACTCCAGCCCAGGCGACAGTGCGAGACTCCATCTCAAAAATAAATAAATAAATAAATAAGTTATGGGACCCAGTGCCCCGTACACAGTAGGCACTCCATAAATATCTGTTGAACATAGAGTCCATATGAAAGGATAATAAGCGTCTGGGCTCAGTGGCTCACGCCTGTAATTCCAGCACTTTGGGAGGTTGAGGCAGGTGGATCACGAGGTCAGGAGTTCGAGACCATCCTGGCTAACACAGTGAAACCTCGTCTCTACTAAAAATACAAAAAAATTAGCTGGGCGTGGTGGCAGGTGCCTGTAATCCCAGCTACTTGGGAGGCTGAGGCAGGAGAATGGTGTGAACCCAGGAGGCGGAGTTTGTAGTGAGCCAAGATCGCACCACTGCACTCCAGCCTGGGTGACAGAGTGAGACTCCGTCTCAAAAAAAAAAAGGATAATAAGCAACTATTTTTTTAAGTTTCCAAAAAATATTTAATTAGTAAGTATTAAATCACATTCAAAAGAACCCTAATATGATTTTGAAAGCATAATATCATAGCTAATATTTATTAAGAACTTACTATCTGCTAGGCACAGCCCCAGATGTTTTACATGTATTGTCTCATTTCATTTCACCCAGGCCTATTGTTATTTAAAGTGAATGAAGGATCCTGGATTCAAATCCAGGCAGTCTGACTGCAGTGCTTAAATTTTTAATCACTAGACTTTACTGCCTAGAAAAAATACTGGAAGGAAATATATTAAAATGTTAACAGGGAGGAATTAAAGCCCTTTTTTATTTTCTTCCTCATCTGTGTCAGTATTTTCCAAATTCTCTATAATCACTATGAATTATTTGCAATCTCCCTCTACAAAAAAAAAAAAAAATATATATATATATATATATATATATATATATATGAACTACTTTCACTTACCATTTATACAATTTCAGTGAAAAAGTCTTAACACTAACAAAGCTTTCAATTATGTCTGCTCCAGGCCTTAGAGGCAGGAGACTGTGGTGTAAATGTGAGGCAGAACATTCTGACCAGGAAAGGCTGATGAGCCTGATCCAGAGACTGCAGAGCCCATGACTTCCATTCCATAAATACGTCATCATCATCTTGCTTAGCAAGTGTGGATTTTTACACACATTCTGCTAGTTAATCTTCCTAATAACCAAGTAGATGTGACCACCTCAGGAAACGGAGGTTCAGGAAGGTGAAGTGACCCTCCTAGGGACACACAAGGGCACTCCAGCTCTGGTTGGAGGTCCTCCCACTTGCAGCCCAGCCACCAATGATTCCCCCAAATCATGTGGAATAATTTGGGGCAGACCTGAGAGCACATTCAGCCCCAAACACTTCTGGAAGCTAACAACGTGTGTGAACCACGCACCCATCGCGCCCAAAGCCCAGGGATGGCACTGAGATCCCACCCTCACAGAGTTTCACCCCCTCAGAAAATGATTATGCAGAAGAGTAAAGAATATGGCTTCACAGTTCTCAAAGCACTTTTGCATTTTTTTAAATCTCATTTTACTCTCAAAATAAACCTTTTCAGTCAGTAAAACAAAGGTACTGAGAGGACATGGAAAATGAGGCTCCAAGAGTTAGCGCTATCCACGAATAGCCCCAGAGGGTTGGCATGGTGTTCCTTCCACCATATTATCATAGTCATATTTTTGAAGGAAACTCAAGTCATGCTGTCTGGTAAGGCGAAATGGGAGGTAGGATAAGCAAGGGGGAAAAGAACCTGCTTTTACAGTCACCCAGGTCTGAGTTCCGGAGTCTGAATCCCTGCCCTGCAATTTACTAGCCATACGACCTTGAACGAGCTTCTGCATTTCTTTGTGCCTCCATTTCCCCACCTGTATAATAAGGATAAGAATGCCTTCCTCATGCAGTTGTTCTGAGGGTTAAAGGGGGAACAGACCTAAAATGATGGTGTGCATCTGCACTTAGTAGGCAGCTGTTATTTATTTATTTATTTATTTATTATTTATTTTTGAGACAGAGTATTACTCTGTCTCCCAGGTTCGAGTGCAATGGCGTGATCTCAGCTCCCTGCAATCTTCGCCTCCCAGGTTCAAGCGATTCTCCCGCCCCAGCCTCCCGAGCAGCTGGGATTACAGGTGCCCGCCACCATACCTGGCTAATTTTTGTATTTTCAGTAGAGATGGGGTTTCACCATGTTGGCCAGGCTGGTCTCGAACTCCTGACCTCAAGTGATCCACCCACCTTGGCCTCCCAAAGTGCTGGGATTACAAGAGTGAGCCACCGTGAGCGGCTTGCAGCTGTTACTTTTTAAAATGTATCCTGTCCCCCAACATATACAAGGTAAGGTCGCCATGGCCAGAGCACATTGCCTCACCTTCCTAAAGAAAACAATCCCCCTGGCCGGGGGCGGTGGCTCACGCCTGTAATCCCAGCACTTCGGGAGGCCAAGGCAGGTGGACCACCTGAGGTCAGGAGTTCGAGACCAGCCTGGGCAATATGGCAAATCCCCACCGCTACTAAAAATACAAAAATTAGCCAGGTGTGGTGGTATACACCTGTAGTCCCAGCTACTTGGGAGGCTGAGGCAGGAGAATTGCTTGAATCTGGGAGGTGGAGGTTGCAGTCAGCCGAGATCACACCACTGCACTCCAGCCTGGGCAACAGAGTGAGACTCTGTCTCAAAAAAAAAAAAGAAAAAGGAAAAAAGAAAGAAAATAACCCCCTTGTGCTTTTCCAAATTCTGCCATCCTGGTTAAGACTAGATTCATATCAGCTACTTGCCTTTTTAAAACTCTTTCCAAGTTTTTAAATTTAAGCCCCAAAAGTGTCCTCACAGAAGGAGCAGGTACGAGTTGAGAAGGACAGAAGGCTGAGACCCCAGGCTCTGTGTTCTGTGCTTCTGTGCAGATTAGATCAGAGGGTTTAGATATGGGAGGACACAGCATACGGCCTGCCCTGAAGGGAATCACACAGGTGAGCACAGGATGGGAGGGGAGGGGAAGGAGGGCAGCCCACCAACAGAGTGGAGAGTGGAAAGGGAGTGTCGCAGAATACATGGCCAGGAGCCTCAAGGAAGAAAAGGGGACAGACACAGAAGTGAAAGTGCCTCTTAGAGACTGAAAAAGAGCAGGCGAGATGGAGAGAGAAATGGCAGGCCATGCCGTAGAAAGATGGCAATGCTTCTCCTTCAACATCACTGCCACTTGCCCCTGTGTTTCCAACACTTTCCTAAGTAGTCTCCTGGCCTGCAGACTCAACCCCTCCAGACTGGATTCCGTTCCCCAACACATGCTTCCTAACTCCAAAACCTTCAGTGACTCCCCTACTGCCTACAGGGTCAGGACTACGCTCCGTAACGTGACATCGGGTTCTCCCTGCCCAATCCCTGCTCACCTCTCCAGCCTCATCATCTGGCAACTGTCTCTGAGACAGTACGTACCAGGCCCCAGGATGGGTGCTGGGGACACAATAAATAAGACATGGTATACCCTTAAGAAGCTGAAAGTCGGCTGGGCACAGTGGCGGGCACCTGTAATCCCAGCTACTCAGGAGACTGAGGCAGGAGAATCACTTTAACCTGGGAGGCGGAGGTTGCAGTGAGCTGAGATCGCACTGCTGCACTCCAGCCTGGGCGACAGAGCAAGACTCTGTCTCAAAAATAGATCAATAGATAAACAAATAAGACTCCAAAACAAACAAACAAACAAAGGGACTCCGAGGGCACCCTGGCCCATTCCGCCATGTGAGGACCCGGTAAGAAGATGACCATCTAAGACCAAATCTGCCCCTGCCTTGTTCTTGGACCGCCTGGCCTTCTGAACTGTTAGAAATAAAAGTTTGTTATTTGAGCCACTCAGTCTATTACATTTTTGTTATAGTAGCCCAAACAAAGTCAGAGGGATAAGCCTAGCTGCTCCAGACAGTATGTCCTGTGAACTTCTTCAGAAATTCTGCCTTTTTCTGGTGGGCATCACTGTGTGTCGTATTTCCATGTTCACATGACGGTCCTTCACTAGACTCTGAGCTCCTCTTATTTGTCCTGGCATTTCCAGCCATTGGGACAATCCTAATATATGGCAGGCACTCAATAAATGCTTGATGAACAAGTTGTCAGCAAAGCCACCCACCGTGGCCTGGCAGGGATGGGGGCAGGGCACTCATCTCTTCTAACAAGGCTATGAGACCCTTGACCTTCCTTAGAATAACAGCTCACTCCAGGAACTCAGGAAAGATTCTCTTAAACATCCTGAGCACTCTACCCATAGCTGTCAACGGCAGGCCTCATTTGCAGCTCTAGATATTTTGCTGAGGTTCTTAGAGTCTAGAGGTCTGTACATAGCAAGTATACAGTGACTAGGCAATTTCTAAAGGCAGCATAGTCTAAGGATCAGGAGCCAGTCTTTGGAGCGGGTCCTGAGTTTGGATACCAGCTCCGCCACGCAGCACCTGTCCTTAAACAAGTTGCTGAAACCCCCCGAGCCTCAGTTTCCTCAAGTGTGAAGTGGACATCACATCTGCTTCCTACAATTGTAGGAGAATGAAATGACTAAAATATCCACACAAGGCCAGGCACATAGTAAGCTTTCTATAAATAGCAGTTACTACTACTAAAGCGATCTGGAGCCCTAATGCTGATACCCCATGGCCTATGCAAATTCCTGAGCCCCTAAATAGGCTCTTCTTGGTGTGCTCTGGGAGGTAAAAGATATCCAATCTCTGACTCACAATATGTTACCAAAATTCTCCTCAAATTCCCAAGAGAAAATGTATTTTAATTCCCTCTAACTTTAAAAATTAAACAGTTCTTACAGCATTTTGGGGTGGCAGGGGTGAGGAAGGAGCCCACAAAATCCAACAAGCAGCTTTTAAAAGGTTACAAACTGATTGGAGAAAGAAAGAAGGCAGCTGGAGGGGGTGAGAAGCGGGGATGGAGACAATCCCCTGAGTTTCTGCTATTATTGAATACCCCAACTCTCAAAGTAGCCCTGCTGCCCCCTCCTCCACGTGCGCTAAGCTCTGTTAATGAGAAAGCCGAGCTCTGCCTACATTACCACAATAATGATTTCCCGGTTGCATTTTTACATGCCTGCCGCTTTATCACAGCAGAAGTAGACATATATTTTCAATAAATCCCTTCTCTCCTTTCCCCTCCCCAACTCGAGCTCTCCCAGTAAATGCTGTTCCCTCTGCACCCTCCCCCAGTGCAATCCCAACCCTGGAGCACAATGAGTTCCACTAATCAAAACAGAAAGAAAAAGAAAAATGGAAAAATCACAGCTGCTGAAAAACAGCATTTGCTACAAGTCAAAGCCCTCTACATTTTTTCTGCACGCAGCATTTACTTCTTCAAGGACACATCACCCCGCCTCTATCAGAAATCTTACGTAGAGTTGCTCAAAGGGGGGAAGGAGGAGGGGGTGGGTGAAGAAATCTAATATTCAGTCTCTTTCCTATTTTGACTAAGCCAGCACAGACAGAAATATAGATAAGGCCTTGAATAACTGATTTAACAAAATGTCACTTATTAAAAGGAATGGGGGATGGGACAGCATTTGCATTCGAGAGCTCAGTTAAACCACCCCAGCTAAAGGCTGCAAGGCCAAGGCAAGGCAAGGGGGAAGAAAATATTTCTCAGGTCTGGTCTTCTTCAGTGGCTGCAAGGACTGGGCCTGGTAGCAGAGAAGCCTGGATTTCTCCTTCCATTAAGAACCAATGGCGAGAAAACCAGAGGTTTAAAAAAAAAAAAGAAAAGAAAAACCCAGCTGATTCTGAAGTAAGCATTTTTACAGCACTAACTAGTGTCAGGCTCTGTGCTAGAGGCCGGGGGGTACAGAAATGAGTGATGACCCAGTTCTGCCTTCCCCAAGCTCCCAGTCCAGAGGGGTGAAAGACACGTCCCACTGCAAGTATGACAGCAGCAGCCTTATAAACCAAGGGCAGCAGGAGCCCAGGAACAGCCCCTTCCAGCCCACCCACTGCCCTGGCCAGGCCCAGGCACACAGAGCCATCAAGAAAGACTTAAGGAATGAGCGTTTGCGAGGTTTGAATTCCATACTGCCTTCTAAAGAAGCTCAGACTCTTCAAAAGGAAAGAGGCCCCTAAATGTCCTTACTTACTGTGGCTCCCCCTGAAAACCCCTCAGCTCGCATGTATTCACCCAATTAACAAAGAAAAGCGAACTCAAGCCCCAATACTTCAGAATCAGCCTCATTACTGGTGTCCTTCAGTTGAATTTAAGGGAGCTTGGTATCTCCTATTGTAATGACAACAGAGGGAACTCAAACGACACTCCTATTAAAACTCCTTGGGCATCAACTCCAGCTTTTTTTCTTTTCCTTTAAAAAAAAAAAATCTTTCAAAGGAGTTAGATTGGGGGCAGTTTCCCAAAGACCAAGGGAGGCCCTAGGAGCAGCCTCTGTAATGACAAAGACCCCTAGAGGCCCTCAGGAAGGATTCTTTCTGAGGGAGCAAGCTGTCCAGGGCCCTGTTATCTCCAAAGTCAGAGCCCAGGGGCTAGAGGCCACACCATCTAGAAATGACCACTAGACCACCCAGGTCCCTCTGCTGAGGGGCCCCACAGAAGGGACAGAGCTGACAGTAGGACACAGATGGCAAATAGCTGCCCAAATAGCTGCCCAATTTGTTAAAGTCAAGTCTTGGCCTTCATTATAAGGCAGCCTTAAAGCTTTGTGCTCCAGAATAATGGAGGCAAACAATTTAAGTTTTCAAAAATGTCATGCCAAAAACATGCTTAAATCATCTGAGTATTTCCAACTAAGCTCATTGGAGTTGTAAGCCCAAAACACCCAGATGATCTTCCTGGTTTCCACGATCTTTTACATATATTCTGTACCACATTCTTTTATTTAATGCTGTATAGTATTATCTATTTCAGAGTGCACAAAATTTGGAAACCATTCAAATTGTGGCATTAAATCAGGGCTTTGGATGCTGGCTGAACAGGTGACTCTTAGTTGATCATTTATTTATATTTTCCAATTTTACTTCTCGAGCCTCAGTTTCCTCAGCTATAAAATGAGGATATCTACCTTCTCTGGTTGTTGCAGAACACAAATAAGATATGTCAAAGAGGCTTTGGAACTACAAAATGCGAGTTATTTCAGTGATGGCCTCCATTTCCTCTCTCTCTGATTTTTCGTTGATTTCTTCCTTCTCTCTATGAAACCAAATTGCTATCAGTTCCACTGTTTTTCAAAATCAACGACACATATTTATTATACAAATACAGAAGAAGCCCCATTATCCACAGGTGTGGCAAAATCTCAATAATTGCTAAATCTAGGTGATGAGTACAAGAGAGTTCATTATACTAGCCTCTCTGCTTTTGTGTATGTTTAAAGTTTTTTCATAATAAAGATCATTTTTAAATAAATAAATAAAGCTTCACCTTCTTAGGCAGAGGCCAGGAGCCCGATTAGTGAAAAGCACTGGATATCTTTTTAAAATGAGAATTGACTTTCCAGCATACACAGTAAGACTAAGGGCTAATGACTGCTTTTAGGTAGATTCAGCTTCATAGCACAATCCTTATTTGCAAAACAAACACTGAATGCAAATGAAGACGGCTAAGACTGTAGAACCTCAGTCGGGTTTCTTGGGGTAGGTTCAAGGTTCTCCTGCACCCAGTTCACAGGATTCTTTGTGGAGCAAACCAAGTTTATTTGGCCCTTTGGGTGGGCAGGTCCCAGATTCTGAATATGGAATCAGAATTTGAACCTGTATTGACTGGCACTGCCCAGCCAGCATTTCTGAGGCCAGCCTTCCGACAAGAAGAGCAGTTTTGCTAAAGGATCACAGAGAACTTGAAAACCCCAAATAGAAGGCAGCTACACGTAGGGAACAACAGTGGGAGTGGACAAGGGAAATGTTTCGCTGGCTGTCAGATTTTATATCTGAAAAGAAGACCTGGCTGAAGATCAAGTCGCCTCACTGCTGCCTCTGTTCTATGCCTCTTACCGTTGACATCGCACTTTCCATACATGATCTGATTCCCTCTCACAACTTGAAGAGGAGAGGTGAAGATGGTACCAGCCCTCTTTTTACAGATGTAGAGAGGCTCGGAGGTCGACTAGTCCAGAGCCTTGGTGTAGAGCTGGATCTCAATCCAGCTCTGACTCTCTCCTTTTCCACCCACCTCCCATGCAGACCCCATGGCTGGGAACCACCGAGGCTGGTAGTCCATGGGATATTTTTTGTGAAAGACAACCTAAACAACAGGCAGCCTTTGCTTTTTTTTTTTTTTTGCTTTTTTTTCTTTTGAGCTTCTTGCTCAAAACCTATGACAGTACCCACCAACTCTGAACAGGGCTGAAAATCACAGAAGTCTTTTTCTAATCATAGTTTTCAAATAAATTTAATGTGAGGCCCAAATTACTTTAACTGAAGACTCTTTTCTCCAAGCTAAAGAATTCACTCTTTCCTCTGTGCCGCTCAGTAACGCAGTCAAATGTTCAGAAAAATGCAGTACCATTTCTGATGCAGTCTTAACCCTTGAGTCTCTGGCTGGTATCAAGTCCTAAGCCCAAACTCCTTCCCAGGGACAGGGCAGCCTCAGCCTGGGGAGGCAGAGCATCTCGGTCCTCCACAGAGTCCCCTGCCTGCCCACTCCTTAGCATCTGCCCCCTTATCAGTTTTTCTTCCCTGTCATGATGGAGCAAGTTCCTGAAGTATCCCCCACCCCCTTACAAAGGCCAGATCTTCCCCTCAGACCTTCTCAAGGGCTTTTTGCTCAACTGACCCAACTCGTTTCTCTTGATCAGTCACTCCCTCTCCACTGATCTTTCCCATCAGCACACAAATTACCAACACTTCCAAAAAACCTCTTTCCCTTGTGCACATCCTTCCAGCTCCCACTCCGTTTCTCTGCTCCTCGCCTTTCATCATCAAATTTTGCCAAAGAGTTGACTACACGGGCTGTCCGCAGCTCCTCCCTCACGATCCCCTCCCAACTCTCTCCAGTCGTGGTCCCAGCCAACCCTTCACTCCACTGAAACTGTTCTTCACAAGTCACAGACAGATTCCATTTTGCCAAATTCAGGGCCTGGTGCAGTAGGTCACATCTGTAATCCAGCACTTGGGGAGGCCAAGGCAGGTGGATCACCTGAGGTCAGGAGTTTGAGACCAGCC
This sequence comes from Homo sapiens, assembly GCF_000001405.40. Classification (NCBI taxonomy): domain Eukaryota; kingdom Metazoa; phylum Chordata; class Mammalia; order Primates; family Hominidae; genus Homo; species Homo sapiens. The sequence goes on from NC_000006.12 coordinate 42,445,077, forward strand.
TGGCCAACATGGTGAAACCCCGTCTCTACTAAAAATATAAAAACCAGCCAGGCGTGGTGACACATGCCTGTAGTCCCAGCTACTCGGGAGGCTAAGGCAAGAGAATCACTTGAACATGGGAGGCAGAGGTTGCATGAGCTGAGATCACGCCACTGCACTCCAGCCTGGACAACAGAGCAAGACTCCATCTCAAAAAAAAAAAAAACAAAAAACGATGAAACAAATCCAATGGTGATTTTTCTGGCCTTATCAGCCTCAGGAAACACTACACACACAGACACACACACACACACACACACACACACACACACACAGCACACACCTCCTTCACACTGCCTGTTCTTCTCTCTCCACGGGCTCCTTAGGGCATTCTGTCCACTCTCCTGCATTTAAATGTTCTCTCCATGCCGATGGCTCCCACATTTTTATCTCGTGCTAGGTGGTAGATCAGATTACCCTACTTGACATCTCCACTTTGAGTCTAATAGGCACCTCAAACTTAGTGGTGCCCCAACTAAAATATCTTGATTCTGCCCGCCTCCCTCTCCCAATCTTTCTTCATCTCAGGAAACAGCACCACCATCTACTCAACTGCACAAGCCAGAAACCTCGGAGTTCTAGATGCTTCTCCCCACCCCACAGCAGCCCTGCCCATTCTACTCCTAATGAGCATCTCACACCCACCCACTCCTCTCCATGCACCTCCTTCGCCTCCTCCTCCACCTGCCTCTTTACTGTGCTCTGCCTTTCTCTGCTCTCTTCTCCACCAATGCAATCTTCTTAAAACGTGAATTAGGGGCTGTCGCTTCCCACTCCAAACTTTCTTTTGTTTGTTTGTTTTGTTGTTGTTGTTTTTGAGATGAAGTCTCGCTCTGTCACCCAGGCTGGAGTGCAGTGGCACGATCTCCACTCACTGCAACCTTCACCTCCTGGGCTCAAGTGATTCTCCTGCCTCAGCCTCCCAAGTAGCTGGGATCACAGGCATCCGCCACCACGCAGCCTAATTTTTGTATTTTTAGTAAAGACAGTGTTTCACCATTTTGGCCAGGCTGGTCTGGAACTCCTGACCTCAGGCTATCCACCCGCTTCGGCCTCCCGAAGTGCTAGGATTACAGGTGTGAGCCACCGTGCCCAGTCCCACTCCAAACTTTCAATGGCTTCCCACTACACTTCAAATGAAATGTAAACCTTTTCAAAGCCCAGAGAGTCCTGCACAATCATCTCATGCTGCCCTCCCTCCTTCATCCTTGACCACCTGTGCCTCTTTGAGTTCTCCAAAACCAAAGTCCTTCTGCACAGGCTCTCCTCTGCTTCATGTGCTGTCTCCCCCAACCCCCAAACCTCAGAGAGGCCTTTCCAGGCTACTCTAATGAAATCCATCCAAGTCACTGGACTTGTGGTTTCATCAGAGCACTGATCACAATTGGCAAGCTGTATTTCTTTACATGTCTGCCTCTGGACTGTAAGTGAAGTGGTAAGGGTAGGGGTATGGGTAGAGGGAGATGATTATGTCTCTTTCAATTATCAATATATTTCTGGAGCTTTAACACAGTGCCTGGCAAATAGTAAGTCCTCAATAAGAAGCTGCCGCATGTATGAAAGAAACCAGGGCTGCTTATGGCATTAAAAAAACCCTCGTTCCGCAGCCGGGTGTGGTGCCTCACGCCTGTCATCCCAGCACTTTGGGAGGCCAAGGTGGGCGGATCACTTGAGGCTAGGAGTTCAAGACCAGCCTGGTCAACATGGTGAAACCCTGTCTCTACTAAAATAAAATTAAAAGTAGCTGGGCATGGTGGTGCACGCCTGTAATCCCAGCTACCTGGGAGGCTGGGGCAGGAGGATCACTTGGACCCGAGAGGCAGAGGCTGCAGTGAGCTGAGATTGAGCCACAGCACTCCAGCCTGAGTGAGAGAGCAAGATGCTGTCTCAAAGAAACAAACAAACAAACAAAACCCTCGTTCTTTGAGCTCAGAGTTATCACTGTTATTTAGGCACACGGGTTCTTTGTCCCCTTCCTGCTCTATCAAACATATAAAAAGAAATGTTTATGTTGCTAAACCAAACCCCAACAGCTCAGCATATGCTACCCCATGCCAGCTCATCGTCTTCCATGATGAAAGACCAAGAATCATCTGTTTCTTCAGTAAACCAAATTACTACAAGCAGCTACTCTGAGAACTTAAAATTCTTAGAAAATATCACAGAGGCTTTTTGTTGTGTGTTTTCTTTAGCCCAGAAGAAAAGATTTATTAAGAGAGCCCTGGGGTCAAACTCATGTTACTGAGACTATATTATTCCTTAAAAATGCCCACAGCACCCTTGTGGCAACGCACGCCAGTAACTGGAATCCAGCTGTTCTTGTCCTCCTCTCTCCACAAAAGAAATCAACTATTCGTTAGTTCTCCTTTATTTTACTGGTTTCCCTTCAACATGCAAATTCAGAAATATCATTAATCCACAAGATCCCAGATGATTTTAATCCTTCCTCCTCCCTCAGCCACACAGTTTTATGAGGTCGGAAATAAAATGAGCTGAATTCAACCGCCTTTAGAGCAGGACCATGAGCACCATTTATACCGCCTGGGGTATAAGCCACTTGCCTAGATCCTTACTTTTCTTTTTTGTTGTTGTTGTTTTTGTTTTTTTGAGACAGAGTCTCGCTCTGTCACCCAGGCTGGAGTGCAATGGCATGATCTCGGCTCACTGCAACCTCTGCCTCCCAGGTTCAAGCACTTCTCATGCCTCATCCTCCCAAGTAACTGGGATTACAGACCCCCACCATCATGCCCAGCTAATTTTTGTATTTTTGTAGAGACGGGGTTTCACCATGTTGGCCAGGCTGGTCTTGAACTCCTGACCTCAGGTGATCCGCCTGCCTCGGCCTCCCAAAGTGCTGGGATTACAGGCATGAGCCACCGCGCCCAGCCCTAAATCCTTACTTTTCATGGCAATGTCCAAAGTCAATAAAAACATCAAGAGCTTCTCCCAAAAATGCCCATAGTGAAATACAGAGAATCCTGGTGATAAAAATGATACTATATCATTATTATGAACCTTATCACAAATATTCAGCCAAATCCCAATTACCCACAGAAAGCAGGCAAAGCCACACTGGGCTTTCTGGTCTCCAGTTTCTCCCCAAAGCTATCTCCTCCTGCTGCCTGGGAATAAGAGCTTGGTTAACCTTAGACTTGACCAAGGATTAGACAAGTTAACCAACTGGCTGGAGAAGAAACTTCTAAGATGAACAGAAATTATTTTTGGTACCTAGGATATGTACATGCTGCACTCTCTGTTAGTGCATAGAATTGAGAATTTTTTGTCCAAGACACTGGCAGACATTTATTCATAAGTATTTCCTTGTGTTTGATGGTCAAGATCACCAGGCCACTCAAGAGACCTTTCTGGAATACCAAGGATCAAATCCACTTTCTCCATGAGAAGACAAAAACAGAAGTTAATCAGCTCACCCAAGTCCATGAAGCAATTGGCCGTTGGCTCAGGAAGAGACTGTCAAGACCTCTGGAGACCTCGCTTACAAGACACAGAATTTCAGAGCCGGAAGGGAACTCACGGATCAAACCACGCACTTTTAAGATAAAAAATCCAAAGCCCAGAAATGGCTAGAAATTGGTACCTTCCCCACCTTTCTTTCCAGTGATGTTTCCCCTAGCCTTGAGCATCAAACTACTTTAAGTTCTTTGTCACTTTACCAATACTGTAAACTTAAGCCAACTATTGAACACAAGACAATTTTAACACTTCCTGGCTAATCAGCTTCACAGAGAATCCTTACATTTGTCAAAAAAATAACGCTTTCGGTTATTATAACCAACCCACCCATTAAAGAAGGAGAAAAAGAAAATCATAAACAAGCTTTATTTTTTGTGACCACACATTTTATTATACAAGCAGCAAAGAACACTGCAGTCTGTCTCCTCTTTTACACTTTAAGTTCCTAACTCAACAAAAACCACAGGCCCAAGCCGGTTATAGGAGGCAAAACTGAGTACTTTCCACACAGTTCATAGAACAACTGTTTTCACAGCAAGCTCACATAAATGCTATGTGATAATAACACATGCCTGCTATGTGGAAGCCTGCTTACCAAGCTGTGAAAAGACCCATGTTTACTATGGAACCTGCAAAATTAATCTTCTCATACAGCAGAAGGGAAATGCTCTTTTTGGGATGTCAAGCTGGCTTCTAAACAATCCTTTGGCGAAAATGGACATGCCTAAAAGGGCGGAGCCCAGAGAGGTGTGTCACTCCGGGTATCAATTCCTATAAATCAGATCCTGACAATCACCACAATATTTTAAAAAGAACGAATTATGATTCATGGGCCTTCAAGCCTTTATTACCGCAAGAACATTCTCGGTAGAAGAGGAAAAAAAAAAAAAACTACTGTGACTTGATTAATGGCCAAAGCAAGACAATAAAATAAATCTCATAAATATAAGGAAAAAAACCTGAATGACTGCTCTTGGCTCTGAGGCTAGGCATGTAAATAATTCCACCCTGGAATGAACATACATAAAGATTTTGTTTACCCTCCCAGCAAATACAACAACCAGACTCAGATTTTCATCAGGTAAAAATAATAGCTAATTTGCTTAACTAATGCCTAGTTAGGAACATTTGATAAGCAGCAATAATATTTAATTCCCAACTAACTCAACTCTCAAACTGCCAAATATCAACCCTCAATCTGGAAATCTGACGACAGTTAGGAAAGAAAAAAAGCACTCTCCATCAGCAATGTGTAGCGAGTTTTTTAAAACCCATTTTTCTCGACCCTGCTAGAACAGAGCCTGTCTACAGAATTGCAGAAAGCTTAACCAACCTCAGTTAACCCCACTGCCTAGTGGCTACTCCCTAACCCTACTAAACGTCTCCGGGTTGGACCCGAGATGCTAAAATTATCCTAGCAAAGTTAAAACTCCCAGCATCATCAAGGTAGCTGACAGCTAAGACCTACAACTCTTCTGCAGAAACCAGTAGGCTGAGGACCAAGAAAACAGAGGCAAGGAGAGGCAAAGGCTGCTGGTTAACTAGTTAAGCACTGAGGACTCCTGCTGTTATCCTCTCCAGTCAGTGAGCATCAACACCACACTTCCTATCGCCAAACTCCTTTCTTAAAAGGGTCAGTGATGCAGAAGGTGGGTGCTAACTGGGACAACTTAAAACTCCCCTTCTTAAAACTCTCCTCAATGACCTGCTGAAAAGTGCACCTGGACCGGTTTTCAGGAGATATTTTTTAATGAACTCTTTAGCCACTACAGGGGCGGTCATTCCTAAGCACGACTTCCACGCACTCACAAGACAGCCCAGGCCATGCTGAATTGAAGCCATCCCCTTCAGTACTGGCACTTGCCAAAGCTGCGTCTAGTCTGGGGAAGAGTTTCCACAAAGCTGGCTCTAACAGGCCGGTAGAAGACACACGGAGGAACCAGAAAGCGTTTTCTTGTAACCTAAGGATGGCAGGCGCACATGCTCCAGTCCAGTGCTGGCCAGAGGCTGCCTGCCAGGTGCTCTCGGCCTCCGCTGGTGAAGGAGTGGTTTGGTTGGTTTTTAATATCTGTTTCTTAAGACCACCGGCAGTAACTTCCCAGTCTCCCAAACTGAAGTTGGGGAGTGAAGGAACAGGTTTACCCCCTTACACATTTCTCCCATCTGGGTGGCCACACTAACTTCTGGGGAGTACCCAGCCCCCACAGAGCCCGCAGGCGCGTATACATACACATATGTATCATGTCAAAAACCCCAAAAGGCAGAGTCCTGCGGTTTCTTAGCTGGAGAATGAAGCCTTTATAACATCACAACCTCAAATGCAAGCCCACCATCACTACCTTTAAGCCAGGGTTGCCAATTATAGCGCCCACCTCATCCCTCCCCCTTTGCTGGGATGCTGTGCAGCCCGGAGAGGGAAGAAGGGAAGAAGGGAGAAGGCCTGCTTGCATAGTGAAAGTAAAGGGGGGGGAGACTTCTCCTTCTGTCTCCCCACTCTTCCCTCCCCACTTCGCCCCACCCCCGTCTTCTCGAGGAGCATCCCCAAACTAATTTTTTAAAAATGAAACTTAATAAGCTTCTTGCCTACCTTGGCTGTTTCTGCAACAAGTGCATGGGCAATCCGACGAGAAGACCAGTATCCGCTTGGGGGGTGAGATGGGGGGCGAGCAGAGCTGATGGAGTAATTTCAATATTAATTTATGTCAGCCGCCTTCTCTCAGCGCTACTCACTTACTGTACTGCCCTCAGCCTGTAAACAAATATCGCTCCGCCAGGAAACATACTCCCCAGATGCAAGCCCCTCTCCCCAGCAGGGAACCTGGCCCCTCGTCCCCCCGACAAGAGTGTGCTCCCCCACCCAGGGTAGGAAGCTTTGGGTTTCCAAAGCACCAACCCACCACCTCCTCCACCACCCCAGCAAGAAACTTACTCGGTCCGTCTACGCCTCCACCCTCCCTTCAGGAAATCTACTCTCCATATGCATTCAGCCTCCCCGCAGGAAATCTGCTCCCCCCTCCCCCCTTCTATATACATGCACCCCTCCCTCTCCTCCTCCCCATGCGCCCTCCCCGGCCAGAAACTTACTAGTGAGCAAGCGTGCAGGCTCTCCTGATGCTGGAAACTTACTCCCAGATATAGCGCCCGCCAGCCCCCTTTCCCAGCCCTGCTCCCCTTCCTGCCCTCCGCCGCAAGCAACTCCAAACTCTCCGCATCCAGCCGTTCTCCCTCCCCAGTGGAAATTTGCAGCGCCGGGCTGCGCGCGTGCATCCACCCTCCCCTTCAGGAAACTTACTCCCCATCTGCATGCACCGCCTCTCAGCCATCGCTTAGAGGGAAGGGGGTGTGCTGGGGAGACAGAAATACATATGTATCTCTCGCCCCTCCCCCGGTCGCAGCCCACTCGGGGCCGAGCCGCGGTAACCTGGCCTTACCTTTGCATTGCTCCCCATCCTCGCCCCCTCCCTTAACCCTCCTTATCCGCTCCCCGGTACCCCCCTTTTTTCACCCATTACCCACCCCTAGCAACCGTTCCCAAGCTCCTCTCGGCCTTTTTTTTTTTTTTAAATCCAGGATGCAAATTCCTCCCTTGTCAGCAAATCGACTGTCAAATTATTTTCTTGCAAAAGGAGAAAGGCGGGGTGGGGGGGGGGAGCAGGAGCAAAAAGAGGGGGAGGGCGGGGGAAGGGAGGGGGAAGGGAGGGAGAGGGACCGAGGAGGGGAGATATCCCTCCGCAGAGCTGGGTCTGGCCGCGGGCGGGGAAGCAGGAAGTAAGGTGTCCAGCGCCGCGACCGGCTGGTCGTCCGCCTCGGCCCCCGCCCGCGTCCCCTTTCCCCCGGGGCGCAGCGCTACGGCGGGCGCGGGCCGCCCGGCGCATTGTTCGCAGCCTTCGCGGCGGTGCGCTGCTGACTTTATTTGTGCGCTTTGCGTGTGCGTGAGGTTGCACCTTTTGTAGGCTGGCGAGTCTCTGGACGAGGATGGGACGGGGGACACGGGCCCAGTTGCGGCCCTGCGCGAGCGGGACCTGTCAGCCCTGAGGTGCAGCGGACCCTCCGGCATGGCCGGAAAATCGAGGCCGGGGAGAAGGCAGCGTGGCCGGGAAGCTGCCGCCTTAAACCCGGACCAGTGCAGGATTGCTTCCTGCGTAGCCGTCCCGGTTATTGTAACACGCTTTGCAAGCTAACGACTGGGGTTTGTGAGGGGGTTTGTTTATTTTTCTAAGTGTTTGCAAAGATGCCGAGGTCGAGGCGGGCTGCGAGGAGACGGTCCGCGCCTACCCCCACCGCACCCTGGCCTCGGTGGGGCTGGGAGAGGGCTGGGGCTCCGGAGAAGGGGCTGGAGGTTCGCGAAGCGCGCGTCTCCATCCCTCCGCCCCGATGGGGGCGGGGAAGGGGTGCAGTAGACCGCGCTGGAAGAGCAGCTCTCTGGGGAGGGGTCTCCCTTGCCGCGGCAGGCGCAGCAGGCCGGGGAGGGGGGTTGCCTAGGAGAGGGGCCGGGCGGCGGAGGGGAGGGGAGGAGAGGGGGCGCGGGTGCAGCCGCCGCGCGCGCTCGCCCCTCCTCGCGCGCCATGACTGTGGAACGTGGTGCCGGGGAGGAGGGACGGCCACCGGGGGCCGCCCGGGGCTGCTCGGCATTGGTGCGGAAACCCGAGCCCGGAGTCGCTCCCTCGCGCTGTCTCCTCCTCCTCCTCTGCGGGGGAAACCGCTGCACCCAAACCGGGAGCAGCTGCGAGCAGGGGGCAGGGCGCGGGCTGAAAGGCGAGCCGAAGGTTCAAACCTCCGCGGCGCGGGCGGGGGCGGAGGGCAACAGCAGGACGGCCCCCAGGTCCCGAGAAGGCGTGGCAGTGGTCGGCCCAGGTGTCAGGGAACCTGGCCTGAGACCCCTGCATTTCCAAGCTTCTTTCCTGGTCAGAGGAAACGTGAACCAAAGGTAGTTCAGCTAAACAGACCACCTCGAGCCGGGTTCGAGGCATCTGTCTCGAGGGCAAGACAGTATTTTTTGCACGACAGAAAGTTACACCATCCATTTTTTTCCGTGGGGGAAATCATTGCGCCCCTTCCCCCAAAATGTCGCGCAAGAAGAATGACCTCCCGCTACCCAGACCTTCGCCAGTGTCCCCCACCCCACCCCCACCCGGGCGCTGGGTGTGGATTGGGCGGAGGGAGGCTATATGGGAGCTTAAAGCATGAGGTCATGAGCGGAGGAGACTGCTGCCAAAAGCACCCGAGGTTTTTGTGTTTTTTGAGGGGTAACGGTTCTCCATCTTCAGCAGTGGAAAGTCCTCCCGCCTACCCTACCAATTCTGGGGCACGTGGACCACAGAGTCCCTGAAAAGAGGAGGGGACCCGGGCTATTTCGCTTAATGAGCGTTTGGCGCGTGCCCAGCCCTTTATGGAGCCCTTCCACATAAGCAAAGAAAGCCGAGGGACAGCGCACAGTGTTGCGGCGACTGGGAAAGGCTTCAGATGCTCGATGTCCCCCGCCCTCTTTCCTCAGTCCTCGGTCATCTTCCAAGTGGGCTGCTTTCTGCGATAGCTTCCTGTCCCCCTCCGACCCATTCCTCCCAAGCGACTAAAACTCCTAATGACATTATTTTAAAGCCTTCAAAACCCTCTTCCATTGCCCTTAGAATAAAGCCAAGTTGTGATTTCGCCTCTACAGACCTCTCTACCCGCCCAGCTCTTCCTCGGATATTGTAAGCCCCGTCAAGCTTTCTTTGTTCAAGGGGTGGAGGAGGGGGCGCCTAACCTTTCCCCTTCCACCTCTTCTTACTAACTCCTGCTGGACCTTCAAGATTTGACTCAACTGTCAGTAACTTCAAGATGCCTTCCTGAGGGTACACCCAGGTCTCTACCTCAGGGGAAAAGACCTACCCTAGGTCTCCTGGCAGCAGCGCTGTGGCCGGAGTTGGCCCCAGTGGCGGCCTTTTTCCAAGCGGAGGAGGAACAGCCAAGCTAAGCTTGACCACCGTCACCGCCCAGGGACCTGAGCGGGAGCTGGCTAGGACAAAACCTCAAAACGGGACTTGGGAAAACCGCACCACCCAGAAAACTCAGCCCCTCCACCTCCCTCCCAGCACACACACACACCCTCTTAATCTAAAACTCCTCCCCGGGGCAGATAAGGAACCTATTCGGAGAGTTAAGTTAATTGCCCCAGGTCAATGTGGAAATTCACAGCCTGTCTTTCCAGCTCCTAAACCAGAAGCTGCAGAGAAGGAAGGATTTGGGATTTGCGGCTACACAGCCAAGGACGCTTTTGTCATCTTCAAAGGACCCCCTACACCCTACACGCTTGGCCCGCTCTGTTCATTGCCAACAGAGTGATGGTAATGCCAGATGGTTAGCTCTGCAGGCTCTGACCTTAGGCAAATTACTTAACCGCTTGGTTCAGTTTCTTTGCCTGTAAAATGGGAATGATAGTATTCATATCATAGTGTTATTGTGAGGTTTAAATGAGTTATTTTATGTAAGGCCTTAGAGTTTAAAGCAAGTTACTAATATTTGTGAATAGGGTTGTGTATCCTCCCCCGCCCCGCCCCCCCCCCACCTTCCAAAGGACTCTAGAAAATCAGATCCTCAGAGTCTTAGCTGATTGAAGCATCAGAAAAATATCTATGGGGCCAGGCGGGGTGGCTCACACCTGTCATCCCAGCGCTTTGGGCGGATGAGGTAGGCGGATCGCTTGAGCTGAGGAGTTTGAGACCAGCCTGGACAATGTAGAGAGACCCTCTCCACGTTTATTATTAAAAAATAAAAAATTAGCCAGGCATAGTGGTGCATGCCTGTAGTCCCAGCTACTGAGGAGGCTAAGGCAGGAGGATGGCTTGAGCCCACGGGGTTGAGGCTGCAGTGAGCAGATTGCCCCACTGCACTCCAGCCTGGGTGACAGCGCAAGACTCTGTCTCAAAAAATAAAATTATATATATAGAGAGAGGGAGAGAGAGAGAGAGAAAGAGAGCACCAAAAGGACTGGGAAACACCGGCAGATGCACAGACAATGCATCCCTGATTTTACCAATAGACTTGACTCCCAACAATGCATACTCTTGAAGGCAATCCACAGGTTGAATAAACCAAGTCCATGAGCGCTGGGTCTGGAATCTTTCTACAATCAGGGTCAGAAGGAGGGTGACTGAAATTAAAATATTAGCTTGGATCTTTGAAATCAGAGTCAGGCTGAAAAAGTCCCAATCTTAGTTCAAAACCTGTCCTGCATGACTGAAGCCCTCCTAGGGCTGCACAAAGTATAATGGAATTATTATTATTATTATCATTAGATCCTAGTCTTACCATTCTCAGCACTTATCCCCATAGCAAAAGACCATTTTTTAATGTAATTTATTCTTTTGGAATAGGTTGAATGCATTCACATGGTTCCAAATTCAAATAAACAGCAAGAAGTCTCCCTCCCACCCTGTCTGCCACCCACTTGGTTTTCCTTCTCTGGAGGCAACCTGGGTTAGTGGTCAGAAGATGCATTTAACTGTTTTCCAGCTGAGGCCTTGTGAGAACTCCTCGGACACCAATTTAAATCTTTATGTCCAGAACTCCTTTCTCCAATCCAGGTAGAGCCACTCCCCTATCCTATCCCCACTCCCACCCTTCCCCCCTTCAGCCTCAATCCTAAGCAGGCTCTATTAACAATGATGAGCCACCATTTCCTCGAGCTACTAACAAATGCAAATGTTTAAATACTTTGTGGTTCTTTTTCCTCTTCTACATTAATTGCTAACATTTATCGAGGGCTTTCCGTGTGCCACGCACTGTGCTAAATACTAGGCATGCATATTCTTATTTAATCTGCCCCAAATCTTCATCATTATCCTTATTTACAGATGCAGACAGAAATGAAAGTTCAGAGAGATTATGTAATTTGCACCAATTTGCATCCAGGCCAACCTGAATCCAAACCCTATCTCTTTTTACTTTTTCTTTCCTTTTTTTTTTTTTTTTTAAACAGGGTCTCACTCTTGTCAGCCCAGATGGCATGCAGTGGCACAGTCTATGGAGGCAATCAGGGTTAGCTGTCAGCTCACTGTGGCCTCAACCTCCCAGGCGCAAGTGATCCTCCCACCTCAGCATCCCCAGTAGCTGGGACTACAGGTGTACGCCACTACCCCCAGCTAATTTTTGTATTTTTTTGTAGAGATGAGGTTCCACCATTCTTGCCCAGACTGGTTTCGAACTCCTGGACTCAAGCGATTTGCCTGCCTCGGCCTCAAAAAGTGCTGGGATTACATGCATGAGCCACCACACCCGGACCCTCTCTCTTAAATAGTGGCCCTTTTGCCTCTCTGCAACACAGGAAAAATTCTGTTAGCCTGCATCAGAAGGAGTGGCATGGAGGCTTTGGAGTTAAGAAGATTTAATTCAAATTATGTGTCCGGTGCCTGCCAGCAATGAGACCTTGGTAAGGTTTCTTAACCTCTCTGAGCTGGGACCATACCTTCTGCGTTGGTTTAATATAAAGGTTAAATGCATGTAAATAAATGACTTCTAAAATAAATAACATTCTAAAATGTTAGTAACAACTAAATACAATATTTAGATCTTGTGAGGATTTGATTTGAATAAATAAGATTTTTTTAAAAGACATTTTTGAGACAAAATGTAGACTATCTGATATTAAGAAATTAATCACTTTTTCAGATATGATAATGGCATTGCAGTTTTTTTTAAGTTCTTATCTATTACAGATACATAATGAGGCATTTTGAGTGAAAATATATCTAGGATTTGCTTTCCAATACTCCATCCCCTCCCCATCAAAACACTAAATAAATGAAACAAGATTAGTGAAATACGGAAAATTGTTGAAGTTATTCATTATTCCATTTCCCATATGGAACTTTCCATACTAGTTTCCCTACTGCTGTTGAATATTTGACATGTTTCAAATACATTTGAAATAAATTTATTGTCTGAGATGATCAGGTTGAAAAATAATAAAATGAAATAAATTTAAAAGTAAAATAAACATAACCCTTTTAAGCATTAAAATTAAAAATTATGAGGCTTGTTGAATTATTACTGTTATAAATAATTACATACATGTATTTTTGAAACAGTCTTGCTCTTTCACCCAGGCTGCAGTGCAGTGGCATAATCACAGTTCACTGCGGCCTCAACCTCCCAGGCTCAGGTGATCCTTGCACGTCTGCCTCCCAAGTAGCTGGGACTGCAGGTGTGCACCACCATGCCTGGCTAAATTTTTCTCTTTTGTAGAGACGGGTTTTGCGATTTTGCCCACACTGGTCTTAAAGTCCTGGGCTCACGGGATCCTCCCACCTCAGCCTCTCAAAGTGCTGGGATTATAGGCATGAGCCACTGCACCCAGCCTAACATTTTTTAAGTTAACAAAATACAATGCTAGTACATAATAGGCATCCAGAAATGGCATTTTTTGTCACCATGAGCCATTCAGGGTAGCATGTAAGTCAGACCTGAGCCCTGAAAAGAGCAAGGTAGACAGGTAATTGTTAAGGACGCATTTAATTCCACAGAAGACAGCATATATGAAGGTAAATGGCAGAAGGACTGGGTGACAGGAACAGGCAAATTAAAGTTAGGGGCTGGTTTTCCCTGAAAATGTGCATCACTGCAGAGACACCTCAAGAATTTATAGACTTGGAATCAGATGCACTGGGTGAAATTCTCAACTCTGCTCACGGTTCTGCCACCCAGTCCAGAACTGTGACTGACTTCCCTCGTTTTCAGTTTAGATGCTAGAACTCTCTGGCTCCTTCTAGTTGTCTAGACTGTCCACAATGCTGCTGGCTTTCCCAAGAGAAGGATCATTTCTGAGGCTACGCTGGTTATTTGCCTATCTCAGGAACAAATCAGAGCTGAATGGAAATGTATCCAGTCCATAATCAAACGAAACGTTTTAGGCCCAGTGAGCATTTGTATATTGTTCTTGGAGTAATTTTTCCATGCTCTGGATTTAAGCAGCTGGAATGATTTTTACATATGACCCCGTTTTGAAATGAAAGTTTGTCCTCTTTAAGAGAAAGTGTGCATTTTGGGGAAAAGATAAGACAATATATTTGGTAACTCTTCAAATAAGTGAACCCTTCTATAAAATACTTCCCTTTATATTAAAGGTGGAGCTTTGGGAGAGCTTCTTAAAAACTGGACAAACTGCAGGCATGGAAAAATAGACAAGAGCATGGAGGGGGAAATACCACCTCAGTTGCCTTTCTACCCACTGCTGCAGAATGAAGTCTCAGAGAGGCAACAGGACCAAATGAAGGGGATAGCACAAATCAAGTGTGTGCTTTAGGGATGAGTGATGGATATAATTCATGCAGTTGTTGAAGCAGTCCCAGTGATCCAGAGGCAGGCGAGTCGTTCACTTTCAGTGGCAAGTGAAAGCAATGAAACAATAGGGTTGTAGGGTGTTTCTCAAACCCTTGTTTCTTTGCCATCCTTGAATCTGCAACAACCAAAGCAATGAAAACAAAAACAGAAAATTGAGGCACAGGAGGGTTTATGGAACTCCCATTTGAAACCAACAAGGCAGCATAATTTATTGTAGTAACTTCAACCCTCAATTCTGTTAAGGATGGTATTGAGAGAGCTGGCCTTACTCAAGACCAGAGGCCTAACTGATATTTGTTTAGTAATACTAAGAGATTGCTATCTAGGGTAAGTTTCTAGCCAGAGAGAAAAATAGGTTCCAGGATATGAGAAGGTTCTCAGCTTAAGCCATATATTTTTTAATTAGCCTATTTAGTAGATTCTGTATCCAATACAAAAAACTAGAAGTGATCAACTGGTTTGGGTAACTCCTAAAACTTCCTGCACCTGCCCAGGAGGCGTGCTTGGGAGTCACACATTTCAGCTGTGGCAATAGTAGGTGGCATGCAAGGGCTATGGTGGCCCACAATAGTTCCCAGCTTCAAGTTAGTCCCAAATGAGTGGCTTTAGCTGTGAGGGTGAGGAAAAGAGAGAATTAGTTAATTTCCTATTGCAGATGCAAATCTACTAAAGTTTTAAATTGCACAGTGAGTATAGATTACAGCTAGTTTTCCAGATTCCCTAATGGAGCCACAATTCTTTTTAAGTGGGAGAGAGAACACATGAGACCTTGTATCAGAAAGAATTCTGGCAGGAAACAGGTGGTATTCTCAATAGATAACTGCAGATCATTTAAGGTAAGTAGTATTTACAATACAGTGCAGGCAGGACCGAGCTCCATGGGTGTGCAACCTGTGCAACTAGACCTCAAAATTAGAGGGGCCACACACTAGTTTAATGCTTTGCAATCCCCATCTTTAAATTCTTTGGAATTTTTAAAATGTATATAGAAATGGAAGAGTCTAGTTATGTTGCCCTGGCTCATCTTGAGCTGCTGGCCTCAAGCAGTCCTCCTGCCTCGGCCTCCTGAAGTGCTGGGATTACAAGCATGAACCACTCCGGCCGACCTTTGTAATTTTTGAACAAAGGACCCTGCATTGCACCGGCCCCACAAATTACGTGTGTGCAGGATTAAGGGAAACCAGCAAGGGGTGGTATAGCACCAAAGGACCAAAACCAATATGGAGCCTTTACCATTCCTAGTTCAGAAACAGCAAGAAAAAAAATATCTGCAATGGAGTGAAAGTGATTGCTGAAGTTGTGGCCACAGGTGTAGCTGTAAGAGAGGCCCACCTAAAAGGAGCTGTGGCCTTCAGTAGAAGAACACAACCACAGCCAATTCATAGCCTGCAGAGAGGGAGGTGGATAAATACGTATCCCAAATTATTTCTCTTCCTACCCTCTGATCTGTTTGTGCCTCCCACGGCTGAACCTGACAGGAAGCCAGAGGGTATGGGAGCCCACTGATGGAATCGATGGAGGTCAGCCTTCCAGGGCCTAGGGTACAGTAGAGAAAGGTAGCAAGTAGGTCTATAAAGAGCAATCAGAGAAGATCCAGCCCAGAACTTGTACCTAAAAATTTCAGGATCATGGTTAAGAGTAAATAAAATACAAATAAACAAATTTCAGTAAAGAACTTTACATTGTAATGATTTTTAAAGGACAGTCATTCGGCATGTATCATGCACGGGATTTTATACATTTTTAAAGGAAAAACGAGATTAAGAATTTCAAGAAAAGAGGCTTGGGTGTTTGAAAGGGTCATCACTAATGAAAAGAAAAGGCTGGGATTTCAAAATTTTTTAAACATTCCAGGCCCCGAAGCCACATTTTGCAAACAGCCCATTCCCCTTGATCCTCACTTCCCTCACCCTGAGGCCACCATCACAATACAAAATGCTTTCACAGGCACAGCATCCCAAGATTTGCAAGGGCCACTTGGGCAATAGCAGCTGAATAGAATATATTCCAACAAAGAGGATTTTGGTTCAATTATATATTTATTGATACCTTTTACATAGGAGGAGCATTGAAAAGGTGGTGTAATGGGAATACATTATGCTAACTTGTAACCATTCTGACTACTGAATTCCTCAGCACATTATTAGACTATCCAGTTCACTTTCAAAAAAACAGCGTGGCTCTGATTCATTTGGATTCCACTCATAGTTCCTAGCTCAGAAATGGGCAGAGCTAGATTCACTCTTTATGATTTCCCTGAAAAATAAAGATTTTTCTACAAACATAAACAAGATTCCAGAGACACAACCTTCTTTTTCAAATTGAGGTAAAATATACAGAACACAAACTTAGCCATTTTAAAGTGTATGATTAAGTGGCATTTTGTACATTCACAATCTTGTGTAGCCATCACCTCTATCTAGTTCCAAAATATTTGTATCATCCTGAAGGGAAACTTTACACATAAAGCAGTTAATCCTCATTTCTTCTCCTCAGCCCCTGGAAACCACTAATCTGCCTCTGTCTCTGGATTTACCTATTCAGGATAGATAGATTAGATAGATAGATAGATAGATAGATAGATAGATAGATAGATAGATAGATAGATAGATATAGTAGTAGTTGTTGTTGCCCAGGCTGGAGTGCAATGGCATGATCTCGGCTCACTGCAACCTCTGCCTTCCAGGTTCAAGTGATTCTCCTGCCTCAGCCTCCCAAGTAGCTGGGGTTACAGGCCCCCACCACTACCATGGCCGGCTAATTTTTGTATTTTTAGTAGAGACAGGGTTTCACCATGTTAGCCAGGCTGGTCTCGAACTCCAGACTCGGTCTCAAAAAAAAAAAAAGTCACAGAAAACTTTCTGGAAGAGCTAACCACTTGCATTAAACTGAAGTGAATAAAATACCTAGCTTATAAGTTTCCCATAATATTAAACAGAGTAAAATTTAAAATCTCAATTACTTGTATACCCCGTGTACACTGACATAAATTATCTATAAAGTACTATTTTTTATAAAGGCACTGGAAACAAAGTCATTGGTCATTGGTTTTCTATCATGATGTTTAATATCACGATGTTTAATATCACGATGTAAAATCCTTGCTTTAAGGATTGTAAGAATTAAACTAGCTGGTGCGGTGGCTCACACCTGTAATCCCAGCACTTTGGGAGGCTGAGGCGGCAGATCACAAGGTCAGGAGATCGAGACCATCCTGGCTAACACGGTGAAACCCTGTCTCTACTAAAAATACAAAAAAATTAGCAGGGCTTGGTGGCAGGTGCCTGTAGTCCCAGCTACTTGGGAGGCTGAGGCAGGAGAATGGTGTGAACCTGGGAAGCAGAGGTTGCAGTGAGCCGAGATTGCACCACTGCACTCCAGCCCGGGCTACAGAGCGAGACTCCATCTCAAAAAAAAAAAAAAAAACTAGGCCCGGCGCAGCGGATCACTTGAGGTCAGGAGTTCAAGACCAGCCTGGCCAACATGGTGAAACCCCGTCTCTACTAAAAAAATACAAAAATTACTTGGGCATGGTGGTGGGCGGCTGTAATCCCAGCTACCTGGAGGTTGAGGCAGGAGAATCTCTTGAACCCAGGAGGCGGAGGTTTTGCAGTGAGCCGAGATTGTGCCACTGCACTCCAGCCTGGGCGACAGAGTGAGAGTCTGCCTCAAAAAAAAAAAAAAAAAAAAAAAGAAGGAAAGACAGAGAGAGAGAGAGAAAGCGAGAAAGAATGAAAGAAAGGGAGAAAGAAAGAGAGAGAGGAGAGAAAGAGAAAAGAAAAGAAAGAAAAAAGAAAAGAAAAGTATTAAACTAACAAGATGTTTTCCTGATTTTTAATTTGGTTGTTTTCCTGCTATTGAGCTTTGAGGAGTTTTTCTAGGTACAACTCCTTTGCACATGCAATTTGCAAATATTTTCCCTTAGTCTACAGTTTCATTCTCTTAACGGTGTATTTCACAAAGCCAAAGCTTTTAATTTTAATAAAATCCAATTTGTTACTTTCCCATTTTATGGGTTGTACTTTTTTTTTTTTTTTTTTTTGAGACGGAGTCTCCCTCTGTTGCCCAGGCTGGAGTGCAGTGGCGCGATTTCAGCTCACTGCAACCTCTGCCTTCCGGGTTCACGCCATTCTCCTGCCTCAGCCTCCCGAGTAGCTGGGACTACAGGCGCCTGCCACCACGCTCGGCTAATTTTTAGTATTTTTAGTAGTGTCAGGGTTTCACCGTGTTAGCCAGGATGGTCTCGATCTCCTGACCTCATGATGCACCTGCCTCGGCCTCCCAAAGTGCTGGGATTACAGGCATGAGCCACCGCGCCCGGCCAGGTTGTACTTTTGATGTTAGGTCTAAGAACACTCCCTAATCCCAAATCATGTACATTTCTACTGTTTTCTTCTAAAAGTTGTATAGTTTTACATTTTATTTTTACATCTATGATGCATTTTTGAGTTAATTTTTATATAAGGTGTGAGATTGAGATGAAACTTTTTTGTTTTTAATTTTGTTGTTATTGTTGTTGTTGTTATGTGTTCGTTTGTTTGTTTTTGAGACAGGGTCTTATTCTGTCACCCAGGCTAGAGTGCACTGGCACAATCTCGGCTCACTCCAGCCTTGACCTCCCAGGTTCAAGTGATCCTCCCACCTCAGCCTCCCAAGTAGCTGGGGCTACAGGCATGCACTACCACTCCTGGCTCATTTTTTTTTTTTTTTTTTTTTTTTTTTTTTTTTTTTGTAGAGATGAGCTCTCTCTATGTTGCCTAGGCTGGTCTCGAACTCATGGCTTGAGCAATCCTCCCACCTCAGCCTCCCTAAGTGCTGGGATTACAAGTGCAAGTCACTGTTCCCAGCCTGTTTTTATTTTTTTTGTGGAATATTTTTGTATACAGATGTCAGTTGTTCCAACACCACATGTTAAAAAGATTATCACTTTTCCATTTAATTGCGTTTGTACCTTTTTCAGCAATCCACATTTGTGACTTTATTTCTGGACATTTTATCCTTATTAATTGGCCTGTGCATCTATCCTCTGCCAATAGCACACTATCCAGATTACTGTTACTTTACAGCAAGTCTTAAAATCGGGTAGACCTGTTCTTCCTGCTTTATTCTTCTTTTTAAAAATGGTTTTGGCTCTTCTGATCCCTTTGCCTTTCCAAATAAATTTTAGAATCAGCTTGTGTATACTTACAAAAGTCCTATTGGAATTTTTATTGGAATTGCATTACATCTATAGATTAATGTGAGAAGAATTTGACATTTTAACTAAATTAAATCTTCCAACCCACATTATGTCTCTCCATTTATTATGTCTTCTTTGGTTTCTTTCATCAGTGTTCATACTTGTCAGCATATAGATATCCTGCACAAGTTTTGGTATATTTATACCTAAGTATTTCTCATTTTAAAATTTTAATTAGTATTTTTTAAAATATTGGTTTCCAAATTTTAAAATAAAATATATAGAAGCATGATACATTTTTTTGAGTTGACTTTATACACTGGGACTATAATAAATTCATTAATTAGGGTAGGAGTTTCTTTGGATATTCCTTGGGATTTTCTACATAGAAAATCATCACTTGCAAATAGGAACAGTATTTTTCTTTCTAATCTGTATGCCTTTTACTTTTTTTCTCTGCCTTACTGTACTGGCTAGGACTTCCAGTACCATATTGAATAGGAGAGATGAAAGTGGACATCCCTGCCTTGCTTTCTATCCTAGGGGAAAGTATTCAGTCTTTTACCATTAAGTATGATGTTCACTTTGGTATTTTGTAAATTATCAAATAAAGGAAATTCTCTTTTATTTCTAGATTGCCGAGGGTTTTTACCATTAAGGAATGCTGGGCTTTTTGAAATGCTTTCTTTTTGCTTTGTTTGATATGCTGTTGTCATTTTTACTCTCTGGTTTTTTAATTTGGTGGATTATAATAATTGATTTTTGAACATGGAACCAGCCTTGCATTCCTAGGATCTAGGATAAACCCCATGTGGTCATGAAATTTTTTTTTTTTTTTTTTGAGACGGAGTCTCACTCTGTCACCCAGGCTGGAGTGCAGTGGCACAATCTCGGCTCACTGCAACCTCTGCCTCCTGGGTTCAAGCGATTCTCCTGCCTCAGCCTCCTGAGTAGCTGCAATTACAGGCACGCGCCATCATGCCTGACTAATTTTTCTATTTTTAGTAGAGACAGCGTTTCACCATGTTGGGCAGGCTGGTCTCGAACTCCTGACCTTGTGATCTGCCCACGTCAGCCTCCCAAAGTGCCGGGATTACAGGTGTGAGCCACCGCACCTGGCCAAATGTTATTCTTTTTACATATTGCTGGATTCAATTTCCTAATTTTTCATGAAAATTTTTGTGTACTGTTCATGAAGGATATTGGTCTATAGTTTTCCTGTATTGTCTTTGTCCAGCCTCATAATATGAACTGGGAAGTGTTCCTTTCTCTCCTATTTTCTGAAAAAGATTGTGTAGAATTGGTGCTATTTGTTCATTAAAAGTTTAATAGAAATTCACCTATCTGAGCTTGGAGATCTTTTTATTTTATTGATATTCTCTATTGTTTTTCTGTAATCAATGTTATTGAGTTCTCCTCTTTATTATTTCCTTCCTTCTGCTTGCATTGGATTTTATTTTGCTCTTCTTTTTGTTAGTTTTTTAAGGTAGAAGACTAATTTGTTGCTTTGAGACCTTTGTGGGTTTTTTTTTCTTCCCTCCCTCCCTCCCTCCCTTCTTTCCTTCCTTCCTTCCTTCGTTCTTTCCTTCCTTCCTTCCTTCCTTCCTCTGTCTCTCTCTCTCTCTTTCTTTCTTTCTTTCTAGACAGAGTTTCACTCTGTCGCCCAGGCTGGAGTGCAGTGGCTTGATCTTGGCTCCCTGCAATCTCACCCTCCCAGGTTCCAGTTATTCTTCCACCTCATCCTCCCAAGTAGCTGGAATTACAGGTATCAGCCACCACACCCTTCTGATTTTTGTATTTTTAGTAGACACAGGGTTTCACTATGTTGGCCAGGCTGGTCTCGAACTCCTGATCTCAAGCAATATGCCCACTTCAGCCTCCCAAAGTGCTGGGATCCCAGGCGTGAGCCACCATGCCCGGCCTAGACCTTTCTTTTTTCTTAATGTAAGCATTTTAATGAACTCAGTGCTCAATGGTGCCCAGGCTGGAGTGCAGTGGCGTGATCTCGGCTCACTACAACCTCCACCTCCCAGCCGCCTGCCTTGGCCTCCCAAAGTGCCGAGATTGCAGCCTCTGCCCGGCCGCCACCCCGTCTGGGAAGTGAGGAGCGTCTCTGCCTGGCCGCCCATCGTCTGGGATGTGAGGAGCCCCTCTGCCTGGCTGCCCAGTCTGGAAAGTGAGGAGCCTCTCTGCCCGGCCACCATCCCACCTAGGAAGTGAGGAGCGCCTCTTCCCGGCCACCATCACATCTAGGAAGTGAGGAGCGTCTCTGCCCGGCCGCCCATCGTCTGAGATGTGGGAAGCGCCTCAGCCCCGCCGCCCCATCTGGGATGTGAGAAGCGCCTCTGCCCGGCCGCGACCCCGTCTGGGAGGTGAGGAGCGTCTCTGCCCGGCCGCCCCGTCTGAGAAGTGAGGAGACCCTCCGCCTGGCAACCGCCCCATCTGAGAAGTGAGGAGCCCCTCCACCCGGCAGCCGCCCCGTCTGAGAAGTGAGGAGCCCCTCCGCCCGGCTGACACCCCGTCTGGGAAGTGAGGAGCGTCTCCACCCGGCAGCCACCCCGTCCAGGAGGGAGGTGGGGGTCAGCCCCGCCAGGCCAGCCGCCCCTTCCGGGAGGTGAGGGGCGCCTCTGCCCGGCCGCCCCTACTGGGAAGTGAGGAGCCCCTCTGCCCGACCAGCCACCCCGTCCGGGAGGGAGGTGGGGGGGTCAGCCCCCCGCCTGGCCAGCCACCCCGTCCGGGAGGTGAGGGGTGCCTCTGCCCGGCCGCCCCTACTGGGAAGTGAGGAGCCCCTCTGCCCGGCCGCCACCCCGTCTGGGAGGTGTGCCCAGCGGCTCATTGAGAACGGGTCATGATGGCAATGGCGGTTTTGTGGAATAGAAAAGGGGGAAGGGTGGGGAAAAGATTGAGAAATCGGATGGTTGCTGTGTCTGTGTAGAAAGAAGTAGACATGGGAGACTTTTCATTTTGTTCTGTACTAAGAAAAATTCTTCTGCCTTGGGATCCTGTTGATCTATGACCTTACCCCCAACCCTGTGCTCTCTGAAACATGTGCTGTGTCCACTCAGGGTTAAATGGATTAAGGGCAAAAAAAAAAAAAAAAAAAAAAAAAAAAAGCATTTTAATGGCATAAACTTTCCTTTAAATACTTGTCTTAGTCTGTTCCTGCTGCTATAACAAAATACCTTGAGGAACAAGGTAGCTAGCTTGAGCCACAGCTGGAGTGACTAAAGAACAATGCATTGGAACGCTTGGAGCAGAAATGTAAAGTGGCCCTGGGCAGCAAGCCTAAGCTCCTGAGGGTGCCTTGATCCCCTCCTTTGAAGCCATTCTGCTCTCCAGATCCTGGCACTCTGGGCCTGTGATGGCAGTGGCAGCCCTGACAGACTCCAAAATGCCTTCAGAGTCCTTCTTCCATTATTGTTTTGTTTGTTTGTTTGTTTGTTTGTTTTTGAGACAGGGTCTTGCTCTGTCACCCAGGCTGGAGCGCAGTGGCAGAATCATGACTCACGGTAGACTCAACCTCCTGAGCTCAAGTGATCCTCCCACCTCAGCCTCCTGAGTAGCTGGAACTACAGATGCATGCCACCACCACACATGGCTAATTTTTGTGTTTATTGTAGAGACAAGGTCTCACCATGTTGTCCAGGTTGGTCTTGAACTCCTGAGCTCAAGCTGTCTGCCTGCCTCGCCCTCCCAAAGTGCTGGGATGATAGGCATGAGCCATCATATCTGTCCCATTCTTCCATTATCTTGAGAATAGCATCTGGCTCCCTTTTAACCATACTAATCCCCTTATCAAAGGTCACTTGGCCACACTCTTGGTGTTCTCTCTGGAGCATGCTTTCTTATTCTTCAGATGACCAGGCTGAGAATTTTCCAACTCTTTAAGTTCTGCTTATCTTTTCTTTATAAATTTTATCTTTAATTTGTTCCTCTCTTCTCACATTTTGCTATAAGCAGTCAAAAGAAGCCATGCCACCCCTTCAACACTTTGCTTAGGGATTTCTTCTGCCAAATATCCTAGATCATCACTTATAAGTTCTGTCTTCCACAAAGCACTAGGACATGGACACAATTCAGCTAAGTTCTTTGCCATTTTGTATCAAGGATGGCCTTTCCTCCAGTTCGCAATAACTTATTTCTCTCTGAGACCTCAGTGGAACTGCCATTTGCCATTTACCAATATTCTGTTTACAACCACTTAGATAATCTCTAAGATTTAGCTTCTCCCTACAGTTCTCTTCTATACCCTCACCAGAATTGCCCTTAATGCTCCATTCATGGCAATCCAGGCTTTTCCTAGCATGAACCTCCAAACTCTTCCAGCCTCTACCCATTACCCAGTTCTAAAGCCGCTTCACTTCCATATTTTCAGGTACTTGTTATAGTAACACCCCACTCTCTGTACCAATTCCTTAGTCCATGCCTGCTGCTATAACAAAATACCTTAGACTAGATAATATATAAATAATAGATATGTATTCTCACAGTTCTAGAGGCTGGGAAGTCCAAGATCAGGGCACCAGCAGCTTTGGTGTTTGGTAAGGGTTTGCTCTCTGCTCCCAAGATGGCACCTTCTTGCAGTGTCCTCATGGAGGAAAGCAAAAAAGGCTAAAAGGAGATGAACTCACTTCTTCAATCCCTTTTATAAGGGCACTAGTCCCATCCTCTTAGCTTAATCACCTCCCAAAGGCCCCACGTCTCCATACCATCACCTTGGGGTTTAAGCTCCAACATCCAAACCAAAACAGCACTGCTTTAACCTCATCCCACAAATTTCTATATGAGTGTTGCTCAAACATATTTTCTAATATCCCTTGGGACTTTTTCTTTGACCCATAGGTTACTGAGATATGTGTTGTTTAATTTCCAAGGGTGTGGTGATCTATCAGTTATCTTTCTGTTATTGATTTCTACTTCAACTCCATTATGACTGGAGAACATACTTTATATAATTTCAATTCTTTTAAATTTTGTTCTATGGCCCAGGATATAGTCTGTCTTGGTGAAGTTTCTATGTGTATTCAAAATACACATAGGAGTGTATTTTGGAGTGTATTTTGTGGAGTATTTTACAAATGTACATTAGATTCAGCTGTTTGGTGGTGGTGTTCATCTTTTCTATATTCTTGCTGATTTTCTGTCTAGTTTCATTTACTAATGAGAGAAGAGTATTGAAATCTCCAACTATAATCATGGATTTGCCTATCAGTTTTTGCTTCATGTATCTTAAAGCTCAGTGGTTTAGTGCATATACATTTAGGATTATTAGGTCTTCTTGAGAAATTGACTTATTTTCTATTATGTAATGTCTCTTTTTATTCCTGTTCATTTTTCTTGCTTTAAAGTTTACTTTTCTTAATGTTAACAGAGCCATTCCAACTTTTGTTGGCATTGTATATCTTTTTACATTCTTTTACTTCTAAGTTACATATGATATTATATTTAAAACTGGTTTCTTGTACACAGCATATCTTTGGGTCTTTATTTTAAAAATTTTTTGGACAATCCCTGTTTTTTAATTGGTTTGTTTAAACCATTGGCATTTAATGTAATTTTTGGCATATTTGAACTTGTATTTACCATTTTTACTATTTGTTTCCTGGTATTTGTTTCTCTATTTCCCCTTTCCTAATTTCTCTTGGATTATTTGAATATCTTCTGTTAGACATTTAGGTGTGGTCCCATGAATCCCTTAGGCTCTTTTCATTAAAACAATTTTTTTCTCCCATTGAGTAATTTCTATTGACCCTTCTTCAAGGTCATGAACTCTTTCTTCAGTCATCTCTGAACTCTTTCCTACTGAACTCTTCCACTGCATTTTAATTTTCGTTATTATATTTTTCATTTAGAAAATTAGGCTGGGTGTGGGGGCTCATGCCTGTAATCCCAGCAGTTTGGGAGGCCAAGGCAGGTGGATCACAAGGTCAGGAGTTTGAGACCAGCCTGGCCAATATGGTGAAACTCTGTCTCTACTTAAAATATATATACAAAAAAAAATTAGCTGGGCATGGTGGCACGTGCCTGTAGTCCCAGCTACTCAGGAAGCTGAGGCAGGAGAATCACTTGAACCTGGGAGGCAGAGGTTGCAGTGAGCTGAGATTGCACCACTGCACTCCAGCCTGGGTGACAGGGTGAGACTCCATCTCAAAAAAAAAAATATTATTTATATCTTCTTTATATCTTCTATTTCTTTGATGAGATTTTCTATCTTTCCATTTGTTTCAAGAGTGTTCATTTGTACTTCTTTGAGTGTGGTTATAATAGCTGTTTAAAAGTCTGTCTCAAAATTACAACATTTGTATTTTTTCAGGTTGATGTCTGTTGATTCCTTTTTACTTGTTAGTTGAGATTTTCCTTTGAATGCTAAGTAATTTGGGGTTGTATTCTGGACATTTTTAGGGTAAAAATTAGGAGGCCTCAAAAATTAGGATTTATTCTCAGTCAATATTTTAATTCTGGACACATATTGGAATCAGCTAGCAACCCCACATCAGCTTGCTTCCAACAGTCATCCTGTTCATGGAAAGCCTTCTAATTTAGTTTATTTGGGATAATTTTGCTTATTTTGCCTTACTATTATGGAATATATTGGTGTTGCACTCTTTGTGTAGGAATGCAGGGTAAGCTTACTGAATATATTCTTAAATTGAACACTTATTAATCTTCTAGATATCACCTTTTGTCAGAACTCAAGAGTTATGAAGGGCCCTTGCCATATCGATGCTTTCTGACTGAGCTTCTCTCTACTGAATACAAGAGACCCTAATAGTTAGGCAGGAATATAATTGCCCCTAATTCAGCCTGAAGAAGTTACAGAAGATGGAACTTTGTCCTTCTACAACCCTTAGGATTAAGGGTTCCCTTGTAAAAGGGAGGGGGGAATTGTCAGAAGCGTTTAAACCAGAGCGATTCCATCTTGTATAGAGGCTGGGTAAAACAGGGCTGAGACCTACTGGGCTGCATTCCCAGGAGGTTAGGCATTCTAAGTCACAGGATGAGATAGGAGGTAGGCACAAGATACAGGTAATAAAGACGTTGCTGATAAAACAGTTTGCAGTAAAGAAGCCAGCCCAACTCACCAAAACCAAGATGGCAATGAAAGTGACCTCTGGTCATCCTCAGTGTTCATTGTACACTAACTATAATGCATTAGCATGCTAAGAGACACTCCTACCAGCGCCATGAGAGTTTACAAATGCCATGGCAACATCAGGAACTTACTCTGTATGCTCTAAAAAAGGGAGGAAACTTCAGTTCTGGGAAGTGCCCACCCGTTTCCTGGAAAACTCATGAATAATTCACCCCTTGTTTAGCATATAATCAAGAAATTACTGTGAATATCCTCAGTCTAGCAGCCCACGTTGTGCTTATCCTATGGAGTAACCATTCTTTATTCCTTTACTTTCTTAATAAACTTGTCTTCACTTAAAAAAAATTAGAATTTATTAGCAGGTTTTTCAGGTTTAATATTACAGACCAGTGGAAGAAGAAAGAAAGTTGTCGATAATTGGATATACTTTTTGAAAAAGTATGCACTATGTATGCCTACTTTTGAAAGTGCGTGCACTGCATATGTAAGTAAAAGTTGATGTTGAATTCTATTGCTTTTTAGCAAGTAAAAGAGTATTATTATTTTCTTTTTCTAAGCAATACTATAATATAGTGGTATGCAAGTTAGAGCCATATTACTTATCCAGTTACTAAAACATTTTTTGATAGCTGTGGCCGTAGCCCCTTGGTTCTGTCTCCACTAGGCCCCCACTATCTCAGCTTTTTCTTTGGAGAATCCCAAACTTTCCTTAATCCAGGAACTAAAGAGTTAACGCCTGGCTGGGCAGGGAGCTTCCTGGACCCTGCAACAGTACTGTGGTTGAAGACTATTTGGATCGGTCAAGGCCAGTGTCTACTGGTCATTAAATATTTGAAATGTCATGTCTGCCAGTATTTTACAGCCTTTTGTAGTTTACAAAAGGTGTTTACCTATATTGTCTTGTTTAAGCTTCACATTAACTCTGTGACATCAGTTGGGATTATTATTGCCATCAGAAAGCACTTTATAAAATTAACACATGATCAGTGTGGCAAATGAATTAGTGTTGGAGAACTCTAGGCTCAGAAAGGTTGTCACTTACCCAAGGTCTCATGCTTATAGGTAATGGAGCCTAAACTCCTAATAGCTTCAAGAATGGTACACAATTTAAATGCTCTGGGTTTTGGGGAGGAATATTTTACTCTGCGCTGGGTGGATCTGAGAAGGCAACTGAGGTGCTGGTGGGATCTGAGTTGGAAGAGAGGAAGAACAAGGATACATTTTACAAGAACAACGGTGTCTTACTCAGAAACAGTATGAAATGTGGCCCAAATGTAGTAAAAACAAATCACACTTCCATGACCTTTTCAATGCCCCTTCTCTGGAGGTGTTGGAACTGAAATTCCACAAGGCTTGGCCACAGAGAGCACCTAAGGCAAAGCTCTCCTCCACTACATTGCCTGCTCAATTCTGGATTGCTGTTGAAGGAGGCAGGAAATGAACATCCATGAGCAATGGGAACAATTTGCTCACGTAACACTTCTTTAGCTCACTTAACACAAGGATTGGATCCAGGTTTTGTGGAGCTTGAATCTTACACAATTTCGGGCTTCTTAAAAAAAAAAAAAAAAAAAGGAAACATAACTAGAAATAAAAAGTTAGGCACAGGACTTTGGAAAGAACTCTGCGAAGGTCCAGAAGGTTAAACTTCGTTGGTGTCACAGAATATCTACCTGTGCTTAACAGTATTAACACATGTGATACAAGGAGGGTAAATTATCCCATTAAATAACAGTGGAGTATTTCCCACTGTATATTCACCTCTGCTTAACAGTGACTTTAAAAATCTGCTAAAAGGAAAAAAATATTCAATGATTAGCACGAGAATATTTTTTAAATGGTATCTGTGCTATTCGCTTCCAAGGTATTATTTTTTCCCTCTAGTACTTTTTAAATCGTTTCATTGAGGTATAATAAACTGCCCATATTGATGAGCTTTGAAATAAGTATATACCTGCAAAAGTACCACCACCACCAAGATAATGAATATATCTGTCAACCCCAAAATTTCCTCCATCACCCTCAAAAGTTTCCCCATGCCCCTCTGTAATTCCTCCATCCAGCCCCCTCTGTACCTCCCTCCTACCTCTGCCCCTACTTTTTCATATGTTTTTATCTATTTTGTTAGCATTTTAAGGCAGAAGGGTAAATCCAGTAGCTGTTATTCCATCTTATCCAGAAGTAGAAGTCTCTGAGCCTTTTTTTTTTTTTTTTTTTTTTTTGAGATGGCGTCGGGCCGGGTGTGGTAGCTCACGCCTGTAATCTCAGCACTTTGGGAGGCGGGCGAATCACGAGGTCAGGAGTTTGAGATGGCGTCTTCCTCCGGGCGAATCACGAGGTCAGGAGTTTGAGATGGCGTCTTCCTCCGTTGCCCAGGCTGGAGTGCAGTGGCGCGATCTCAGCTTACTGCAACCTCCGCCTCCCAGGTTCATGCCATTCTCCTGCCTCAGCCTCCCGAGTAGCTGGGACTACAGGTGCCCACCACCATGCCCAGCTAATTTTTTGTATTTTTAGTAGAGACGGGGTTTCACCATGTTAGCCAGGATGGTCTCGATCTCCTGACCTGGTGATCCGCCCGCCTCGGCCTCCCAAAGTGCTGGGAATACAGACGTGAGCATTTTTTTTTTTAACACAGAAAAATATTAACAACCCAAACATAAAAGAAAGGAAGAGATACTCCTTTAGGGTAAGTATGGTTTTGAGCAGAGAAACTAGAAGACCAATAACCCACACATAACTTTCCCATCTTAAGGGCAAAAGTGGAGACCACAGCTAAAGGTGTGTCCAGTTCAAAGGGGTCTTTCTTTGCAAACTCATAGAAGCACTTTTGGGATGTCATCATCAATGTAGAAATCACATAAAAGGAGAAGATTACAGACTTTCTTTCCATACTTGACTGGTCATAAATGCACAATGGAATTAATTTTCGTTTCTGTTTTTGTAGATTCTGGCCACAGTCTAAGAGGGGCATGAGCCACTATTATGCTGAGTGTGTACTTGTGCCCAAGTAAAGTTTCTATCTGCATACGATAATTGTTCAGTTCTTCACCTTGCTCGGTCAACAGTGTTCACTCAACACCTGCTGTGTGTAGTGGAGGCACTGTGGGAATTTACAGAGGCCCTGGCATCCTTCCTAACCCTCTGCCTAGGCTCTGGAAGATGCCAAGCTGGTTTGTCATCTAAAGCTGGGTTCACATGCCCCTTCTAGGGCCACTCATCCCAATCATTTTTTCATTTGGAAGTACCTGCCAACTATACATTTCAATGAACATTGTTTCCTGAACAGCTTGTCTTATTTTATCACTAAATACTTTTTTATTTTTTTTTTGAGATGGAATCTTGCTCTGGATTGCTTGCTCCCAGGCTGGAGTCCAGTGGCACAATCTCAGCTCACTGCAGCCTCCGCCTCCCAGGTTCAAGCGATTCTCTGCCTCAGCCTCCTGAGTAGCTGGCATTCCAGGTGCGTGCCACCACACCCAGCTAACTTGTGTATTTTTAGTTGAGATGAGGTTTCGCCATGTTGGCCAGGCTGGTCTTGAATTCCTGGCCTCAAGTGTTCCACCTGCTTTGGCCTCCCAAGGTGGTGGGATTACAAGCATGAACCACCACACCCAGCCTAAATACTTTTCAAATGTATGTTCTATCTTCTGAATTAGATCATAAAGTTTCTAAAGGCAAGAACTTACTCATAATTAGTATTCTACTCCTTAGCATCTCTCTCCTCATCACAGACCCTAGCACAGCTTGATATATATGTATTTTACTTTCAAGTATAATTTATCCTTATATAATTAACATTTGTTCTGTTATGGAACTGTTAGATAATACAGACAAACAAAAATAACTTTTTTTTGTTTTTTTTGGCAGGGTCTTGCCTTGTCACCCAGGCTGGAGTACAGTGGTGTGATCGTGGCTCACGGCAGCCTCGATCTCCCAGCTCAAGTTATTCTCCTGTCTCAGCCTCCTGAGTAGCTAGAACTAGAAGTGCATGCCTCCACATCTGGCTGAGTTTTGTTATTTTTTTTTTTTTGTAGAAACAGGGTTTCACTATGTTACCCAGCTGGTCTGGAACCCCTTAGCCAAAGCAATTCACCTGCCTCAGCCTCCCAGAATGCTGGGATTACAGATCTGAGCCACTGTGCCGAGCCTAGAAAAAGTTTTAGTTATCCATAATTCCATCATCCAAGAATAACTACTGTTAACGTTTTATATACAATATACACCAATCAGTAAGGATATTTGGCCCAAGAGAGCTAAGATATTAATGGAATGAATTGAAATATACACAACCACAAGAAAGAAAAGCAAGAGTTGCACTTACTGATGTTTCTTTTGGCTTAGGGCAGGCAACAAAATAAGTGTGCCTTTAGAGACCTGGTCAAGCATGCTGGTCAGAAAATACTTCTCATCAGTTTTTGGGATCCTTATAGCATGAATGAAATCTGTCCTTCCACAGGAATGTCAATTGACTTAAGAAGTGTGGTTCCATGGGCAGGGCTCCATGGCTCATGCCTGTAATCCCAGCACTTTGGGAGGCTGAGGTGGGAGGTTTACCTGAGGTCAGGAGTTCAAGACCAGCCTGGCCAACATGGTGAAACCCCATCTGTACTAAAAATACAAAAACGAGCTGGGCGTGGTGGTGTGCGCCTGTAATCCCAGCTACTCAGCGGGCTGAGGCAGGATAATTGCTTGAACCCGGGATGCAGAGGTTGCAGTGAGCCGAGATTGTGCCACTGCCCTACAGCCTGGGCAATAGAGCGAGACTCTGTCTCAAAAAAAAGAAAAAAAAAAAAAGTATGGTTCCCCCAACCAGCAACAGCATCAGCATCAACTGGGAACTTGTTTAGAAATGCAAATTCTCAAGCCCCATCCTGGACCAACTGAATCAGAAACTCTGGGAGTGGGCCCAGCATTCTGTGTTTTAACAAGCCTTCAAGTGACACTAATGCACAGTAAAGTTTGAGAAGCACTATCTAAAGTCTGGGCTTGTATCCTGTTCCGTGTTGAACTCTCTGTTTCAGCATCTGGTGTCCAGAAGGTCAAAAAGAATCTGTTAAATAAAGAATAAAAAAGGCCAGGTGCGGTGGCTCACACCTGTAATCCCAGCACTTTGGGAGGCTGAGGCGGGCAGATCACGAGGTCAGGAGTTCAAGATCAGCCTGACCAACATAGTGAAACCCCATATCTACTAAAAGTACAAAAAATTAGCCAGGCGTGGTGGCAGGTGCCTGTAATCCCAGCTAATCGGGAGGCTAAAGCAGGAGGAATCTCTTGAACCCGGGAGACAGAGGTTACAGTGAGCTGAGATCGTGCCATTGCACTCCAGCCCGTGTGACAGTGCGAGCCTCTATCTCAAAAAAAAAAAAAAAAAAAAAAAAAAAAGAATAAAAATACCCCTTAGAGATCAGTTTTTAAAATTATTTTATCATGGAATATTTCTCATAGAAATATGTAAAATATATCATGACTACCTAGTATATCCAGCACTATCTATATCAAATTAAATCTCAACATTTTGTCACATTTCTTTCAGAATTTTTTAAAAGAATAAAAACATTGTAGATACAACTGAGGGTTTTCTGTGTATCCTCTTCCCAGCCTCATTCTTCTTCTCTACAGATAACCCAGATCATGAAGTTGGTATTAATTATTCTTATACATGTTTTATGCTTTTATTCATGTATCTATAAACAATATATGGTATTGTTTTACAGGATTTTAAACTATTTAAATGGTATCATGTTCTATATACCCTGCAATTAGCTTTTCTGTTTTGTTTTTAAGATTTATCATTGTGCAGACACAAAGCTGCGATTCATCATTATAACTGCTCTATAATATTCCTGTGTATGAATATATGATGATATGTGAATCTGTTCTTCTATTGATGACATTTAAATGTTTTCAATTGAGTTTTTTCGCTGTTAAAAGCAGTGCTGCCACAAACACACAAATCGTCTGATGCAACCAAATAGTGTTTCTCTAAGGTATATATCTAGGAGTAGACTTCCAGGGTTGTGGGATATGAGCATTTCCAATCTTAATAGATGAAATCAAATTGCTCCCCAAAGTGATTGCACCAATAATTCCACCTTTTCCTGAGATTTGGCATTGTTAGATTTTTTAAAAAAATTTTTTGCCAGTTTGGTGAGTATGAAATAGTATCTCATCATTGTTATAAATTTTTCATTACCTTAATTTCTAGTGATGTGCATCTTTTTACATTCTCATAGGCCACTTGGCTTTGAAAGACATAAATTAGTATATATTTGCACCAAGACATAAATCCCTGTATCATCTCCATTTCTGAAAGAGAATTTGGATAAGGAAAAAGCCTGTGAGGAAGGAGAAATTGGAAATAGCCCTGCAAAGGGAGCAGATGGAGTGAGGGGAAGATTGGAGGTACTATTTGCCTTCCTTGGGCTTCTTTCCAGTGCCATCCCTGGCCAACTGTCTCATCAGCCCTGTTTTCTTCCCACGAAACTGAAGTCCCATGGAGAGGCTGTAGTAATATCTTGACTGAGGAAGACTTTTTCTGGTCCTGGGTTTTTGGGCTTTTTTGATTCAAGACTAGTTAACCCTGTGGTTATTAACAAGAAATGTACATCCCTACTTGGGTGTGTTTAGGACATTTTGGGTGAGTTTTTGATGATCACAATGATTGGGGGGTTGGCATTACTGGCATGAGTGGGCTGGGAACGGGGTGCTACACTTCTTTCAATGGATGGGACAGTCCTACGCAACAAAGAATTTCTCTTGTCCACTGCAAACGACTTTCAAAAGTCCTGCTGGATATTTATATGAGTGAAAAGCCTTCTTATAATAATTAAACCTAAAATCTAACTCTGTTTTCTGTGTAACCACAAAGTGTTTTGTCACAGGTTTGCACTGATTTTTCCAGGAATGTAAACTGCTATTTAAATTGAGGGACATTTCTAACTATGGTGTGTTGTTGTTGTTGTTGTTGTTGTTGTTGTTGTTGAGAACTTTACCAAGTGTGGTTAACTCTTTGACAGATTTAAAAAAAAAAAAAATCTACCACCCAACAATACTGATCATGGTATTTAAATCACCAATACAAGCCACACACCGATACCAATCTACTATTGAATTATCATCTTCACAGTGATTCTACATATAGGTGCAAGCATCTGACAACTGCATTATGACTTCTATTATAGTGAGGCCTGAGCATTTTAATGATCAACTGTTCTCCTGTCATCATTTCTTTTTTATATTTGTTTATTATACTACACTTACTTCTAAAATTTTATGTGTAGAATGATCATATTACCCATGAATTTCATTTTGGCATAGAAAAAGGGACAGTACGAAATATTTATAGATAGCCAGTGACCTTGATAAAGAAATTTAGGCCAAAAGAATTTTTAATAAAACTTATTTTTCTCAAAATCACACAGTTGGTAATTGAGAGAGGAAAGATTTGTACCCATTGTTGATTGACTCTTTCCATTATGTCACCCTACTTTCCAAAGCAATGGCCTCCATCTAAATAACAACTACAATAGCTCACATGTACGTGACAGTTGATATGTGCCAGGCACTCTTTGCTATGGTTTGAATGTGTCCCCTCCAAAGTGTAGAGGTTGCCAATGTAATAGTACTGAGAGGTGAGGCATTTAAGAGGTAATTAGGCCATGAGGGCTCCTTGTGAATGAGATTGAGTAAGGAGAGGCTTCACCCATGTTCAGCTCTCTTGCCTTCTGCCTTTGTCCATGTGAGCACAGAGCATTCCTCCCCTCCAGAGGATGGAGCATTCAAGGCAACATCTTGGAAGCAGAGACTAGACTCTCACCAGACCATGAATCTGCAGGTGCCTTAATCTTTGACTTCTCAGCTTCCAGAATTGTCAGAAAATAAATTTTGAGTGGTTATAAATTATCCAGTCTCAGATATTTTGCTATAGCAGCACAAAATAGACTAAGACAGTCATGAGTTTTACATTTACTAACACTTTGACCCTCATAACACGGTGAGGACTCTTGCTATCTTCATTGTACAGATGAGGAAACCAACACACCAAGGAGCTAAGAGACTTGCCCAAAGGCAAGCAGCTAATGTGTAGCACAGTTGGGATGATTGATCCCTAACTGTCTGGCTCTTCATCAATTCATTGTATCATGTCAAAGACAGAATCAGGACGCCAGGCAAACCCAACTAAGGCATTTGGGCTATAGAAATGAGGAGAAATCGACACATCCGATGAAGAAAAATGGACACACGAAACCATTGCTTAAGTGTCAGAACATCCCAGAGGAGCTTCTGGGGTTATATGGATCCCCTAAAACTGTAGGAAAATAATGTATCTATGTGTGTGTGTATTTGCACATGATTCTAGGGCGCAAATCCATGGTTCTCATTGGATTCTCAAAGGGGTTCCCAACCACAGAAAAGTTAGAACCACTGGTACAAAAGCATATCAGCAGGACTTGGTGACCAAGAAGATCTAGGCCCAGAACTTCCCAACCCAATGCAGGAGTATGGGAACTGGCTGAGTGCTGGGATAGAAATTCCCTTTGTTCTCAAGGCTGCTGGAGCTTCTTTATTCTTATTGGCATCTCCATCTAGGAGCAGCCTCTTCATTTTGGTTTGCTCAAAAGCAAACCCTGAGAAAATCGATATGCTGTGCAAATAGGATTCATTTCTGTGTGTTTAATTATATGTGAATGAGTAGAAGGCACTGATGTAGGAAGAAAATGGGGAGAAAGAACATATCCTAAGAACATGAGTGAGGTCTGAAGAGCCACTCAGTACACAAACGGCTCTCAAGCTTTTTCTGCCCCCACACATCTAGTGAGGTAAAGAGGGCAGAGACCACCAGGAGCCACATTAGCATCAGATATGCAGGGGGCAACTTGGGAGGGAGCTGTTGTCAATGTGCCATCCATAGCCCCTCAGACCACCTGGGAAACCACCAGCTTTGGTGGAAGTTCTTGTGCACACCAATGGTTTCATATCCCAAGTACCTGCTTCTTCCACCTCTTAGCCTTCTCTGGCTCAATACTATGTCAATCCTTGCTCCCAGGAGCAATAATAAATCAACAAGGGTGGGAGTTGGGGAATAAATACCTCAGCTTCCTTGTCCTGGCTGGACAATTCTTTTTTGAGACAGGGTCTCGCCCTGGGGCCCAGGCTGGAGTGCAGTGGTGCAATATCAGCTCACTGCAACCTCTGCCTCCTGGATTCAAGCAGTTATCCTGCCTCAGCCTCCCGAGTAGCTGGGACTGCAAGCACGTGCCACCCCGCCCGGCTAATTTTTGTATTTTTTGGCAGAAACCAGATTTCACCATGTTGGCCAGGTTGGTCTCGAACTCCTGACCTCAAGTGATTTGCCCGCCCCAGCCTCCCAAAGTACTGGGATTACAGGTGTGAGCCACCATGCACAGCCCTAGCTGGACAATTCTGAGCTGTGTTTTGCACTGTCTTTCAGAGAGTCCCTAGCGGGATTGGGCCTCAGTTGCCCACAGCAGTAGCCTGCTCACTGATGCATCCTTTATCGACATTTCCTATTTTCTTGTCTCAATTCCCCAGCCTCTCACTGTGCTTCCTGGGACCACCTCTGAAATAAACTACTTATATCAAAACCCTTTTCTTTAGGTCTGCTTTTAAGGGAACCTAAGTTAAGACAGCACCTTCGGAGAGCATATGTCAGTTGAGAATTCTGACCGTATAGACAAGGCCTATGGCAGACTTTGTACAATATCTGGCCAGATGCACCATAATTATGTCATAGTTGGGTAGGTGGGGAGGGGTCGAGAGCTCAAACCTTTGTAGGATGAATCTAAAGTACTTTAAAAACTGGGGGCAGGGGGGTCGGGGGAAAGCATTAGTCCAAATCCTGAAATGGGAAATTTTATGTGTAATTTAAAAGGTTTCATACAGTGAGGCCTATGCCATAATGGCTCAAGAAACAAATTCCAGAAAGCCAATTTATTTTATTTTTATTTTTTATTTTTTTCTGAGGCAGAGTCTTTCTCTGTAGCCCAGGCTGGAGTGCAGTGGCAATTGCAACCTCCGCCTCCCGGGTTCAAGTGATTCTCCTGTCTCAGCCTCCCGAGTAGCTGG
Source organism: Homo sapiens (assembly GCF_000001405.40). Taxonomy (NCBI): domain Eukaryota; kingdom Metazoa; phylum Chordata; class Mammalia; order Primates; family Hominidae; genus Homo; species Homo sapiens. The sequence continues at coordinate 42,481,268 of NC_000006.12, forward strand.
GAGGGATTACAGGCATCAGCCACCACGCCCGGCTAATTTTTTCTATTTTTAGTAGAGACAGGGTTTCGCCATGTTGGCCATGCTAGTCTCGATCTCCTGACCTCATGATCCGCCCGCCTTGGCCTCCCAAAGTGCTGGGATTACAGGCGTGAGCCACTGCACCTTGCCCAGAAAGCTAATTTATAAACAGGCCTTCAAAGGACAATCGTGTGCAACCAAGGCCTCTGCAAAGGCTGTACAATTTATCCCCTCGCTGCAGGGACAAGTGGGATTGAATTCCAGCCTGCCCTATTCTAACCAAGCTGTGAACCCACGTGAAGGGTCTATTTCTTCTTTTTTTTTTTTTCCTTAAGATGGGGTCTCACTGTGTCGCCCCCGCTGGAATACAGTGGCACGATCACAACTCACTGCAGCCTCCTGGGCTTAAGTGATCCTCCCACCTCAGCCTCCCAAAATGCTAAGATTACATGCATGAGTCACAGAATCTCGTTGGGTCTACATTTTTAAAATTTGCATAAAGGGGGTTATTCACATATAGCCCTTTGTGCAACTACCCCATCTCTCCTGGTTCACCCTAAAAAATCAGCTAAGTTTCATCTTCAGATCCAAAATGTCATTGCTAGCAATATGGTCTTTATAACAATATTCCACTGATCTTGAACAAAAGCAATTTGAAAGCCCCAGGCTGTTTGTTTTAATGGAATTTTCCTCATGTGAAAAAGTAAGCATTGCTGTTGTATTATTAATGGAGTTTTATCCTTTTTTCCACCAAGTTGACAGTTTTAGTATCATGTTGGTACGATTTATTCTACTAAATGATTAGAATACTTCTGTGTCATATTTCTATCTTCCTTTTCTAAATTGGAAATGTTTGTATTCTTGCTGCATTTGTCCACCATTTAATGAGATTTGAACTTGTTTGCTTTGCACTGAATGAGATTAAACCCCCTGCCAGTGTCCACCCTCAAGTCTTTGTGTTGGGGAGGCCCCAGTTATTTAGGCAAATGGATGGTTATTCTCAGCAATAAAAATGAGCAAATAATGTGAAAGCACCCATACCTCAAAAAGCAGAAGGGTGACCTCTGTTTGACCTTGAGATCTGCACACTAAAGAGAAAAGTTTCCTAACAGACAAAACAAGCTGCGAGCCAGAGAGAAAGAGAAGATTGCTTACTTTCTGATTACTTTGTTTAAACCAAGCTCCTCTCTGGTTTATAATCCTTTATGGGAGCATATTAAGAAGGGGCAGCTTAAGGTCTGTTTAGATTGGAAAAGAATCATGAAATAAACAATTAATATTTAGGAAAAAGACCCAGAACGCTTTATTTGTAGACTTTTTCTCCTCTCATTTAATGAATAATAGCCTTGGACTGTGGTCTTGGGCTTCTCATGCATTTATTTTTATTGCTGTTGTCATATATTCACTGGTTACACTCTTTGTACTATTTTGGACAGTCCAAAATTAGGGGAATTCATTGGAGTAAATATTTCGATCATTTCTGCTGGTATGAGTTGTATAGAGAATACAAGAGTGTCAATTCCAGGAACAGGGAAACAAATTCAGTGCTCATATTTTATCCTAGAAAAGAGGTCTTGGAACTTTTGCTTTGGGTGATTTTTAAAAAGCAGTCAATACTCCTTCCCATCTAGCCTAAGACTCCATTATGCCCCAGCCCAATGTCTGGTCCAGTTGGTCGCTGATGGTCCTGCCCAGAGCAGATCTGCTCTGCCCAGCCTTGGGGCTTCTGCTCAGGTCAGCAACTCCTGCTGAGATGGCCTCCTAGTTTTTTGTAACTATGAATTCTACACATCCTCAAAAGGGAGATCAAATCCTGGTTGTCCTAAGAAGTATTTCTTGGGAGGCCTGGACACCTTCTCCTCCTCCACCAAACTTCTCTGCCGCTCACTGCCTGGCCCTTTAAATACATTATTAATTGTCTTTTCAAGCCTACAGGTTCTTATTTCTCCAGGTAAATTCTAACTTCTTTAGGCAGAAATTATAAGTTGCCATCCAAAAATTCATTCTTCCCTGCTTTTTAGTAACAGAATCCCAATTATTCAGGGTGGCAAACAACCACATAAAAATTGCATTTTCTAATCTCCCTTGCCAAGTACAGTAACGTCAATACATTCTGATCAATAAGATGTTAAGTTCTTGGCAGGGCACAGTGGCTCATGCCTGTAATTCCAGCACTTTGGGAGGCTGAGGTGGGCAGATCACTTGAGGTCAGGAGCTCAAGACCAGCCTGTCCAACATGGTGAAACCCCATCTCTACTAAAAATGCAAAAATTAGCCGGGTGTGGTGGTGCCCGCCTGTAATCCCAGCTACGTGGGAGGCTGAGGCAGAAGAATTGCTAGAACCCGGGAGGAGGAGGATGCAGTGAGCCAAGATTGTGCCACTGCACTCCAGCCTGGGTGGCAGAGCAAGACTCCATCTGAAAAAAAAAAAAAGATATAAGTTCTAAAAAACATTAGAACTTACAGGAAGATTGCTTAAGGGGAGCAGATTCTTCAGGAAGGCCGGACATTTTGTCCTCTCCTGCTTTCACACTCCTGCTGCCTGAGGTGAAGAGGGATGAAGAAAGGAGCTAAGAAAGCTGTCTTGGACCATCGGGTAAACTTCAGGATGGAAGCCACTGACTAAGAACAATGGAGGAGAAAGATGGAACGAGCCCAGTATCCAATGGCTTTGTAGAGCCACTCTTACATTCCCGGACTATCTCCTCTAGACTTCTTTTCTGTAAATGAATAAGCCTTTTATGTTTAAGCCATTGTTGTTTAATATAGTCAAACCCACTTCTTCTCTCGTCCATCTCCTTAAGGGCAGACCAGCTTGTTAAATCATGGTGTCTCCAGCAGTGTCAGATATAGTACATGATAAATTCTAAACAGCTATTTGTTAAAGCTTGAAAATGTTTTCCTTCTGACCTAAAACAGCTCTCATCCTGATTAATAATAGAATTGCTCTCTTTAAA